>NC_000002.12:202641133-202944163 GCF_000001405.40 Homo sapiens
TAAGCATATAATGTGATGAGTTTTCTGGCTTAGAGAGTGAATAATTCCACAGGGGATGGGTATAGAGGTTCCCTCAGAGGAGATGAATTTTGAATTGGATTACAAAGGGAAGAACAGAACTTTGCAGTTGGATCTTAGAGGTGTGAAAATAAGCCTATCATATTCAGTTCTTTGTGGCTTGAAATGTAGGGTAATAGGGTGTTGGGATGGGGAGAGCGGAAATAGTAGAGAAAGAAGGGAGAGACGTAAGTTTTCAGAATGACTTTGAATAGAATATATACATTAGAAAGTATTCCATGGTTAATAGTATGTACTCTGGAGCCAGACTGTCAGGGTTCAGACCCTGGAGTTGCCATTTACTTGCTAGCAGTTTAACTTTAGGCAAGTTCACTTTACTTGTAAAAAGGGGATACTAATGATACTTACCGTAGATAATTGTTTCAAGGAATAAAATCTTTGTAATCTGTGTGTGGGGTATAGGAATCTCAATATTAGATATTTTATTTTCTTTTTTTTTTTTTTTGAGATGGAGTTTCACTCTTGTTGCCCAGACTGGAGTGCAATGGCAGATCTTGGCTCATTGTAACCTCCGCCTCCTGGGTTCAAGCGATTCTCCTGCCTCAACCTCCTGAGTAGCTGGGATTACAGGCGCCTGCCACCACGCCCAGCTAACTTTTGTATTTTTAGTAGAGACAGGGTTTCACTATGTTGGCCAGGCTGGTCTCGAACTCCTGACCTCAGGCGGTCCATCCGCCTCGGCCTCCCAAAGTGCTGAGATTACAGGCATGAGCCACCGCGCCTGGCAGATATTTTCTTTTTTTTTTTTTTTATCGGAGTCTTACTCTGTCGCCCAGGCTGGAGTGCAGTGGTGTGATCTCGGCTTACTGCAACCTCCGCCTCCCAGGTTCAAGCCATTCTCCTGCCTCAGCCTCCTGAGTAGCTGGACTACAGCCGTGTGCCACCATGCCCGGCTGATTTTTGTACTTTTTTTTTTTTTTTTTAGTAGAGACGGGATTTCACCATATTGGACAGGCTGGTCCTGAACTCCTGACCTCGTGATCTGTCCGCCTCGGCCTCCCAAAGTGCTGGGATTGCAAGCGTGAGCCACCACGCCCAGCCAGATATTTTCACATCATTGTCTTCCTTCTCATCCAAGGCTTTAGGCACTCACAGTTATTATTACTAGTATTTATATTCTTAGAATAAATAGAATATATATATATATATATATAAAATGAGTAGAGTGTGACTTGAGATAGGAGAAACTCACAAAGGCATTGATCACCTGAATTTTGGGGGAATGGCAGTGGGAATGGCAAGAGTAAAAAAGATTGAAAAGACTGATTTGGCAAACTGTTGGATGTAGGGATTGAGAAACGGGGAGTTGAGGGTGATAGTTTGGATGGTGGTTCTAATTGATAACAGTGAGGAGAACAGATTTGGGAAAAGAAAATGAACTCAGTTGTGGATGTATTTGGTTTGTGCTCTCAGGAACTTCAGATAATTTTCTAGATTGTGGCAAATAACATTTTAAAACTCAGGGATACACTTTGAACTTGGGGGTAAAAATTAGGACTCATTTATTGCAGTTCAGTAAACATTCATTTAACATGTACATCATGCTAGGCATTTACATGTGGGCAACACTCGAAATGACTAATCACTAGGGTGGATAAAATGATAGGGAAAATGCTGAAGATAGAACTCTGGGAGGAAACAAGCATTTTTAAGGGTAGAAAGAAAAGCCAGTGAAGAAACCTGTGAAATGTGGTAGGAGGAGAAATGGTAGAATAGTGTTGAGAAAGCCGAAAAGAAAGATTGTATTTCAAGGAGAGATAGGAAAGATTTTCAAATGTCGTGAAGTAGGCTGAGCCTGGAGAATAGGCCTTTGAATCTGGCATGTAGATTAGTCAATGATCTGTGAGAGAAAGTAGTTTGAGAAGCATGTTGGGGGCACAAATCAAAGTGGAGGATGAGGAAGTAGAGGTAATGAGTATAAAGTACTTTAATGTGGACGGAAGGAAAGTGAAAAAACTGGGTGAAGGGTGTGCTTAAGCTTCAGTTATTTACAGGATGTGGAAAACTTCAGCTTGTTTATAGCTTTTAGGGAAAGGATTTATAGAATGAAAGATTGTAAATTCAAGAGAAGATGGTAAATGTAGATGGAGCAAGGTTATGGAAAATGCGAGAGGCATGGGATCCAGTACATGGTAGAGTCTGGAAATCTCAGAAACAAGGACATTTTTTTCTCTGAGGAGGGGAAGAGGTAAGGGCGTAGGTTAAGATGATAGGTAAATCAGCAGTAGAAGGGAAGGAAGTTGAGAAAGTAAGCTACTTCCTTTTCCAAACTACTTGAAGGCAAAAATAGCATGCTTGTCTTTATACTATATTTTTAAATTTAAATTTATTTTTTTAAACTACGTGTGCATAATTTAAAATGTCAAATAGCACTGAACTTATTATCAAATAAAATGTTCCCTTGTCACATCTTTCTCCACTCCCTCTTCCTGCCCCCTAGAAACAACCACTTTCAACTCTTAGAGGTTTCTTTGGCTGTTTACCTACACATTTCTTTTTCTTTCTTTCTTTTTTTTGAGACAGAGTCTCGCTCTGTCACCCAGGCTGGAGTGCAATGTCAGGATCTCAGCTCACTGCAACCTCTGCCTCTTGGGTTCAAGCAATTCTTATGCCTCAGCCTCCTGAGTAGCTGGGATTGTAGGTGTGTAGCACCATTCCCTGCTAATTTTTGTATTTTTAGTAGAGGCAGGGTTTCCCCGTGTTGGCCAGGCTGGTCTCGAACTCCTGGCCTCAAGTGATCCACCCGCCTTGGCCTCCCAAAATGCTGGAATTACAGGCGTGAGCCACCGTGCCTGGCCTACACATTTCTAAATAATATGCTATACTACTGCTTTAGGAGCTGTTTTTTTTTTGTTTTTTTTTTTTTTTTTTTTCAGTTTTATGTATTATGTAGTGACTTGCTACTGTGGAAAATGTACACTTAATTCTCTAATCACCATCCTACCGAATCCTTCCATTGTAGGTGTAGCATCTTTTGGTTAAATCAGTATTAATGTTATTATGACCATGTAAATATTGATTACAGTAGAGCCTTGTTGGATACTACAGTTATATTTTCTTTTTAAATAACTTTTTGTGGTCTTTGAGGTTAAAATTGTTTTTCATTTTGATTGCTTCGTTTTCTATGTACCTATCACAAATTTATCCCTAAGAAAGTTTTGATAATGGAAACTTCCTGTAAATAATTAAAAACATAGCAGAGAGTTACTTTTGTTTATTTTCCTTGGAGATATGTCTTTTGGAGTCCCTCATCCTCATATTCCAAATTAGCTCATTGATCTCTACATCTGTGGCACAGCTATTAGAACCGGGAACTTCCCTGGGAATTCTCTTCACTTCTCTCCTGTTTTGGATACTCTAATTTCTGGATGTTGTTTTGCTGGAGTGCATTTTCCAATAATTTTTTGAGAGAGGATACATGGGAGGTATATGTTATACCCAGACCTTGAATATCTTCAGTGATGTCTTTATACTTGCCGGTTTGACTGGGTATAGAATTAGAATTGTAGGTTGGAAATAATTTTTCCACTGGGTATTGAAAGCACTTCATCTTCTAGCTTTTGGAATTGCTGTTGAGAATTTGGATGCCATTCTGATTCTTAATCCTTTGTTGGTGATGGTGTCTGTCCTCTGTGGAAGGGTTACCACCATTCTGAAATGAGGATTGCCTTGTTGTGAGGTGTTTCATTGTTTGTTTTCTGTTCACTGTGCTGGTTACTCTGTGGGCTTTTTCAGTCTAGAGACTATTTCTGGGAATTTTTCTTTTATTATTTCTCCTTTCTGTTATCTTTGTTTTTTGTCTTTTTGGAAGCTGTGTTATCTAGTTGTGGTATATCTTGGAGCACATCTGTAATTTAACAATTTCTGTCTAGTTTCCGTATCTTTATCTGTTTGCATTTCTTTTTTATTATTTTTCAAAATTTCAAAATATATTTTCTTTTAAAAAATAGAGACTGAGTCTCGCTGTATTGCCCAGGCTGGTCTGGAACTCCTGGCCTTAAGTGATGCTTTTGCCTTGGCCTCCCAAAGTGCTGGGATTACTCACGCCTGGCCTGTTTCTTTTTTTTCTTTCTTTTTTTTTTTGTTTGTCTGTTTTTGAGACAGAGTCTCGCTGTCGCCCAGGCTGGAGTGCAGTGGCGAGATCTCGGCTCACTGCAGGCTCCGCCCCCCGGGGTTCACGCCATTCTCCTGCCTCAGCCTCCCGAGTAGCTGGGACTACAGGCGCCCGCCACCTCGCCCGGCTAATTTTTTGTATTTTTAGTAGAGACGGGGTTTCACTGTGTTAGCCAGGATGGTCTTGATCTCCTGACCTCGTGATCTGCCCGCCTCGGCCTCCCAAAGTGCTGGGATTACAGGCGTGAGTCACTGCGCCCGGCAGCCTGTTTTTATTTCTATCAGATTTATTTATTTGAGACGGAGTCTCGCTCTGTCGCCCAGGCTAGAGTGCAGTGGAGAGATCTCGGCTCACTGCAACCTCCGCCTCCCGGGTTCAAGCAAGTCTCCTGCCTCAGCCTCCCGAGTAGCTGGGACTGTAGGCGCGCGCCACCACGCCCAGCTAAATTTTTTGTATTTTTAGTAGAGACGGGGTTTTACCAAATTGGCCAGGCTGGTCTCGAACTCCTGACCTCAGGTGATCCGCCCGCCTTGGCCTCCCAAATGCTGGGATTACAGGAGTGAGCCACAGCGCCCGGCCTATCAGATTTATTTTTATCTTGTATTCGTTTTATTGATTTTTACATTTTGGCCATTATACTTCAGTTCTTCAAGAGCACTTGCCTTGCTGTTTGTTCTTTGTCCTGTTAATGCCTAAAAGTTTTTTGTTTTTTTTTTTTTGAGATGGAGTCTTGCTCCGTTGCCCAGGCTGGAGTGCAGTGGCACTATCTTGGCTCACTTCAGCCTTCGCCTCCCGGGTTCAAGCAATTCTCCCACCTCAGCCCCCTGAGTAGCTGCGACTACAGGGGCACACCACTACACCTGGCTAATTTTGGTGGGTTTCACCATGTTGGCCAGGCTGGTCTTGAACTCCTGACCTCAAGTGATCCGCCTGTCTCCACCAGCCAGAATGTTGGGATTATAAGCGTGAGCCGCTTGGCCTGGCCACTTTCTATTAATATTTAAGTGAGACATTAAAATGCTGATTAAATGTTTTCTGTGTTTAGATCAGGCTGCTTGTCTGGAGCATGTTACTCTAGAAAGAAGACGCAGGGACTCCCAAAAGTAGGTTTTTTTTCTTCTCTTGGGCCAGTTTCCCCAGGGAAGAGACCTCAGTATCATGCCTAAGGATATGTGTAGTGTCCTTAAGTCCAGAGCCTGTCTCGTTAATTTCTATAGCGCAGATTTTCCCAATCTTTTTGTTCTGGAGACTCCTTGGCATCGTTTCCATTTCTCAGGGAACCCAGGCATTTGTCACCAGGAAGTTGAGATATATTGCTCTAGTAATAATTTATGCTCTTTTGAGTACGAGTGGTTTCTCTATGAATCTGTTTATTTGACCATCTTATTAGCCTATTCATTTTGTATGGTTTTCCTCTCTCCCCTAAGGATATCATCATTATTGCAAGTGAGTAGTGAAGTAAAGGAAACTTTAGTTTTTCCTTCTAAAGAAATTCCTGTATGATTTTTTTTTACCTTGTTTAAGTGATAACAATAGTTTTATCCCCAGTTTTTAGTATACAAGATGCTAATGAGATATTATGTGATCTAGGGTATGTACAAGAGGCACACCCCCAGCCAGCTTTTAAGACTAAACATGTTATTTTTAACTAACTTTTTTTGGGGGAAAATGTGCAGTTAAGCTTAGCTTACCTTTCTTGAAATTAATCTCTTCCCTTTTCTTAGATTTTTAAAAACTTATAAGGCAACCATAATGTTTTGATTAAATAATTTATATAAGACAAAATGGGATTTATTTTTTCTAAAGGTATATTTAATTTAAATGAACTTAGTAAAGTTATTTTTTACAATAGGAAAATTTATAATGTTTATAGTAAAAGCTACTAAAACCATAAAGCAAGGCAATATAAAAAAATATAGCTTAACACAATTTTATCTGAGAGCTTCAAAAATTTCTTTTTCTGTAACAAGATCTGTGTCAAATATAGGTCTAGCAGAATTATTAATGTGTGGCGATTTCTTGGTCTCTATTCTAGACCTGTACATAAAAAGTGATATTTTCAAAACTGAAAAAAACAGTTTATTTATTTCAACAAAACGTGTATATATATTTTTTTCTGTACAAATACTCAGTTCTGGGTTGAGCTTGAAATGAGCACACCCAGATTTCATATTCAACTGAAATGAAACTTTCTTCTTTGATCTTGATGCTTGTTAAACAAGAAGAAGCTTGTTGATGCATATGAGAATTTGAAAACTACAGCAAAATATTCATCGCTTACATGTGAATGACAAGACTTTATTCTTTCCATAGAAATCTAGAACTTATTTTGGGGCAGATGAGGAAATCTTGGGTGGAGCATAGGATCAGGCTGCAGCAAAGTTATCACCTAAACATCTGCTTCCAAAACAACTTGGTTGAAAACTTGTTTTTGCTCTTGCCTCTTTTCCCGTGTATTGTTCTAGTGAGTTTATGTATTTTTATTCTGTTAGTATTATTTAATAGGAAGTATCTGACATTTTTTTGATTGAGGCTGGCATGTAGCAGTTGAGATGAAATTAGTGCTAGTTTAACCCAAAAGAAATTTACTGACATTTTTCTTCTTCTTCATGAGCTAGTATAGGCTGCTGCTTGGAGTCTTCGCCCTCAAGGAACTAACTCTGTAATTGTATGGTTTAATTTACCTACCAGAATGTGTCTCTCTTTCCTCTCCTCTCTCCCCTACTCCATTCTTTCTTTGCAGGCAATAATGTGCACATGATAAAAATTATAAATGGTAAGGAGAATACAGTCAGCAGTCTTCTTGCTGTTTGTCTCAGTTCATTCTTCTCAAGAGAAATCCAGTTGTTTCTTTGTATAATTCCAGAGCTATTCTATGTATATTCAGATATATGCATATGTCAGCTGGGCTTGTTGGCTCATGCCTTTAATCCTAGCACTTTGGGAGGCCGAGATGTGTAGATTGCCTGAGCTCAGAAGTTCGAGACCAGCCTGGGCAACATGGTGAAACCCCGTCTCTACTAAAATACAGAAAAAAATTAGCCGAGTATAGCGGTCGGTGTGCGCCTGTAGTCCCAACTATTTGGGAGGCTGAGGCAGGAGAATTGCTTCAACCTGGGAGGTGGAGGTTGCAGTGAGCCAGGATTGCGCCACTGCACTGCAGCCTGGGTGACAGAGCGAGACTCTGTCCCCACCCCCCCCCCAAAACAAAAAATACATATATATATATGTATGTATGTGTGTGTGTGTGCGTGTATGTCGTTGTGCACATAGGTTTATAGTGGACCATGCATTATTTCATCAGGCTTTTATTTATAAACATTTAGATCATTTCTAGCCTTTTGCTGTTAAATGATGCTAGGTTGAATATTCTTGTATATACTTCTTTGTGCACTTATATATGAATTTATCTGTAGGACAAATTCTTTTTTTATTATTATTTTTTATTTTTTTTGAGAAGAAGTCTTGCTCTGTTGTCCAGGCTGGAGTGCAGTTGGGTGATCTTGGCTCACTGCAACCTCTGACTCCCGGGTTCAGGCGATTCTCCTGCCTCAGCCTCCTGAGTAGCTGGGACTACAGGCGCACACCTGGCTAATTTTTGTATTTTTAGTAGAGATGGTGTTTCACCGTGTTGACCAGGCTGGTCTCGAGCTCCTGACCTCGGGCGTTCTGCCCGCCTCAGCCTCAAAGTGCTGGGATTACAGGCATGAGCCACCGTGCCCGGCTGACAAATTCTTAGAAATAGAATTTTTTGGGTCAGAAGGGCGTGCATTTTTCTTTGTGTTGTCAGATATATTTTGGGAATTGATATCAGTTTGTACCTGAATTTCATGAACATTTTTTCCCCATCCTCCTTTGGATTATGTTTTATCATTTCATCTTACTATTATTTTTTGGAGTCCTTGCCCTCAAGGAGTAAACTCTTAATTGTACAGTTTAATCTACCTACCAGAATGTCTCCTTCCCTCTCTCTTTTCTGTCTTCCCTATCTTCACTATTGTTGCCTCTTTTTACTGTGTTCTAAAGTGGTTGTGCTAGAGCACTGCTGTCTAGTAGAACTTTGTGAATGATGGTGTGTTGTCTAATATTTCATATGGTAGAACCTTACATATAATTCTGTTTCCTCCCACCCATCCTTTGTGATATAATTGTCAAATACTTTGTTATTCATCAAATATTTTCTCTCTCTTATAAACTTTGTAATGCTTTGTTATTTATTTATTTATTTTTATTTTTTATTTTTTGAGATAGAGTCTTGTTCTGTCTCTGAGGCTGGAGTGCAATGGCGTGATCTCGGCACATTGCAACCTGTGCCTCCCGGGTTCAAGTGATTCTCCTGTCTCAGCCTCTCGAGTAGCTGGGATCACAGGCACGCGCCACCACACTGGGCTAATTTTTGTGTTTTTAGTAAAGACGGGGTTTCACTGTGTTGGCCAGGCTGGTCTCGAACTCCTGACCTCAAGTGATCTGCCCACGTCAGCCTCCCAGAGTGCTGGGATTTACAAGCGTGAACCACCGTGCTCGGCTTATTTATTTGTTTGTTTGTTTGTTTATTTTTTGAGATGGAGTTTTGCTCTTGTTGCCCAGGCTGGAGTGCAGTGGTGCGATCTCAGCTCACTGGAACCTTCACCTCCTGGGTTCAAGTGATTCTCCCGCCTTTAGCCTCCCAAGTAGCTGGGATTACAGACGCCTACCACATACCTGGTTAATTTTTTTTTTTTGGATTTTTAGTAGACACGGGGTTTCATCTAGCCAGTGTTTTAGAGCAATTAAAAATAGGAAGAAAGTCTTTTATATTTATCCTAATTTCTACTATTTTCAGCAGCCTTAATTTCTTTGTTTGAAAATAGGGTGGTTCTAGTTAGTGTGAATGAAAAAGGGTTTATTTAAAAAGTGAAGAATTGATAGGATTTGTTAACTGATTAGATTTGGTAGATGAAAGAGTGTAATGATGGCTGGGATTTGGAACCTACTTGGGTGGTCGGGTTAATAATGTTGCCAGTATTAACTTGTTTCATAAATGCTGTTAAAATTTTCTGTATTCATACAGAGTAGGCCATGGACTTTTGGAGCATAATGCACTAAAATTTTTAACCTTTAAAAGTAATAAAAATATGGAAAATTTGGACGATAAAGGAAAAGGCTCATGTATTAGGGTTATCTAGAGGAACTGAACTAATAGGATAGATGTATATATAAAGGGGAGTTTATTAAGGAGTATTGACTCACGTGATCACAAGGTAAAGTCCCACAATAGGCTGTCTGCAATCTGGGGAGCAAGGAAGCCAGTCCGAGTCCCAAAACCTTAAAAGTAGGGAAGCCGACAGTGCAGCCTTCAGTCTGTGGCAAAGGCCTGAGAGCGCCTGGCAATCCACTGGTGTAAATCCAAGAGTCCAAAAGCTGAAGAAACTGGAGTGAGATGTTTAAGGGCAGAAAGCATCCAGCACGGGAGAAAGATGAAGGCCGGAAGACTCAGCAAGTCCGCTCTTCCAAGATCTTCTCCTGCCTGCTTTATTCTAGCCGCACTGGCAGCTGATTAGATGGTGCCCACCCTGATTGAGGGTGGGTCTGCCTCTCCCAATCCGCTGACTCAAATATTAATCTCCTTTGGCAACACCCTCACAAACAAACCCGGGAACAATACTTTGCATCCTTCAATACAGTCAAGTTGACACTCAATAATAACCGTCACAGCTCATGATTATTTTTGGATGTTCCCTTCTAATTTGCCATTCTTTTTTTTTTTTTTTTTTTTAAGACGGAATCTTGCTCAGTCGCCCAGGCTGGAGTGCAGTGGTGCCATCTCAGCTCACTGTAACCTCTGCCTCCCAGTTCAAGCAATTCTGGTGCCTCAGCCTCCAGAGTAGATGGGATTACAGGCACCTGTCACCACGCCCAGCTAATTTTTGTATTTTTAGTAGAGACAGGGTTTCACTACGTTGGCCAGGCTGGTCTCGAACTCCTGATTGCAGGTGATCTGCCTATCTCAGCCTCCCAAAGTGCTGGATCACAGGTGTGAGCCACCGCTCCGGGCCCTTAATTTACCATTCCTTTTTTTTTTTTTGAGATGGAGTTTCACTCTTGTTGCCCAGGTTGGAGTGCAATGGCACAATCTTGGCTCACTGCAACTCCCATCTCCTGGGTTTAAGTGATTCTCCTGCCTCGGCCTCCTGAGTAGCTGGGATTATAGTCGCTCACGACCATGCCTGGTTAATTTTTTGTATTTTTAGTAGAGACAGGGTTTCACCATGTTGGCCAGGCTGGTCTCAAACTCCTGACCTCAGGTGTTCCACCCGCCTGGGCCTCCCAAAGTGCTGGGATTACAGGCGTGAGCCACCACGCCTGGCCAAAAGTTTGTAATTTTTATCTTACATGCTGTTCTACTGGGATATAATGGGCTATATTTAGTAGTGTCTGGGAAAACCATTTAATTATATTTTCCTATTGTGCATGTATGTTGGTATTTCTAAAGATAAAGACAAGTTTGGGAGGCTGAGGCAGGCGGATCACCTGAAGTCAGGAGTTCGAGACCAGCCTGACCACCATGGAGAAACCCTGTCTCTACTACAAATACAAAATTAGCCGGGCGTGGTGATGCATGCCTGTAATCCCAGCTGCTTGGGAGGCTGAGGCAAGAGAATTGCTTGAACCTGGGAGGCAGGGTTTGCAGTGAGCTGAGGTGGTGCCATTGCACTCCAGCCTGGGCAACAAAAGTGAAACTCTGTCTAAAAAAAAAAAAAAAAAAAAGATAAGGACAAGGGATGTCTGTTTATATTATTTTATTTTTTTTAAAGACAAGGTCTTGCTCTGTTTCCCAGGCTGTAGTGCAGTGACATGATCTTGGTTCGCTGCAGCCTCGACCTCCCTAGCTTAAGTGATCCTCCCACCTCAGCCTCCTGAGTAGCTGGGACCACAGGTGCATGCCACCTTGCCAGGCTAATTTCTTTATTTTTTTTGTAGAGATGGGGTCTCACTATGTTGCCCAGGCTGGCCTCAAACTCATGGCTTCAGACAATCCTCTTTCTTTGGCCTTCCAGTGTTAGGATTACAGGTGCGAGCCACCCTGCCTGGCCTGTTTATGTTATTTTAGAACCCGTGCTCACTTTGTGCAGAGCAGGATGTTGAGAACACATCCTTGACCTTATGGACTTTAGAATTTAAGAAAGAGATAATTCAGATTTTTGCAGTATTCAGGGGTTAACAGTACAAAGAAGAACATATGTAGTATTACCGAAAAGAGTAGTACTTCATGACAAAAGCCTGATATGGCCGTATGTGGCTCTATCTTGAGTCAGAATGCTTTGTGTGCAGTCAGGAATTGTTGGGTGATTGGTAGAGTAGAGATCTTTCACTTCTATAGAAAGCAGATGCCATTAATGCTATCCCTAAGAATTCTTGGAAGGTCTACTCCTGGAAATTAATTTAATGTCATGGGAATGCTCCTGTTCTACTTCAGGGATGTTATATCTCAATTGTATAGGGAAGATTGAGGACCCACACCTTTGGACATTCTCTCTAGCAGTTAAACTTTTTTACCCGTAAATCTCAGTAACCTGCAGTCCAGAAAGGGAGAACTTGCAAGATTTAAGTGAGACTCAATACAAATTTTGTCAAATGAATAAATGGCTTCCTGTTAAAAAATAAAAAAAACAAAACAGGCTGGGCATGGTGGCTCATGCCTGTAATCCTAGCACTTTGGGAGGACGAGACTGGAAGATCACTTGAGCTCAGGAGTTTTCGAGACCAGCCTAGGCAACATAGAGGTACCTCATCTCTACAAAAAAATTGAAAAATTAGCTAGATGAGGTGGCACACACCTGTAGTCCCAGCTGCTTAGGGGGCTGCGGTGGAAAGATCCCTTGAGCCCAGAAGGTGGAGGATGCAGTGAGCCATGATCATGCCACAGCACTCCTGCCTGGGCAACAGAGTAAGACCCTGTCTCAAAAACAACAACAATAGCAACTAAAGAAACCCCCACAAAAGTGAAGACCCGTGCCCCATCCTCTATTCATCTTTTAAAAAGTATTTAACTTTTGTTTTGTTTTGTTTTGTTTTGTTTTAAGAGACAGGGTCTCGCTATGTTGCTTAGGCTGGTCTGGAACTCCAGGCCTCAAGCAATCCTCCTGCCTCAGCCTCCAGAGTTGCTGGGATTACAGGCATGAACATTTGTGCCTGACATTTATCTTTTGTGTATTCGTTCTCTATTAGTTTGGAAGCTTTGAGTATCACTGGATTTTGTCTGTCTTGAAAACTATTTTCTTGTCTATCACTGGATTTTGTCTGTCTTGAAAACTATTTTCTTGTCTTTTAATCAATTTCCCTGATAATTGAGAGTTTGAGAAATTCACACGTTAATTGAACCTTAGAAATCCTCATAATGTGTTCATTTGTTAACCCGTTTTTCTTCATTTACTTGAATGTATTATATCCTCTTGGCAATTAAAGTGCGGCAAACACCAAAAAAGATTTTTTTTTGCCCTAATCATTTATTACTATGGTGACTGAAAAGAAATGATTTTTCTGTCACTAATGAAATGGTCTTCCAGGTTCTCTCTTGCATTTCAAGTATGCTACTATTCAACCTTTTCTGTGCATGTATATAAGCATTTGTCCGTACTATTCAACCTTTTCTGTGCATGTATATAAGCGTTTGTCAGGACAGAGGTAGACTCGTGATTGCCAAAATTTCCCCAGTGAAATCATCTTGGCCTGGAGGGGGTGCGGGAAGAGAGTGAGTGAGAGAGAGAGAGAGAGAGAGAGAGAGAGAGAGAGTGAGAGTGTGTGTGTGTGTTTGTGTGTGTTGAAGACTTACTAACTTGATTCTGATTGAAAAGAAAGACAGTAATATTAAATTTTATTGGCCAAATTTTTTTATTTATAATATTTACTTTAAGAACACTTACTGAGATATAAAATATATCCAGAAAAGTCTACCTCAAAAAAAAAAAATCTCAGAGTTGCTGGGATTTCAGGCATGAGCCACCATGCCTGACATTTGTCTTTTGTGTATTTGTTCTCTATCTGTTTGGAGGCTCTGGGTTATCACTGGATTTTTGCCTATCTTGAGCACTATTTTCTTGTCTTGTAGTTAAACTTTGTTTATGAAGGTTGTACTGATAGCCCACTATTGAGTAGTTTTAATGTCTTCAATAATCCTGGAAATCTTCCCATTGGAAATTTTTTTTAATACTGGAAAATTGTGTATTTCTAGTAATGATATTATGTTGATTCATATACACATTGTCTGATACTCTTCTGTATCGATTAATAGTATACACATCTTACTGCATTTCAGGCTGTGTACAGTAAGAGGTAATAGAACAGTTTCCCCTTTGTAATCTTTTTTTTTTTTTTGCCCATATTGGAGTCAGACTTGCATCATACTGTATTTTTAAAAAGATTTGAAATGTGACCAATTTGTTAATAAGTCTGAACCCTCAAATAGGCGGCAAGAAAATATGGTATAATGTGTTGTTATAAATAAGATTGAATACTCTGTCAAATTTATAAACTTCTAGTGGGCATTTATTTCTTTTTCTCTTTACAAATTACTCTAGTAAAAACACCTTTATAAGTGTCTATTTGGGGCTGCTATGAGTATACGTTTATATATATATATATTCTCTTTAGAAAAAATGTGCCCCAAAACAAAACAGAAAAAGAAAAAGAAATGTCCCCAGGATTAAGATTATTTGTTAAGTTTTAAATAATTTAATGCTTTTTCTGGAGTAGATTTGGTTTTAAGAAGGAAAAATTATTTGGTTCCTATAGTTTTACTTTTTTCAGAATGTCATATGAATGAGTTGTAGCATTTTCTAGCTTCATTCACTTAGCATAGTGCATTTGAGATTCATTCATGTTATTGCATGTTTCAGTAGTCCATTTCTTTTTATTGCTGAGTAGTGTTGCATTATATGAATGTACGACACTTTGTTTATGCATTATTAGTTGAAGGGTATTGGGGAGTTTGTAGTTTTGGGTGATTATGAATAAAGGTGCTATAAACATTTGTATACAGGTTTTTTTGGTGAACCTTGTTTTTGTTTTCTTTGTTAAAAACCTAAGATTGGGGTTTCTGGGTCATACAGTAAGTGTATGTTTATAAGAAACTGCCAGTTTTCCAGTGTCTTTGGCTAATATTTTGTTGAGGATTTTTACATTTATATTCATGAGGTATATTGGTTTGTAGTGTTCTGTTCTTATAATGCCTTTGCTTGGTTTAGATATTGGGGGAAAGTTGGCTTTATAAAATGAGTTGAGAAGTGTTCCCTTCCTTATCTGTTTTTAGAAGAGGTTATGTAGCATTGATAGTATCTCTTCCTTGACTGCCAAAATTTCCCCAGTGAAATCATCTTGGCCTGGAGTGGGTGCGGGAAGAGAGTGAGAGAGAGAGAGAGAGAGAGAGAGAGAGAGAGAGAGAGAGAGAGAGAGAGAGAGTGTGTGTGTGTGTGTGTGTGTGTTGAAGACTAGTTTAGTGTGGTAATGAGAAGGGGAGAAAGAGTAGAACAGGGAGTTTGATCTGTAAGACAGTGAACAATCAATTGGGAGAACTCACTACCTTTGGAATGTTTTTGTTAGAAAAATTTTAACTATAAATTCAGCTTATTTAATAGATACAGGACTATTAGGTTATCTCTTTTTTGAGGAATGAGCTTTGGTAGATTGTGTCTTTCAAGGAATTGGTTTATTTGTGGACATGCAGTTGTGGTATTTCATTATTCATCTGTGGAGTTTGTAGTGGTGGCATCCTTTCGGTCATTCCTGATTTGAATATTTGTATATTTTCTCTTTGTTTGGTCAGAATGGCTAGAGAGGTTTATTATTTTTATAGGTCTTGTCAAAGAACCAGCTTTTAGTTTCATTTACTTTCTTTGTTATTTTTTCATTTCATTCATCTCTGCTCTCGTCTTTATTTTCTTCCTCCTACTTGCTTTTGGTTTAGTTTGCTCATTTTCTGGTTTCTCAGATGGAAGCTTACATTACTGATTTGAAATCTTCTTTTTCTAATAGAAACATTTAATGCCATACATTTTTCTCTAAGCAGTTGTTTAGCTGCATGTCACAAAGTTTGATATGTATTTTCATTTTAATTCAGTTCCAGGTATTTTCTAGTTTTCCTTGAGGCTTGTTCTTTGACCCACAGATTACTTAGAAGGGTTTTATTCAGTTTTTAAATATTTTGGGATTTTTCCAGATAGCTTTCTTGTATTGATTTTTAAATTTGATTTCATATCAGAGAGCATACCTTATTTTATTTCTTTTCTTCTAAATTTGTTGAGGTTTATGTCCCAGGATATGATCTACTTTGATAAATGTTTCACATGCCCTTGTGTATTGTGCTGTTGTTGGGTAGAGTGTTCTATAAATGTCACTTAGGTCAGATTGATTGATAGTGGTTTTCAGGTCTTACATATCTTTGCTGATTTTCTATTTGTTTTATCAGTTGCTCAGAAAGGAGTGTTGAATCTCCAAATATAGTGGAATTTTCTATTTCTTCTTTCAGTTGTTGCTTCATATATTTTGAAGCTTTAAAAAAAAGTCCATAAACATTTAGAATTGTTATATATTTTTTGGTGAATTGACCATTTTACTGTATAATTTCCCTCTATCCCTGGTAATTTTTCTTGTTCTTAAGTCTACTCTGATTAGAGTTTGCAAGATCTATTTTTACTATCCTTTCTATAATTCCATCCTTTGTTGTATTTAAAGGGATGTCTTATAGACAGCGTATTGTTGGCTCTTGTGTTTTTAATTTTAATTTTATTTTATTTATTTTTTTTGAGATAACAGTTTCCTCTGTCACCCAGGCTGGAGTGCAGTGGCATGATCTTGGCTCACTGCAACCTCCTCCTCTTGGGTTCAAGCAATTCTTGTGCCTCAGCCTCCTGAGTAGCTGGGACTACAGGGATGTGCCACCAGGCCCAGCTAGTTTTTGTAGTATTAGTAGAGATGGGGTTTCACCATGTTGACCAGGCTGGTCTCCAACTCCTGACCTCAGGTGATCTGCCTGCCTTGGCCTCCCAAAGTGCTGGGATTACAGGGGTGATCCACCATGCCCAGTAGGTCTTGTGTTTTTTAAATCTAGTCTGATGATCTTGTATGTTAATTGTTCTGTTGAGACCATTTACAGTTGTTGACATTATTGATATATTTGGATATAGGTGTGCTGTTTTTTTTTGGAGACAGGGTCTTGCTCTGTTGCCCATGCTGGAATGCAGTGGCACAATTATGGCTACGGTGGTAGCCTTGACTTCCCAGGCTCAGGTGATCTTCAAACCTTGGCTTCCTGAGTAGCTGAGACTATAGGCGCATGCCACCTCACCTGGCTAATTTAAAATTTTTTTAGAGATGGGTTTCACTGTGTTGCCTAAGCTGGTCTCGACCTCGTAGGCAAGTGATCCTCCTGCCTTGGCCTCTCAAAGTACTGGGATTATAGGTGTAAGCCACCTCACCTGGCCCCTTCTGCTTTTTGTTCCATAATCTCCCTTTTCCTACCTTTCAGATTGCTTGACTGTTGTCTTAGTAATTCATTTAATTTATGTATTTTTTTTGACTCTTTGTATGTTTTGTTTTGTTTTTGGTGGCTGCTATGGGGATTACAATATACATACCTAACTTTATATTTTACTTAGAGTTAATACTTTACTGCTTCAGGTGAAATGCAGAAATCACACAATCTATGTTTCTTTAGCCTCTTTACATTACAGTGATTCTATATGTTACATCTTTAAACATTGAAAACCACATACTCAGCATTATAATTTTTGCTTTCAACAGTCATACCTATTTTAATGAATTTAAGGGGAGAAAAATGTTTTATGTACAAGTATATTTATTACTTCATTTGCACTTCCTTTATTCCTGAAGTTAGTTTCCCTTTGGTATCATTTTCCTTCTGCTTGAAGATCTACATTTAGCATTTGTTTTAGAACAGGTCTGCTGCTGATGAATTATCTCAGTTTTCCTTCACCTAAGAATATCTTTTTTAAAAAAATTGAGACAGAATCTCACTCTGTCTTCCAGGCTGGAGTGCAGGGGCGTGATCTTGGCTCACTGCAGCCTCTGCCTCCTGGGTTCAGGTGATCCTCTTGCCTCAGCCTCCCAAGTCCTGGGACTACAGGCATGAGCCACCACACCTGGCTAATTTTATATTTTTAATAGAGACAGGGTTTCACCTTGTTGACCAGGCTGGTCTCGAACTCCTGACCTCAAGTGATCCACCCGTTTTGACCTCCCAAGGTGTTGGGATTACAGGTATGAGCCACTGTGCCCAGCCTAAGAATATCTTTACTGCAGGAAATTTTCACTAGATGTAGAATCCTGGGTTTATTGTTTTACTCTTTTAGCTCTTCAAAAATGTAGTTTGTTGTCTTCTGTGCTTTCTGATGAGACATCTATAATCACTGGAATCATTGTTTCTTTGTATGTAATGTGTTGTTTTTCACTGGCTCCTTTAGGAGTTTTTTTCTTTAATCTTTGATTTTTTTAGTAGTTTGATTATTTATGGGCATACATTTATCCTGTTCGTGTTCACTTAATTATTTATGTTTCTCATGAAATTTGGAAGGTTTTGTTTTGTCAAATATTTTTTTTCTGCTCCAGTTTTTTTCTTTTGTTCTTCTGGGACTTCACTGACATAACTTTTTGATATTCTCAGATCTCTGAGGCTCTTTCCTGTCTTTTTTATTTTTATTTTTTTGAGATGGAATATCTCTCTGTCTCCCAGGCTGGAGTGCAGTGGCATGTTCTGGCTCACTGCAACCTCTGCCTCCCGGGTTCAAGCGATTCTCCTACCTCAACCTCCCAAGTAGCTGGGATTACAGGCACGCACCACCACACCCAGCTAATTTTTGTATTTTAAGTAGAGACGGGGTTTCACTATGTTGCCCAGGCTGGTCTTGAACTCCTGATCTCAGGTGATCCACCTGTCTCGGCCTCCCAAACTGCTGGGATTACAGGCGTGAGCCACCACGCCTGGCCTTTTTGGTTTTTTGTTTCTTTTGAGACAGAATCTCGCTCTCTTGCCCAGGCTGGAATGCAAAAGTGTGATCTTAGTTCACTGCAGCCTCTACCTCCTGGGCTCAGGCGATCCTCCTACCTCATTCTCCTGAGTAGCTGGCATTATGGGCGCACATAATCCTGCCTGGCTAATTTTTGTATTTGTTTTGTAGAGATGGGTTTCACTGTGTTGCCCAGACTGGTGGCAAAGTCCTAGGCTCAAGCGATCCACCCCCCTTGGTCTCCCATAGTGCTGAGATTACAGACGTGAGCCACCGTGCTTTTTTTTTTTTTTTTTTTTTTTTTTTTTTGACGGAGTCTTGCCCTGTTGCCCAGGCTGGAGTGCAATGGTGCGATCTTGGCTCACTGCAACCTCCGCCTCCCGGGTTCAAACGATTCTCCTGCCTCAGCCTCCCAAGTAGCTGGGATTACAGGCACACACTACCATGCCCAGTTTTTTATTTTTATTTCATTTTTAGTAGAGATGGGGTTTTACCATGTTGGCCAGGCTGGTCTCAAACTCCTGACCTCGTGATCCACCCGCATCGGCCTCCCAAAGTGCTGGGATTACAGGTGTAAGCCACTGCGCCCGGCCACCACCGTGCTCATTTTTTCCCCCACCTTTTTTTCACTCTTGTTCAGACTGGATAATTTCTGTTGATCTATTTTTAGGCTTACTGTTTCTTTCTTCTGTCACATTCTGTTATTCAGTCCATTCAGTAATTTTTATTTTAGTTTTTTTAATCTAAAATTTTCATTTAGTTCTTTTTTATAGTTTCAATTTCTGTATGAAAATGTTTATCTTTTCATTAATTTCATGTGTATTTGCCCTTACTTCAGAAAGCATGATTATAATAGCTGCTTAATTTTTGACAATTCCAAAATCTGAGCCATCTTAGGGTTGGTGTCTCCTGCTTGTTTGTACATTTTGAATATTTTACTTGAGACTCTGAGTCCTATTTAAGGCACCTGGAAATGTTGAGTTTTTTCTTTTAGCAGGCAATCAGACTGGTTGGATTCATACTCCAAGTGTCATCTTACCTTCAGTGGGCTGTGGTTCTAATGTCAATTTACTTTTCACAGTCTTTGCAGTACTATTTGGGTCTGTCTTTTGTGTATGTACCTCCCAGGAGTCAGTTTGGGACCTGAGTGGTGGTCGGTATCTATATCTTAATTTAGGTCTGAAGATCTGTGTTATACTATTTTGGGTCAGTTCATACATGCACAGCCTTTAGGTGTGCCTGGAACTTCATACATGGATTTAGGAGTGTTCCTTTTTCAGCTCCCTGTTCTCCATGATTTATTTTCACACTCTGTTTCCCAGGAGATCTTGTCCTCATTCTCTGATGACAAAGCCAGGATTTTTAACCTCTCCACACTATCATGAACTTCCTACAACTGGATATGCCTCTAGACCAAGATGGTGACAGAGAGGAAGAAATAACCTGGTTTCTCTCTGCACTGTTCCAGTTACAGAGCCTCAGTTCCTCTGGTCAGAGGGAAGGATTCTCTCAGTTTTAGGTGCCTTTGTGGTCACTGCCGAAGCCATAGGAGTGCAGTTTTGTGACCAGTACTTGACTTGGGCTAGGGCCAGAAGAGTAAAAAAGAGAGAAAAAGAGCTGGGATTCCACCCATAGCCTTCATCCTGCAGGGCCCTCCTACCTAGTCCATTGGCCACAAAGAAAGTGTTTCTCCTGGACTTTTTCCTGCCCACTCCTACTGTGCAGTTCTAAGATTTGGGATGCCCTTGAATCTAATCCAGGACATATGGGAGGGGGAAAAACTCAGTGAATCACTTCCCTATCAGCTCTTCTAGTTTTTGTTTTGTTCCCAAATCTAGCTGCCATTATTTACTTTTTTGAATCCTCGGAGGACTCCATATATGCTGTCCGGGTTTTTAGTGATAATTGGTGCTAGAGATAGAAGTGTGTTAGTTCATCTTAGCCAGAACTGTAGGCATTTCCCACCCTTACTCCATCAACTTTTAATTTCAGATGCGTATTTGAAAGTCTGAGTACAGTATGAGAAATAGTAAAACTGTAAAAATAGGAAAACAATTATAGTAAAACTGTTAACTGTTACTGAGTACCTTCTATATTCCAACTATAATGCTAAGTGTTTTGAATATGTAATGTAATTCTTAAACTGCCTTTATAAAGTAGGTATATTACCATTTTAATATTGAGGTTAATTATTTGTGGTCAGATAGCTATTAAGTGGTGTAATGAGTGTATAAACCTGGGCCTTTACAGACTCCAGAGTCGCTCATCCACTTGCTGAGTCAGCTAACATTAAAAAATTATATTTTTAGGCCAGGTGCATTGGCTCACACCTGCAATCCTAGCTCTTTAGAAGGCTGAGGCAGGCAGATCACCTGAGGTCAAGAGTTCAAGACCAGCCTGGCCAACATGGCAAAACCCCGTCTCTCGTAAAAATACAAAAATTAGCCGGGCATGGTGGCGCGTGCCTGTAATCCCAGCTACTTGGGGGGCTGAGGCAGGAGAATAGCTTGAACCCGGGAGGCGGAGGTTGCAGTGAGCCGAGATCATGCCACTGCACTGCACTCCAGCCTGGGCAACAGAGCAAGATTCCATCTAAAAAAAAAAAAAAAAAAAGATCAACAATCCCACGATCCCAATACTGGGTAAGTATCCAAAGGAAATGAAATCAGTATGTCGAAGAGATACTTGCACTCCTGTGTTTATTGCAGAGCTATTCACAATAGCCAATAGCCAAGATAAGGAATTAACCTAAATGCCCAACCACAGGTGAGTGGATAAAGAAAATGTGAGGTAGGTGTGTGTGTGTGTGTGTGTATGTGTGTATGTGTGTGTGTGTACGTGTACAGACTGGTAGTATATAGAAATACCATTCAGCCATAAAACAGAATGAAATCTTGTCATTTGTGGCAGCATGGGTGAATCTGGAGGATATTATTATATTAAGTGAAATAATCCAGGCACAGAAATACAAACACCACATGATCTCACTCATGTGGAATCTAAAAAAATTCGTTTCATAGGAGTAGAGTAGAATATTGATTACCAGAGGCTGGAAGAGGAGGTGATAGAGGAGGAGGGGACTGGGAAAAGTCAGTCAACTGGTACAAAGTTGCAGTCAGGAGGAATAAGTTCTAGTGTTCTGTTGCACAGTAGGGTGACTATAGCTAATAGCAATGTAGTCAAGATAGCTAGAAGAGATTGTGAATGTTATCCTCACAAAGAAATGATAAATGTTGGCTGGGTGCAGTGGCTCACGCCTGTAATCCCAGCACTTTGGGTGGCTGAGGCGGGTGGATCACAAGGTCAAGAGATCGAGACCATCCTGGCCAACATGGTCAAACCCCGTCACTACTAAAAATACAAAAATTAGCTGGGCATGGTGGTGGTGCACGCCTGTAGTCCCAGCTACTTGGGAGGCTGAGGCAGGAGAATTGCTTGAACCCGGGAGGCGTAGGTTGCAGTGAGCCGAGATCATGCCACTACACTCTAGCCTGGCGATACAGTGAGACTCCATCTCAAAAGAAGAAGAAGAAAAAAAGAAATGATAAATGTTTAAAATGATGGATATAATTACCCTGATTTGATTATTATACAGTGTATTCATGCATTGAAACATCACACTCTTATCCTGTAAACATGTACGATTGTTAATTAGAAATAAAAAATTAAGAAATAACTATTTTTAGCTTCAGAATAATGAAGCGTTAGAAGCACTCTTTTTAAAATTATACATTCATAGTTTTATAACCTGCTCTTTCCACTTAAAATATTGGCAACAATTTCCATATCAATAGGTACACTTCTACAACATTTTAATTGCTATGTAGTATTCCATTGTGTGGATCTTCCACATTTATTATTGGGTAGTCTTTTGCTGTTATAAACAGTGCACAGAACGTTAATTTCCATTTGGTACTAGGTTGAGTTCCATTGTGGTTTGAATGTGATTGCAGAAATTGAACTTTTGAATTCTGACTGTGCACTTGTGCTGAAGATATTATGCTATGTGACTCAGCTGTGGGTAACTCTATAGTTAGTGAACTTTATTATAGGAAATAGTGTTATTGTGCTACATTTATATATAGAGAGTTTTACTGGTTTTTATTGAAAAGCGTGTATCTTTTTATTTAATGGCGAACATTACTTAATATGTTATAATCTTCTCTGAAATAATAGTATGTGTTTTATACATTTAGTACTTTGCTGGATTAAATTCATTACATCATTCACATTCGATATTCAGTCACATTAAGCCTTTTTTTTTTTTTTTCTTTTGAGACAGAGTCTCACTCTCCTTTCCCAGGCTGGAGTGCAGTGGCGCGATCTTGGCTCACTGCAACCTCTGCCTCCCAGGTTCAAGCGATTCTCCTGCCTCAGCCTCCTGAGTAACTGGGATTACAGGCACCCCCTGCCACACCCAGCTAAGTTTTGTATTTTTAGTGGAGACGGGGTTTCACTATGTTGGCCAGGCTGGTCTCAAACTCCTGACCTCTGGTGATCTGCCCACCTCGGCCTCCCAAAGTGTTGGGATTACAGGCGTGAGCCACTGCGCCCAGCCCCATTAAGCTTTTTATATACCAGATTTTGTTCAAAGGCTGCAGACCAAACCTTTCATTTTTGTTAACTGTCCTGTAAAGTATACTGATACAAGGTCTATGAGGTTAAAATATGTGGATGACACAGTGCAAACTCATTATTTCCAAAAAAAAGCATGTTGAACCACAGTTCCTATCAGTGAATCTAGAAAACTATTTTTATATGCAAATAATACATTCCAGTTCATTTATATACTTCTGTGCATTTTCACAAATAATAACTAATTATCCCATGATATCCCTCTTTAAGGGTGAGTGTCATTAGCTCCTGATGATTTGAGTACATTTAATTAGATATCTTTTCTGAAGTTATATTTAACTGAAAGAATATATTGACTCCAGAGGTTTTAAGCTGTTCTTTTCACTGCCATTTGTGTATATGGTAGGAAAAATGATAAAAATATTTGAAAGAATTAGCTTGGCAACATAGTAGAATAGCCTGGAATGTCTGAGAACTGCTCAGTGATTTGTGTGGCTAATAGTGCTAGGTAGAAGGCTTAGATTAGTCTTAGAATTGGCACAAGACGAGAATGAGACAACTGAGGCATTGGCCCTGGATACATGTTTTTGGTGTCTGCCAGAAAGCTTGGTAATTGAGATAAATAATATTTAAATAAAATGCTTCAAAATAAAAATTAATTTAACACAATTCAAAGAACTAATTATGAAAATTTTAAAGATAGGGTCCAACAGGGCAAAGATTAAGAGTCATGCAAGTACATGATTGAGTCCTGTTTAAAATTTTGATAGTTCGTTATCATGCATGACTTACCTTGAGTAATTTATCTATCTAGTAAGTTATTTTGCCCTCAGAACACGTGCCTCATTTGCCTTACCGTAGTAGTTTTGGCCTCGCTTATAAGAAGTCAGTCTGAAGGAATTACGGGTTTCTCTGTGGGTCAGTGTATTAGTTTTCTATTGATATGTGATAGATTGCCCCAAATATAGCAGCTTAAAACAATATCCGTTTATTATTTCACAGTTCTGTAGGTTGAAAGTTGGGGCGGGGAGGAGGCTCCACTGTGTTTTCTGCTCAGGGTCTCAAAAGCCAATATCAAGATCAAGCTGGGTTTGGCTTTTATCTGGAGACTTTGGTGGGGAAGAAGGTGCTTCCAAACTCATTCATGGAGTTGACAGAATCCAGTTCCTTGAGGTGATAGGACTGAGATGACTGCATTGTCGTGGACTGTTAGCTTTAGGGGTCACTCTCAGCTCTGAGGCGGCTCTCATATCTTTTCCACATGACCCTCTCAATTTTCTTTTTTCTTTTTTTTTTTTTGAGACAGAGTTTCGTATGCTGCCCAGCTGGAGTGCAGTGGTGTGATCTAAGCTTACTGCAACCTCTGCCTCCTGGGCTCAAGTGATCCTCCCACCTCAGCCTCCCAAAGTGCTGGGGTTATAGTTGGCCAACCCTCTCAATTTTCAAAGCCAGCAGTGGAATATCTCTCATATAGAATCTTTTTTACTTGCTCTTCTGCAGCCAGCCAAAGAAAACTTTCTATTTTTAAAGGGCACTTGTGATTAGATTGGGCCCTCCTGGATAATCTCCCCATTAATAACTCACTACTAACTGATTAGCAACCTTAATTTCATCTACAGAATCTCTCTTGGCACATGATGTAATCGTGGATGTGATATCTCGTTGTGTTTTCAGTCCTGGGGATTAGGACAGGAAATCCTCTTTTTGTTGTTGTTGTTGAGACAGAGTCTCACTCTATCACCCAGGCTGGAGTGCAGTGGTGCAATCTCGGCTCACTGCAACTTCTGCCTCCCAGATTCAAGCAATTCTCCTGCCTCAGCCTCCTGAGTAGCTGGGACTACAGGTGCATGCCACCATGCCTGGCTAATTTTTGTATTTTTAGTAGAGACAGGGTTTCACCATGTTGACCAGGCCGGTCTCGAACTCCTGACCTCGGGTGTTCTGCCTGCCTTGGCCTCCCAAAGTGCTGGGATTACAGGCGTGAGCCATGGAAACTGGCAGGACAGGAAATCTTGGGAGACCATTTTAAAATTCTGCCTACTGTAGTCAGCTAAGAAACTAATACAAACCATTCATCCTACTCACTGGTAGTGACTTATTGATATAAATATTACAAACACAAACAAATAGCTATAAATATGTATTATGGCAACATTTGTTATGACTAAAATTTGACAGAAGAAAACATTCATTCTGCAATTTGTGTCTGCATAGTTTGCTTAAATTGGGAATGGTATTGTTACAAAGCAAACCTTTTGATGATAGAGACTTTGTTGAGAAAATCTGATATAGTCAAAAGCAGATTGGGTCTTTATTATAAACTTTACATTAAAAACAATTGAAACGGAAGTTATGTTAGCAAAATAAACATGAAAATTGAAAAAAAATAGAAACAGTTTACCTATGGTTTTCAGAAAACTAATTTAAAAAATGTTGACTCATTGAAGTTTGCATTGGAAAAATACTTTGGTAAAATGTTTATTGGTGTTACACGTTCACAAACGCACACACATATGTACCATATGTACAGTCATAATTCTAGGTGAGGATGGCAGACAGAAGGCTTGAAGAGTCAGAGAAGTTCAGCCAGCCACATTTTTTTTTAAATTGTATCTGAGCATGTACTATGTATGTTTATATTTTGACACTGCTAGCTGGGTTTTCACTGGTGGGTGGGATGTGGGGGTATGTTACAGACAACTTTCACTTTCTACTGTATTCACTTCTGGTTTTTGACTATTTTGAAATAACATGTTTCGTTTCATTTCTTTTTTTTTTTTTTTTTTGAGACAGAGTCTCGCTCTGCTGCCCAGGCCAGAGTGCAGTGGCGCGATCTTGGCTCACTGCAACCTCTGCCTCCCGGGTTCAAGTGATTCTCCTGCCTCAGCCCGCTGAGTAGCTGGGACAGCTAATTTTTTGTAGTTTTAGTAGAGATAGGGTTTCACCGTGTTAGCCAGGATGGTCTCGATCTCCTGACCTCGTGATCCACCTGCCTCGGCCTCCCAAAGTGCTGGGAGTACAGGTGTGAGCCACCACGCCCGGCCAGTATGTTTCATTTCTATAATAAAAATGCAGATCGAAAATCTGTGTTGTAGCAGTGATTTAAAATAAAGTGAAATGATTTTTAAAGAGTTTAAAAATAGAGTAAAAATGTCGTAAAAACTGGGACTTGCTCCAGGCCTCTATTTGAGTTACTTTAGTAAATTTTTCTTTTTTTTGAGATGGAGTCTTGCTTTGTCGCCCAGGCTGGAGTGCAGTGGTGCGATCTTGGCTCACTGCAACCTCCGCCTCCTGGGTTCAAGCAGTTCTCCTGCCTCACCCTTCCGAGTAGCTGAGACTACAGGCACGTGCCACCATACCTGGCTAATTATCATATTTTTAATAGAGACGGGGTTTCACCATGTTGGCTAGGCTGGTCTCGAACACCTGACCTCAAGTGATCCACCCGCCTCGGCCTCCCAAAGTGGTGGGATTATTAGCATGAGCCACCACGCCCGGCCTAAGTATTTCTTTTTGAGGCAGCTTAAAGAAAAAAAGCTTTGTGTATGTGTGTCTGTGTGTCTGTGTGTGTGTGTCTGTGTTTGTGTGTGCGTGCGCGCGCATGTGCTGTCTCTTTTTCCATAGAAATAATATTGCTCTGTTCTTGAATCCAATTATTACAATGAAGGTGATAATTATGTAGAGAGGAATAACTGTGTCAAGGTATTCCTGAATGGTACTGGTGTTATGTTTTAGACCAATCTCAAGATAAACCTTAGCCATTTGGCCCCACTAGATAGTGTAGGGATCTAAACTAAACTAGATAACCTAAGTTAAATTACCTATTTCTACTCAAGTTGAAGTAGTATGCTGGCTATATTTTTTTCTGCTAGGTTTCAGTCTTTGGAGGCCTTTGGGATATTGACAGATGAGGAGATAATTGATAAGTAGTGAAGTGGACAGCTAGCATGGCTGAACCACAGAAAAGAGTAGTGGATTGAGGTTATAGGGTGATAATAGTGAGGATAGTAGTAGAGTAGTATTAGAAGTAAAATCACTGTTCCCAGGCATGGTGGCTCATGCCTGTAATTCTAGCACTTTGGGAGGCCCAGATGGGAAGATTGCTTGAGGCCAGGAGTTTGCTTAGGCAACACAGTAAGGCTCCATCTTTAAAATATATATATATTGTAAATATATATCATATATTTTATAAAAATATATTTATATAAAAAATATTTTTATAAAATATATATTTTATAAAAATATATAAATATATAATTATATAATACATACATATTATATTATATAATATATATTTATATATTTTTATATAATATACAATATAATATATATTAATATTTATATATTTAGATACATATATAAAGATATAAAAATATTTATATATTAAATGCGGTGGCATGCACCTGTAGTCCTAGCTACTTGGGAGGCTGAGGTGGGAGGATGGCTTGAGCCCTGGAGTTAGAAGGTACAGTGAACTCTGATCTGGGCATAGTGGCGGGTGCCTGTAATCCCAGCTACTTCGGAGGCTGAGGCAGGAGAATTGCGTAAACCTGAGAAGTGGAGGTTGCAGTGAGCTGAGATCACGCCACTGCACTCCAGACTGTGTGACAGAGCGAGACTCTCTCTCAAAAAAAAAAAAAAAAAAAGAAAAAGAAGGTATAGTGAACTCTGATTGTGTCACTGTACTCTAGCCTGGGCTACAGAGTGAGATCTTGTTCCTAATAAATAAATAAATAAATAAATAAATAAATAAAATAAAAGAACATTTTCTAAAGTGTGGTATAGGATGGTAGATTTTGGGTCAAGTTTTATTTTCTGTATCAGCAAAGAAAAAGGAAAGAAAGTAATATTTGAATGCATGTCTCATGCATTAAATATATGCCTCTAAGGGCTGTGTTTATTTCCATTTCATAAATGAGAATACTCAGTCCAAGAGAACTAAGTAATTTAATGTTTCAGAGAATTTCTAAATGTGGGATTTCAACTCATGTCTGCTTCGTTTTGGGGACCATGTTTTTAAAGTCTTCTCACAGTGTTATATATAATATAATTTAGTCAACATTAAACCTATTACGAATAGGTATCCTACCAAGTTGGATAATTTGAAAGAACACCAAAATAAGGAATAATATATGCCAAAAGTTCCTCCCTTCTTGCAGAAGGGTTCAGACAGTTTCTGGTTGAAGCAGAGATTAAATACATTGATAAATCAATAGACAGAGTGATCTGGAATAATTGGTAGAAATTGGTTGTAAAATGGTGTTAGGGACAGATTTTTTTTAGTCTTTTAAACCCACATCTTGATTTGATAGACACAAAAATCATGATATGATATTGGAGATTTCAAAATAAGTATTTCAAAATTAAAACAGCAGTGATTCTAGGAAGAAAAAACTTAATCTTTAAAACATAGATATTTTTCTGTACCAGTCATATGGTATCAGTGTGGGTGGGGCTACTTATTTATCACCAGGCTTTTCAGTCCCAAATAGTATGGAAATCTGTGAATTGTTCTGTTTTTATTACCTGAGTGCAATAAAAAAGATTAGCTTTGTAAAATAAGGAGAGGATAAAGTTTGCTTATTTTCGGGAGTGAATCAGAAGATGTTCTTCCTCCTCAAATTTTCTAGATTTTTTTTTTGGAAGTTACTCTGTTAACTGAATCAAATTTGAATGATAAAAACTATCATTTGAGATGTTTTTGCCAACATGGAACATAACTAAGAAAAAATGTTTTTCACATTGTTTCAAGTGGGATTTTCAGGCATGTCATTATGAAAGTATTTCCTTAAATCATCTTTCAGAACAAAAATATGGATGAGTATTGCTTTTTTTCCGCCTTATCCTTGAGTGCTTTATTGGGTCAAAGTTGAAGAAATATTAAAGCACTAATTTGCTTTATCCAGTTTGTTGGATTTTTTTCTTTGTTTGCTTGAAGTATTTTTCTAGACTCTTGATTGCAAATGACAACTCAGCTTAAACTAAGCAGAATGACAGTAGAACTGAAGAAATAACCACAAACATAGATAGATGTGGCCACAAAAATTAAGTACTTTCAGGACATTCTCTTAATTTCTTAATCTTTCATTTGGGTCTGTTTGTTAGCTTCATTCTCACATACTGTCTAAGTACTTTCAGGACATTCTCTTAGTTTCTTAATCTTTCATGTGGGTCTGTTTGTTAGCTTCATTCTCACGTACTGTCTAAATCAACAAATCTTTATTGAGTACCTGCTATGTGCTAGCTACTATTTAGTTGCTGGGGAAACAAGTGATGAAATAAGACATACCAATTTGTTCCAAAGGCTTAAGGGGCAAAAATGAAAAGAGAAATAAGACACATCAAGCTTCTGTCCTCAAGGAGCATACTTTCTTTTTTCTTTTCTTTCTTTTTTTTTTCTTTTTTTTTGAGATGGAGTCTAGCTTGTCACCCAGTCTAGAGTGCAGTGGCACAGTCTCGGCTCACTGAAACCTCTGCCTCCTAAGTTCAGGTGATTTTTAGGCCTCAGCTTCCTGAGTAGGTGGGATTACAGGCGCCTGCCACCATGCCCAGCTAATTTTTGTATTTTTAGAGACGGGGTTTCATGAAACACGTTGGCCATTCTGGTCTTGAACTTCTGACCTCAAGTGATCCTGCCTCAGCCTCCCAAAGTACTGGGATAAGCCACCGCCCCCTGGCCAAGGAGCATACTTTCTAGTGTAGAGACTTTGTCTACATAGCAGGGAACAGGGCCACAGACCATTCAAGACTCATATTTCCGTCTGCAAGACCCACAAGGCAAGAGGGCTTCTTCTCCACCAACTCCAGCTAGAAAAATTACAGGGAAGGATAATGTTTCATTCTGCGCCCATTTCAGAGTCAGTTACTGCATCCAGAAGAATGAATTATTGTTATTAGCTGAGCCTGGTCATGTACTCACCCTGTTAGGGACTAGCATCTGTTACCAAAAGACAGGAAGGTCTGGGGCAAATGAGTATACTGGGCAGGCAAAAATAGTGCTACCATGGTGTTTGCATTTTGAAGTTTAATTCCTTGTATTTAAAGCTGCAAATAAATTTGCCAAATATGCAAAGCTTTACTAATTTTTGAAAGCTTGAAAGTGTTGATCTTTCTCCTTATTTCTAAATCTAAAGTAATTGTGATCTTCAGTTTCATATCCAAAGAGCCAGACAAATAACTTAATGATTTAAACATATTGCTTCCCACATAATTCACTGTATTGACAGGAAGGTTGTAGTTTTGTCGATCATAAACACCGTTTTGAGATTAATGCTACATGGTGTTTTAATTTGGGTTCCACCAAAAGAAGACCCTGAGACAAGGATTTGTTTGGTTCCAAATAGTTCATTTAAGAATGTTGAAGAAGTAGGAAAGAGACAGGGAAGGGACAAAAGTTAATAAGCGTGCTTTAATAAGTAGTATACCACACTGGGCAACTGGTCATCAGTCTCGCTGAACTCCCTCTGCTAGATTACATAGAGAATATGCCTCTGGATTGTCCCATTGAGGGATAAGACATTTACTACCTCTTGCCCTTCACTGGTTGAAGTTTCTGGGAATAACTCCCAGGCTCTCTTGCTTGTCCTGCTGCCAAGCTGAGTATGCTCCTTCAGGCAGAGAAAGCTCTGGCAGAGAGGCTCAGATGCTGAGAAATTGTCTGGAGAACTGTTCATAGAAACTGCAGGTGTTCTCCACACTGGCTGTGAATGGAAATGGGTGGGACATTGATAGATTCAGCTATGAATGGTGAAATACATTGTATATTCTCAAAACAGGTGAATTTTTCCTTTGATTTTGATTAAAATTCCCATATATTGGTAGAGCAGTGTAAGTACCTACCCTAACCATGCCGCTCCCACGCTGGTTCACTTTATTTGCTTTGCATTAGGGTGGTTACCACTGCCTGCTGCAGCAAATCCCAGAAATTGTTGTGACTTAGCAATGGTTTATCATGTTCAATATAGGTTGGGTGGCTCTCTGGCAGAGCTCTCTTCCAATCAATGACTCAGAGACCCAAGCTGACACTCCACAATCTAAGAGTTTTTTTTCTGTTTAGCCATGTGGATGGGAAAAATCATGGAGAAAGTACATCAGCTTTAGGTGTGTTAGTTACTTCATTCATAACCTGTGGCCAGACCAGTTGCATGGCTGTGACCTAACTGGAAGGGAACCTGGGAATTGTAAGAAATTGACCCATTTGACCCTGAAGAATTTTAATTTTAATAGAGTCTTCAAGTCCTGTAAAAATCACATTTATTCTTTTTTATTTACATGTTGAGCATATAATTAATTACTATTTTCACCACCTGCCTCCCCCTCCTTTTTGTTTTGAGAAGGAGTCTTGCTCTGTCGCCCAGGCTGGAGTGCAGTGGCACGATCCCGGCTCACTACAACCTTCACCTCCTGGGTTCAAGCGATTTACCCACCTCAGCCTCCTGAGTCGCTGGGGTTACAGGCGTGCGCCACCACGCCTGGCTAATTTTTGTATTTTTAGTAGAGATGGGGTTTCACCATGTTGGCCAGGGCTGATCTTGAACTCCTGATCTCAAGTGATCCACCCGCCTTAGCCTCCCAAAGTGCTGGGATTACAGGCATGAGCCACTGCACCTGGCACTATTTTCTTTTTTTATTTTTATCTCACTATTTCCTTTTACAAACAGTAAAAATAAGGGCAAGTCATTTAGTTTTTCACAAAATTGAAACTTCACATTCTTATATAAGTCATTAATTTGGCATCTGACAAATGCGGTGGAATTTTCTTAATTTCCTTTTTAAAGTTTTGACAACATTTGGTATCTATGTATATCATAATTTAGTAAATGTTTATTGAAAGTATAAGATCGGAGGTGACAGACTGGGTGTGGTGGCTCATGCCTGTAATCCTAGCACTTTGGGAAGCTGAGATGGGAGGATTGTTTGAGACCAGGAGTTCGTGACCAGCCTGGGCAACATCATGGCAAGGCTTTGTCTCTACAAAAAATAAAAAAAAATTAGCCAGGCGAGCTGACATGGTGGCATGCACCTGTAGTTCCAGCTACTCTGGAGGATGAGGTGGGCGGATTGCTTGAGCCTGGAAGGTCGAGGCTACGGTAAACTGCGTTCACGCCACTGCACTCCAGACTGGGCGACAGAGTGAGACCTCATTTCTTTTAAAAAACAAAAAGGACTTAAAGTACCTTTTGAAATATGAGACTTTAGTTCTGTTCACTTTCCATATTTTGCTCCTTTATTGTCACTCTTTGAAAACTGGTGTTAACATATTTTTGGTTGCAAGTGAGTCTGTTGCAGTTTTGTTTTTTAATTGTTTGCAAAAGAAAGACTACAACGGGAGTCCAGAAGGGAGCTATGGAGTGTTTACAAACTGAAGCAGTGTGAACTTTGGTTGTAGCTGGCTGATTTTGTGTATGCTAGAGGGCTAAATCCTTAATTCACCATTAAGTAGTTCCTCTTACTGTTTGCTTTGGACTAAAGTTGCTAGTTCCTGCTCTAGAGTGATGAATTAAAGGCTAGCCTACCCTATTTTTCTTTTTCTGTTTTTTTTTTTTTTTTTTTTTTTTTTTTTTTTGAGACGTTGTCTTGCTCTGTCGTCCAGGCTGGAGTGCAGTGGTGCAATCTCGGCTCACTGCAACCTCCGCCTCCTGGGTTCAAGCGATTCTCCTGCCTCAGCCTCCCAAGTAGCTGGAATTACAGTTGCCTACCACCACACCCGGCTAATTCTTGTATTTTTAGTAGAGATGGGGTTTCACCATATTAGTCAGGCTGGTCTGGAACTCTTGACCTCAGGTGATCCGCCTGTCTCGGTCTCCCAAAGTGCTGGGATTACAGGCGTGAGCCACTGTGCCCGGCCTACCCTATTTCTTATGGATTTTACTTTATTTCTTTATCTCTTCATAAAGAGCCTTCTTGAAAAGGTTATGTCTAACTTCTTCCTGTTTGTGCCTCAGAATATCCAGTGTGACTTTTGCCTGATGACTTTATTGAAATGGCTCTTGAACGAGGTTACAGTGTCTTCTACATGATGGGTGTTTTGTATTATTTTTGATTTAATCCGCATAGCAATCTAGTGAGGCAGCTTCTTTTCAAACTTCTCTTTCTTTTCAGGTACCTGAAATGTTCCTCCCTGCACCCCCCCCACCTCTGAAATGTTCTTGTTTCCTAGGGTTCCATACAGTACTTACTTCTTCTGTTTCATTAGCTGCTATCCATGGCTTTAACCTGTCTGTAATTGATTACTTCTAAATTTCTCCTTCTGGTGCAGAACTCTAGACACACTCTTAAATCCATACTAATGTATAAAATTGTCTATCAAGTCTCAATTTGATATCATATAGCTATATCAAACTCAGTGGGTTTGAAACTGAGCTAATTATCTCCTGGTTGCCTAAGCCTGAAACTTGTGGAACACATAATAACGCTAGTTACTATTTACTGTGTCTGGGCTCCGTACATATATGTTTTCACTTAATCCTCATAATAACCCTGTTACCAGAACAATTAAGGAACTTAACCAGTTGGTAATAATACTTAGTATAACTGATGAAGTTGAATTTGAACCACGTCTGGATGGTTTCCAATTCCATACTCTATCTACTCTGCTGCACTTCTGTTCCCCTTCCCTTCAATATGGACATAGCACAGAGGTGCAGAGAAATACCCCTAGGAGGACCCGGTACTACCAACGTCTTGAGTTGCTGTAAAACATTTCATGTTGCATGATTCTGGTTGACTTGCTCACTTAGTTTACTACAATAGCTACTTAACAGATCTTCCTGACCCAGTTTCTTCTCCATCCACAGGGCTGTCCAGAAATTTCTTCTAAAATACAAGTCTAATTGTCATTTCCCTTACTGCCTTCAGGATAAAAACCAAAATCTTTGGCATAGCATCTAGGACCTTCTCTGGCCAATTCATGGTCATATTGCATGGTCTTTTTGTTTCAATCATTTTAAGATACATGGAGTTTCTAGAGCTATAATTCGCCATTTTGCTTTTGTTTTTGTGGCATGCTCTTTCTTCCTCCATCACTTTCAACTTCTCATTTTTACAAGTTGGGGCCGGATGCAGTGGCTCACACTTGTAATCCCAGCCCTTTAGGGGGCTCAGGCAGGAGGATCACTTGAGACCAGGAGTTCAACACCAGCCTGGCCACATAGTGAGACCCCATCTCTACAAAAAATTTAAAAATTAGCCCAGGCATGGTGGCGCATGCCTGTAGTCTTAGCTACTCAAGAGGCTGAGGTGGGAGGATTGCCTGAGCACAGGAGTTCAAGGTCATAATGAGTGCCACTACACTCCAGCCTGGACAAAAGAGTAAGACCCTGTCTCTTAAAAAAAAAAAACAACAACAAAAAGCCTGAGCAACAGGTGATTCTCTGTCTCTACAAAAAATACAAAAATTAGCCGGGTGTGGTGGTGTGCACCTGTGGTCCCAGCTACTTGGGAGGCTGAGGAGGGAGGATCACTTGAGCCCAGGAGGCAGAGATTGCCGTGAACCAAGATTGTGCCACCGCACTACCGCCTGGGCGACAGAGTGAGACCTTATCTCAAAAAAAAAAAAAAAAAAAAAAAGGCCAAGTGCTACCTCTCTCAGAAAACCTCTGCTTGCTCTTCTAGGTATTTCCTCTCCTCTTTAGTACCCCTCATTTGTGGTGTTTAGCACCTTGGTCATACCTCTAGTGGGAGACAACCTCTGAGATGGCTCCCAGTTGTTCCCACCTTCTGGTGTTCATGCCCTGTGTAATACCCTCCTTTTTAATGTGTGAGCAGAACCTAGTGACTCAATTCTAACAAAAGAATACAGCAGGCTGGGTGTGGCAGCTCACCCCTGTAATCCTAGAATTCTGGGAGGCCGAGGTGGGCAGATCACTTGAGGTCAGGAGTTTGAGACCAGCCTGGCCCACATGGTGAAATCCTGTCTCTACTAAAAATAGAAGAATTAGCCGGGTGTGGTGGCATGTGCCCGTAATCCCAGCTACTCGGGAGGCGGAGGCAGGAGAATTGCTTGAACCTGGGAGGCAGAGGTTGCAGTGAGCTGAGATCGCACCATTGCATTCCAGCCTGGGGGACAGAGCGAGACACAGTCTCAAAAAAAAAAAAAAAAAAAAAGAATATAGCAAAAGTGATGGGATGTCACTTCTGAGATTAGGTTACTGAAAGATTGTCACTTATGTATTACTCTTCCCTTCTTACTTGCTTGTTCTGTTGGGGAAGCAACTTGCTACGTTTATATAGTCTTGTAGAGAGGCCCATGTAGCAAGGAACTAGTGTCTGTGGCCAACAACAGTCAGCACGGGACTGAGGTTTGCCAGTAGCCATATGAATGAACTTGGAAGAAAATCCATTTTAGCCTTGATAACTGCAGCCCCAGCTGATACCTTGGTTGTATCTCTGTGGTAGACCCTGAGCCAGAGGCATCCAGCTGAATCATACCTGGATTTCTGACACTGAGAATCTATGAGATAATAAATATTCCTTGTTTTTTTTTTTTTTTTCTTTTGAGATGGAGTTTCGCTCTTGTTGCCCAGGCTGGATTGCAGTGGCGCTATCTCAGCTCACCACAACCTTTGCCTCACAGGTTCAAGCGATTCTCCTGCCTCAGCTTCCTGAGTAGCTGGGATTACAGGCATGCGCCACCACACCTGGCTAATTTTTGTGTTTTTAGTAGAGACGGGGTTTCACCATGTTGGTCAGGCTGGTCTTGAACTCCTGACCTCGTGATCTGCCTGCCTCAGCCTCCCAAAGTGCTGGGATTACAGATGTGGGCCACCGCGCCTGGTCAGATGTTCATTGTTTTAAGCCACTAAGTTTTGGGGTAATTTTTTCTGAAACAGTAGTTAACTGATAAAAATTTCGATGCCTGCAAGAGGGGTGCTGCCACAGCAAATACATAGAAATGTGGAAGAAGCCTTAGGAGGTTGAAAGAATTTTGTCCGTCATGATACAGAAATTCCCTTGAACAGACTATTGGCATAAATCTGGACTTTGAGGAAGCTGGGGTTAAGAACTTAAAAGGTGATGAGAAGCATATTGTTGAAAAACGGAGGAAGGAGAATTCTTATTATGTAGAGGCAGAAAGCTTAGAAGCACCCTTACCACTAATAGCATGGAAAATAGGAAGCTTGGCTGATGAACTGAGTGTTACTAAACCAAAGAGGTTTCTTTTCTTTTTTTTTTTTTTTCCTTTCTTTTGAGACAGTCTCGCTCTGTCACCAGGCTGGAGTACAGTGGCGCAATCTCGGCTCACTACAACCTCCGCCTCCGGGGTTTAAGTGATTCTCCTGCCTCAGCCTCCCGAGTAGCTGGGATTACAGGCACGCACCACCATTCCCGGCTAATTTTTGTATTTTTAGTAGAGATGGAGTTTCACGATGTTGGCCAGGATGGTCTCGATCTCCTGACCTCGTGATCCGCCCGCCTCGGCCTCCCAAAGTGCTGGGATTACAGGCGTGAGCCACCGTGCCCAGCCCCAAAGAGATTTCTAAGCAAAGTGTGAAAGCTGCCACTGGATTTCTTCTTGCTGCTTATAGTAAAATGCAGGAGGTGCCCTGTGAGTTTTCCTCTAATAGTATGGACATACCACTCTTACAGTATTTATCATACTGTGTTATATATACTTAATTTTTTGTATTTCTCGCTAGGCTATGAATTCTGTGAGAGGCCTTCTAACGTGTAGTGGTTTAGATCTTGCTCAGATTCTAAAGAGATTTGCACTCAAGCCTTGGCTCTGTCTCTTACAAACTAAGTGACAAGTTACTTAAGTTTTCCATCCTCACTTTCTTAATCTGGAGGGTAGGATTAATGATAGTAGAATATAAACTCCTAAAATCTCTGTATTTTTACTTGTGTGCTCACTACTAGCACCTAGAAGAATCTGGAGTCATAATAGGTGCTTAATAAATATTTATTGAATTAACGAATTGAGTAATTTCTGCCTCAGATTGTTGGTTTAAATTAGGTAATGCATGGAAGCAGTTTGCTCAATGCCTAATAAATATGAATTGCTCAGTGTTTGTTGTGTTTAGCTGTTTTTCTCCCTATTATTCATCTAGTCCTTGATGCATAGAAAACCATTTCGTGAATAAAACAACTCACAAAGCAAAAGAGTTGTTTGTAGTTCTGGATGATACATCAGGAGTCAGTTTAATTTAAAGTGTGATATATTAATATGATATATATTATCATAATCATTATCATATCATGTAATTATATTGATACAGCTCTGATGAGTGGAGGGACACCAGGGTCCTTAGTCTCGCACTGAATTGGATAAAATGACACAGATACACATGGAGTGGTTTTAAGGAGCTGAGAGTTTAATAGGCAAGAGAGAAGGAAGAAGCTCCCTTATACAGAGACGGAGGGAGTGGGGCTCCTAAGCCAAGAGAGGAAACCCTGTGTGCGGTAGAAAAGTGGCTGCTTATATGAGGAGGCTGGAGGAGGTGGTGTTTGATTTGCATAGGGCTCAGGGGATTGATTTGACCAGGCATGTCATTCACATAGCCCGTGAAAAAACTGGCCCTCCCACCCTAGCCTCTTAATATGCAAATGCAGGGTGCTATGATGTTCTACATACATGGGGATATGTGGGGACAGCCATGTTGCCAGGCACATGTTGGGGCAAGGAAGAAGACAGTGGGAATCTCCATGTTTGAGTGGATCCAGTGTTTTTTTTATTTTGAGACGGAGTTTCACTCTTGTTGCCCAGGCTGGAGTGCAATGGCGAGATCTTGGCTCACTGCAACCTTTGCCTCTCGGCTTCAAACAATTCTGCCTCAGCCTCCAGAGTAACTGGGATTACAGGCATGCGCCACCACGCCCAGCTAATTTTGTATTTTTTTAGTAGAGACGGGGTTTCTCCACGTTGGCCAGGCTGGTCTTGAACTCCCGACCTCAGGTGATCTGTCCGCCTCTGCCTCCCAAAGTGTTGGGATTACACGTGTGAGCCTCTGCACCCGGACAAGGGTGGACACAGTTTCTAATGGCCAGCATTTGCATATCAAAATTTGCTGGCCCAGCTCTAAGAGCTGGGGTTTTCCTGCTAGATGAGAAACTTCTGGAGCTGCTTTAAAAGAAACAAAAACTTCCCAAGGACTCTTTTTCCTCTCTATCTGCCTAAAATAATTTAATAACTCCTATAACAATATCATAATAATATGATACATTAATATTTGGACATGAAGAGACTTCTATTTCTGGCCATGATGGAGAAATAGTCCCTTCTATGGTAAACAGTGAGAAAATTGGTCAAAAGATATCATCAAACAACTATTTTTTAGATATTAGATTACAGGCATTGTGGGAATATTATTTTTGAGAGAAGGGAAACATAGTAAGGTGAGCACTATGATTGCCTTAGATTTCTGCCAGAAGACACATTTTAGATCACACTGTAGGCAGGGGGAATCTCAGGGCATGATGCCTTGTTGATTTGAGATAGGGATTGGAATTCAGAGAGGTTGCAGTGGCTGGAAAGAGCTGGACAAAGTTTCAGAGAAGAGGGAACTGTGTAGAAAAAGAGCTCTAGAAATCTGAATAGGTGTTTTCTTTAGCTTTTGCTGAAGGAATATATAGAATGTGTGTACAGTGAAACTCCATTAGGCTGGACAAGGAATGACTGAGGAGCTCTATGTTAAGTAATTCCCAGGGTTAGGGAGTTGTTAAGCACTTACCAGAGTGCTAAGTTGTTTTTGATCACCCAGTATGTTCAGTGGAGACCCCAAAAGGGCCGTGCCTTAAAAGTGGGGCTAAATTAGCCTAGAGTAAAGGCTACTCCCAATCTGTCCAAACAAAACCTTAAAACAAACTTTAAGGATCAAGTTGATGAACAGGTTACTTAACTGACTTTCAGAACAAAGCACAGGAATCTTTCAAGAATGATAACAAAATCCCGATACTTAAAAACATGATACTGTCTAGCATCCAGTAAAAAATGACTAGAAGCAGGAAAATGTAAACTATAATGAGAAAACTAAAGCAGTGGAAACAGACTATGAGATAATAGAGATAATATTATATGACAAAAATTTTTTAAAACTGGCATTATAAATATGTTCAGTATGCTCAGAGATTTAAAGGAAAACATGAATGTAATGAGAAAAATGAAATATATTGAAAAGAACTGATCAAAATTTCTAAAATGAAATTTAACTGAAATGAAAAATTTACTGATTGAGGTTAACAGCAGACAACAGCAGTTTCTTATCTGATGAGAAAGATCAGTGAAGTTGAAAACGGCAGTAGAAACCACACAAAAATTGAATGTAAGAGAAAGATTAAAAGAAATAATGAACAGAACCTTTGTGATCTGTGTGATAACATGGGCGTGATTGTACTCTCAGAAGAAGAAGAAGGAAGAGCCACAAAAAAAGTCTGACAAGGGAGAGGGGGGAGGGATAGCATTAGGAGATATACCTAATGCTAAATGACGAGTTAATGGGTGCAGCACACCAACATGGCACATGTATACATATGTAACAAACCTGCACTTTGTGCACATGTACCCTAAAACTTAAAGTATAATTTAAAAAAGTCTGAAGAAATAATGACTGAAAATTTTCCTGACTTTATAAAAACTACAATCATGCAGCTCCAAGTTCAATTAATCTCAAGCAGAATAAACACAAAGAAGACCATACCAAGGCACCATAATCAGATGGCTGAAAACCAGTGATAAAGAGAAAAAAAGTTTTTTAAACAGCTAAAGAAAAACGACATTTTATGTACAGAGAAACAGCCAAAAAAAAGGGCAAATTTCTTGCCAGAAACAATGTAAGACAGAGCAAAATAGAATTTGGCATTGTTAAAGTGCTAATAGATAAAATGAAACTGTAAACCCAGGTTGAATTTTATACCCAGCAAAAAATCCTTCAATATAAAGGCTTTTTATACATACAAAACCTGAGAGTAAATTACACTATAAAAAATGCTAAAGGTAGTTCTTCAGGTGGAAGGAAAATGATCTCTGATAGAAACTTGGTATACAAAAGAATAAGCACCTGAAATAGTCAATTAATGGTAAGATAAAAGGACTCTTTGGACATTATTTGATTTATTTATGAGTTAATTGCCTAAAGCAAAATGATAATGTATTGTGTATATATAGACATTATACAATGTCTACATGAAATGAATGACAATAGTAGCACAAAGACAGGAAGCAGCAATGGAAATATTAGGCCTAAGAGTCTTATATGTAAAATGATGTATTTTTATTTGAAGATACAGTGTGATAAGTTAAAGATGCATATTATAAAACCCTAGATAGAGCAACTAAACAAAAAGTAAAAGAAATATAGCTAATGTGTCAGTAGATTACCAACCAAACCAAGATTATGAAGGAAGAGAAGGGGAAAAAAGAACAAAGAACAGGTAGAGAAAATGGAAAATAAGCAAGATGATAGGTTGGTATGACCATATAATATTAAATACTTTAACCATTTAAATTAAAATACAGAGATTATCAGACTGGATTTAACAAAAAGTAAGATCTAATTATATGACATCTACCAAGACATTAAATATGAAGAAACAGGTTTAAAGTATAAAGATGGAATAAGATGCACTGTACAAAACTGAGCGTAGGAAAGCTAATATAGTGATTACTGTTTAAGGGAGACTTCAGAGTAAGGCATATTACCAAGAAAAAAGAGGGACATTTCAAAATGACAAGGGGGTTAATTTATCAATTGTAAGAGTGTTTGCATCGAATAGGAAAAATTCAAAATTCATAAAGCAGTGTTCAACATTTGTTTCCCAGTAATTAATAGTATAAGTGGAGAGAAAATCAGAATTTAGAACACTTAATAACATTGTCAACAAATATAACCTAAGTTGCATTGTAGAACACTCAGCGACAGTGATAGGGACAGGAGGCAGGGAAATTCTGGGCAGAAGAGGGTGAGTCCCTGGCGAGGGCCCCGCCCTCAAACTGAAAAAGCCTGGTACTATATGGCCCAGTGTGAGAACTGACATCCCTGTTTGTCCGGTCAGATGTTGCCTTTTCCAAAACCACTCATGGCCTGCCCCGCCCCTCATTCTGTGCCCATAAAAACCCCAGGCCTTGCTGGCAGAGGGAGGAGAAGCAGCTGGACATTGGAGACTATAGTTGGATGTCAGAAGCAGTTTGACTTCAAAGGGACAGCTTGACAGCGCAGCTTCAGAGAGGATTCTGGTTGGCTGGACTCCAGGGGAAGAATACCTTCCTGCTCTGTCTCCTTTTCAGCTCCTCTTCACACTGAGAGCCACTTTCATCGGCAATAAAATCTCCCGCATTTATCATTTCCTGTTTGTTCGTGTGACCTCATTCCTCCTGGGTGCTGGGCAAGAATTCAGATGCCACGAATGTGGGTGCAAAAGGCTGTCACGCTGACCCTCCACTGAGCTGTTAACTCTTAAGCCGTCTGCGGATGGCAAAGTTAAAAGGGTGCTGTAATGTTTCCCCTCGGGCTTCAAGGGTCATGAGCACCCTACCCTAGATGGTGTCTCGGGGCTAGTATGGAGTTTGCTCTTGCTGACACCCAAAAGCAGTCGCCCAACCACTGCACTCTCTCACCTGCGCTCCCCCTCCTGCGAGGGGTGGAGTAACAAGTGAGTGGGAGTTGGCCCCTGCCAATGCCGAAGTGGCTGGCTAGTTCCAGCGCCCATACATCCCTGTTACTGCCTGAGAAGGGGTCAGGGAAATATCCCGCTTCAACAGCACAGTACGTATTCTTTTCAACTGCACCTGGAACATTCACCAGCATAAACTGTATGCTGAGCCATAAAATAAGCGTCAGTAACTTTAAAGAGAGTGAAATATAGAATATGTTCACTGACCACAACAGAATTAAATTAGAAGTCAGTAACAGAAAGATTCTTGAAAAATCTCAAATATTTTTGAAATTAAACTTTTCTAAATAATCCATGGGTCAAAGAAGAAGTTGCAGAATATTTGGAACTGAATGGTAATGAAAGCACATAATATATTTTGTGGCATACAGTTAAAACGTGTAGAAGAAAATGTTTATAAATGATTATAGTAGGAAGAAAGGTCTAAAATAATAATTTAAGCACCTACCTTAATCTAGAAAGAGAACTAATTAAACCCAAAGTAAGTAGACAAAAGGAAATCATAAAGGTAACAGAATCCAGTGAATTAGGAAACTGTTGGCCAGGTGTAGTGGCTCATGCCTATAATCCTAGCACTTTGGGAGGCCGAGGCGGGCAGATCACCTGAGGTCAGGAGTTCGAGACCAGCCTGGCTAGCAAGGTGAAACCCCATCTCTGCTAAAAACACAAAAATTAGCCGGGCGTGGTGGCATGTGCCTGTAATCCCAGGTACTCAGGAGGCTGAGGCAGGAGAATTGCTTGAACCCTGGGAGGCGGAGGGTACAGTCAGCCGAGATCACACCACTACACTCCAGCTTGGGCGACAGGGTGAGACTCTGTCTCAAAAAAACAAAAAACCAAAACAAAACAAAAACCTGTTTAGTAGAGGAAATTAGTTAAATCACAGGCAGGTTCTTAGAAAGGATAAATAAAATTGATAAACCTTTAGTTAATTTATGAAGGAAAAAAGATACAAGTTTTAAATATCAGGAATGAAAAAGTAGATGTTACTACAGATCGTACATAAAAGGATAATAAAGGAACATTATGGACAACTTTATGCCAATAAATTCAACAAGATGAAATGGACAAATTCCTTAAAAGAGACAAACTAGCAAAACTGACTCAGGAAGAAATAGAAAACTTGAATATCCCTGTATCTATTTAAAAATTCTTAATTTAAAATATTCCCAAAATGAAAACTCCAGACCAGATGGCATCAGTCGTGAATTGTGTAAGAGTTTTAAGAAAGAAAAAATACTAATTGCTCATAAACCCTTTAAGAAAATAGAAGAGATAATACCGTAACTAATTTATGAGGTAGTATTATTCCAATACCAAAGCCACACAGACATTGTAAGAAAACTACAGAACACAAAATTTTAATTTTTTTTTTTTGGAGACAGGGTCTTGCTCTGTCACCCAGGCTGGAGTGCAGTGGCGCGATCATGGCTCACTGCATCCTTGACCTCCTGGGCTCAAGCAGTCCTCCCACCTCAGCCTCCCGAGCAGCTGGGATCACAGGCACACGCTACCACACCTGGTTAATTTTTGTATTTTTTGTAGAGACCAGGTTTTGCCATGTTGCTCTGGCTGGTCTCGAACTCATGAGCTTAAGCAGTCTGCCTGCCTCAGCCTCCCAAAGTGCTGGGATTACTGGTGTGAGCCACTGCACCTGGCCCAAAACTTCTTGACAAAATATTAGCAAGTTGAATCCAGCAGTATAAATATAATGATGATACATCATGACCAGGTAGAGTTTACCCCAAGTATGCAAGTTTGATTTAGTAGTAAAAAAATCAATATACAGTCCATCCTTATTATTCGCAGATTTTGTATTGGCAAATTTGCCCACTAGCTAAAAGTTATTTGTAACTCCAAACTCAATACTTTCTTGCTTTTTTGTGGTCATTTGTGGACATGTGTGCAGTGGAACATTTGAATTGTCCAATATATACATTCCCAATTGAGTCAAGCAACGTTCTCTCCCTTTTTCTTCAGCTCTCGTGTTATAAACAAATGTCCTTTTCGTGATCGTGCCATATTTTTCAGATTTTTTGCTAATGATTTTGTTGTTTGAAATCATTATGCCCCCAAGCACAGTACTGAAGTGCTGTTTAATGTTTTTAAGTGCAAGAAAGCTATAATGTGCCTTCTGGAGAAATTAACATGTATTAGATAACTTCATTTAGGCATGAATTATAGTGCTGTTGCCTATGAGTTTAATGTTAATGAACCAGTAATATATATTAAATAAGATGTCTTTAACAGAAACATATATTAAACAAGATCATGTATTGATTGGTTGATGAAAGTGTTGTGATTAGAGGCTTATAGGAATATAACTGTATTCCCTAGGAATAATGGCTCAGTATTTGCTAATTTATTGTTCATTGTGACTTTATAGAACAAATAACTACCATAAATAACGAGAATGGGCTATATATCTGTTACTCGATTATCTAAGAGAAAAGAAGGTAAACCACATGATTATCTCAAAAAAAATTTTTTTTTTTTGAGAGAGTCTTGCTCCATGGCCCAGGCTGGAATGCAGTGGTGTGATCTTGGCTCACTGCAACCTCTGCCTCCTGGGTTCAAGTGATTCTCCTGCCTCAGCCTCCCGAGTAGCTGGGATTACAGGTGCCCGCTACTATGCCTGGCTAATATTTTTGTATTTTTAGTAGAGATGGGGTTTCACCATGTTGGCCAGGCTGGTTTTGAACTCCCGACTTCAAGTGATCCACCTGCCTCTGCCTCCCAAAGTGCTAGGATTACAGGTGTGAGCTACTGTGCCTGGCCAATTATCTCAATTTATACAGAAAAAGTATTTGATAAAATTCACCATCTATTCATGTTAGAAATGCTCAGGAAACTAGGACTAGACGTCAACCTTCTAATTAAAGGACTGCTTTATTATATATAAGTGTATATAATATAAGCCTGCAGTTAACATCATATTTTTTTCTTCATAAGATCAAGAACAACTAAGGATGTCAACTCTCACAATTCCTACTCTGATCCTAAAATTTATATGAAACTGCAAAGACTAAAATAGCCAAAACAATATTGAAAAGGAATAATTAAAATTAAAGAACTTACATTGCGTTTGGACAGAGGTACAGATAAATGGAAAATAATAGAACATTGAGAAATAATTCACACTTCTCGATAAAGGTTCCTAAGGTAATTCAGTGGGAGAAAGAATAGTATTTTCCACAAACAGTTTTGGAGCAACTGGATATCCATATAGGGGAGGGGGATAATCCCTTTCCTTAAACTGTACACAAAAGTGAACTCCAAATGGATGAAAGACCTACATATGAAGGGTAAAATGGAAAGACTTCTAGAAGAAAACATAGGAGCAAATCATCTTGACCTTGGAGTAGGCAAAGGTCTTTTAGGACACAAAAAGCATGAACTATTAACAGAAGTAGTCGATAAATTGTAGTCTATTAAAATTAAAAAATGCTATTCGAAAGGCACCATTAAAAATTGAGAAGACAAGCCAAAAAGAAGACAAGGCAAAACTGTTTGTATGCATATATTTGACAGAGAACTTGCATCCAGAATACATAAATCCAATTCAATAAGAAGACAAACCTATCAGTTAAAAAATGGACAATGGATTTGATCAGACATATCACTGAAGAAAATGTGTAAGTGGCCAAAAAGCACTTTAACTCAACCTCATTTGGTACTGGGGAGATGCTAATTAAAGCCACGGTGAACCATTGCTCATCTACTAGAATGAATGAAATGAAAAAGTATGACAATGCCAGATGTTGATGAGGATAGTGGAACAACTGGAGCTGTAATGCATTGTTGGTGGGAATGTACACTGGGTACAACCAGTTTGGAAAACATTTTGGCAGTTTCTTATAAAGGGAGACTTACACTTGTCCTAAGATCCAGCATTTCCACTGTTTACCCAAGAAAAATGAAAATACTTATCCATAAAAAGATTTCTTCAAGAATTTTCGTATATGACTTATTCCTAATTGTCAAACACTGGAAGCAATCCGCGCCCATCGGTAGGCTATTAGAGGCTGAGCGCGGTGGCTCATGCCTGTGATCCCAGCACTTTGAGAAGCCGAGGCGGATCACTTGAGGTCAGGAGTTTGAGACCATTCTAGCCAACACGGTGAAACCCGCCTCTACTAAAAATACAAAAATTAGCCAGGTTTGGTGGCATATGCCTGTAATCCGAGCTGCTCGTGAAGCTGAGGCAAGAGAATCTCCTGAACCTGGGAGGGGGAGGTTGCAGTGAGCTGAGATTGCCATCACTGAACTCCAGCCTGGACAACAGAATGAGATTCGGTCAAAAAAAAAAAAAGAGGTATTAGATAACCAAATTGTAGTATTTTGTATTAATCTGGGTTCTCCGGAGAAACAGAACCAATAGGATACATATATATTTTATTGATACAATAACATACACACAGATTTATTTTAAGGAATTGTCTCATGCACTAATGGAGTCTGAGAAGTCCCGTTATCTGCAGTAGGCAAGCTGGAGACCCAGGAGAGCCAGTAGTATAGTTCTAGACTAAGTCCAAAGACCTGAGAACCAGAAGGAGTTGACATAATTACCACCACATATATTCATACAATGGAGTACTCCTCAGCAATAAAAAGGAATGAACTGTTACATGCAACAACAAGCATGGATCTCATGGACACTATGCCGAGTGAATGAAGTCAGACACAAAACAGTATTATGTGATTACATTTGTATGACACCTTTTAAAAAAGCAAAACTAACCTTTAATAATAGGAAGTAGGTCAGAGTTTACCTGGGTTCAAGAGTGGAGAGATTGACTTCAAAGGAGCGTGAAAAATTGTTTAGGGCTTATGGCAGTGTTCTAAATCTTGATGGTAGTAGTGATTTAATGGCGTATTTGGCTTTCAAAACTCCAAAGATGGGTGCAGATTTATTTATTTAGAGATAGGATGTTGCCCTGTCACCAAGGCTGGAGTGCAGTGACTCAATCATAGCTCACTCCGACCTTGACCTGCTGGGCTCAAGCAATATTCCTGCTTCAGCCTCTCTTGTAGCTGGGACTACAGGCACATGCCACCACATCTGGCTTATTTTTACATTTTTTATAGAGATGGGGGTCTTACTGTGTTGCCCAGATTTGTCTCAAACTCCTAGCCACAAGTGATCCTCCCTCTTCAGCCTCCCATAGCATTGGGATTACAGGCGTGAGTCACTGTACCCAGCCTGGTACATTGTTTTTTATGTAAATGATACCTCATGTTTAACAAAAGAATAATTACTAATTGGATTTTTAAGTTTCTACAATAGTCCTTATCTTTTTGATACTATGCCTATGGGAAATCATTTTGGTTAAATCAATCATTTTCTTTCTAGGATAAATTATTAATTAGGTACTGCTGGGCCTGTATCAATATTTGGTTATGGTATCTGTTAATGTTTGAAAACTTAGTGGAGAAATTAACTGAAAAAGAAACATGGAAATAACTGGAGAAGATGCAAAATTAGAAATAAATTGTGGAAATTCATTTTTTCCTAAATTTTCCCTTAGATTATAAATAAATTCTCATGTAAGTTTATCATTTTAAAAACATAATTTTAAATATCTTTAATATTCTATGTATTTTCTGTCAGTTTTCCTGTTCTTCAATTTTTGGACATATCTTTGTATTTGAAGCCTTTTTTGGCATTTGATTATTCTTCTGTATGCATACTTAGATGTAGAATCACTGAATCAAGGAGTATGAATTTCAAAAAAATATAGATAATAAATTCACATGGCAAATTCCAAGGGTACAATTGGGAATGCAGTGAAATGTCTTCCTTGTGCCTTTGTTGACAAATTTCCCTTCTTGGAGGCAGCCAGTGTCATCAGAATTTTGCGTTTCCTTCGTGTGTGTGTTGCAAGAAGTTTAGATAGTGGATGAAAGACAAATTTTACAAGAAGGTAATTATATTATACATACTCTTTAAAATAAAATCAACTACAGTTATTTTTACTTGAATTTCATAAAAGAAAAGGAAACTATAATGAAACTGATAGAACCTCTTTGAATTTAAATATTTACCAGAAGAAAAGATCTCTAAGATTAAGAAAAGAAAGGTTTGGAGTAATATTTTTGAAATATTGTTAATATATAAAAGAAATATAAATTACCAGTAAAAGTATGACTATTTTAGAACTCAGTTATTGAAATAGAAATGAAATGTTTTTATCTTTTTTAGACTGGTGAAAATTGATAAAATATACAAGAATGGGTACCCTTGTGATGTTATAGGTTTTTGCAAAATTTTTTCAGTAAAAGGCAATTTGGCAGTACTTCCAATTTTAATCTGTCTGTTATCTTGAATATAGTAATTTGATATCTAGAAACTTTTCACGAACAGATCTTAAAACAAGTCTAAAAGGATACCTATCTGCTGTGAAAGTGTCCATTAATAGAAGATTAAGTTATAGTGAATCTACCAAATAGGATAATGTACAAGTATTAAACATAGTGATGTGTTGTAGATTTTAATTTATTGCCATGGAAATAGGTTCTCGACATACCCTTTTTATTTCTCTCAACAATAAGTAATTGAATGCATAATGGGACCTCATTTATATAAAATCATATGTATGTCCAAGGGTAGACAGATTTCTGTAAATACAAATACTCATTAAAGTGGTTTTCTGCCTGGGCACAGTGGCCCACACCTGTAATCCCAGCACTTTGGGAGCTTGAGGTGGGTGGATCGCTTGAGCTCAGGAGTTGGAGACCAGCCTGGGCAACATGGCAAAACCCCATCTCTACCTAATATACAAAAAATTAGCCAGGCGTAGTGGCGTACGCCTGGAGTCTCAGCTACTTGGGAGGCTGAAGTGGGAGGATCACTTGAACCTGCGAGGCTTGAGGTTGCAGTGAGCCGAGATCATGCCACTGCACTCCAGCCTGGGTGACAGAGCAACACCCTGTCTAAAAAACAAAAGCAGTTAGCTCTGGATGGTGGACTATTAGAATTTTTAACACTCTTAGGTTTCTTTATGCTGAATATTTATCATTTGTATACTTGAAAAAATTTCTCTCCTTTCTGAACAATTAAATATGTCTAATTTATTTGCTTGCTGTTTCTGTGGATAATAGGAGACATAGCCTTTAAGACAATACCTGAGGCCAGGCACAGTGACTCACGCCTGTAATCCCAGCACTTTGAGAGCCTGAGGCCAGTGGACTGCTTGAGCTCAGGAGTTTGAGACCAACTTGGGCAAAATGGTGAAACTCCATCCCTACAAAAAATACAACAGTTAACTGGGTGTAGTGGTGCGTGCCTGTGGTCTCAGCTGCTATGGAGGCTGAGGTGGGAGGATCTCTTGAGCCCAGGATGGTGAGGCTGCTGTGAGCCCTGATCCCACCGCTGCTGTGAGCCCTGATCCTGCCACTGCAGTTCGGCCTGGGTGACAGAGTGAGACCCTGTCTCCAAGAAAAAAAAAGTACCCAATCAAGTTCTAAAAATATTTATATCTAACACTGGTTTATCAAGGTCTGTAGAACCTTTGTAATGGAATACCTAAGGGTCATGGTTTGGGATGCTCCACTAGTGCAGCTGAAATTACCCAGGAACCAGTTGAACAGGTACTCATAGTTGGGGAACTCTGAACTCCAGGACCCAAGGCGTTGACTGAAATTTTCAATGCTACACCCTGCTATATGTAGTTAAACTCTCTAAAGACTTAGTTTTTAAAGAACAAGTCAAGTTTGAGCCATAGTTTTTATTTACTTTGAATTAACCAAAAAGCATGTGAATTTATTGCATACACTTGTCCTTGTTGATAAATGATAGTAACATTGGAAGTCATTCTTTTCTCTGCATCTCAAGTCTTCTTCATTTAGGAAATTAACAAAGAAAATTAATTTTTTCATTGGCCATTTATAACATATTGCCTGTATCAGGGTTTGCCTTAATCACTGGGATGGGGGGTGGGAAGTAAAATTCCTCCCCTGCAGAATCATGCTCTGTACCGGAACACAGGAACAGTCAGGAACCTTTCCAGTGAACTATGAGTTCGGGTGGGTGGTTGAGGAAGATTTTCCAGAGGAAGTTACATCTGAACTGAATTTTGAAAGGTTAAGCATGAATTAGCCACACCAAAGAAAGGGATATAAGGGTAGAGACAAACACCTAGAGGCATGTAAGGGCACAGTACATACTGGGAACTGCAAGTCCATGGTCTTAGTGTAGGGATCAAGGCAGTGCAGGCAAAAAAGTGAGGCTTCAGAGGCCAGATCATGAAGAGTCTTGTTAGCTGTCAGTTTCTTACCGTGGATTTCCTTATAAATACAGCCTTAGTTCACTTAGTCTGGGAACTTTTGAGTCATCTTTGCTTCTTCAGATTTTCCTCCCATAACCTCCTTAATAATTAGGCACCAAATCCTGTCAGTTTTGGGAACTTGGATTGAAATGGAAAAATGACAGGGTAGATGTAGACTGTGTTCTTTATTACAGGCTGCGACTTATTCTTTTTAATTTCTAGGGCTTAGCACTGGCTCACAGGCCCTTACTGTCTGAACAAATGGATTAAAGGAAGGGAGTTCCAAAGATAAAATGTTCAGCATTTTTACATGTATAACTCATCTGTTCTCCAGTTCATTATCAAAATAATAATAATCTGGCTGGGCATGGTGGCTCACGTCTGTAATCCCAGCACTTTGGGAGGCCAAGGTGGGCAGGATCACCTGAGGTCAGGAGTTGGAGACCAGCCTGGCCAACATGGAGAAACGCTGTCTCTACTAAAAGTATAAAAATGAGCCAGGTGTTTTGGTGATGCATGCCTGTAATCCCAGCTACTTGGGAGGCTGAGGCAGGAGAATTGCTTGAACTTGGGAGGTGGAGGTTGCGGTGAGCTGAGATCATGCCTCTGCACTCCAGCCTGGGTGATGGAGCGAGATTCTTTCCCCCCAAAAAAGAAATAATAATAATCCAATAATTTTAATAATCTTTGGCGGACTGGTTGAAAAGTTAACCCTTAGATTTTTAATTAAAAAAAAAAATGAAATCAGACCCATTAGTAAGGTCTGTTGAATTAATGTACCGGTAGGCAACTGAAGCAACAATGGTCATAGTTAGGGAAGAAAAGTGCCAGACAGCTTTTAGCCATTTGATATAATGCATATATACCAGTTTACATTGTGTGTGTGTGTGTGTGTGTGTGTGTGTGTGTGTGTGTGTGTGTGTGTGCGCGCGCGCCTCCCCACCCTGCCAGCTGAGACTAGTTTTCTTGCGACTATCCCGAAAGGGATTTTTTTTTAGTTAGAGGAAAAATTGTGAACATGTATATTTATTGCGTTTCACTTGTCACAGTTAATAATGTGGGTACATATTTTCCTGAAAATGAGTATATACTGCATTTGTTTTCTGAAAATGTGCTACAAAAGGAAAACTGAACATGGAGAGATAGGTAGCATTTATAACAATTACGTATTAGTGAAATAACTGTGCCATAGTGAAATAACTGAGAAAGCAAATTATGTGTCTCAGACATATTTGTGAAGCAGCTTTTATGGTTATCAGCAACACAGTTGCTGTAACTATTGTATTAGTGGAATTGGATCTTATGTGGGTCACATAACCAGCACCTGAACTTTTGTACTTGTAGCTATGCAAGACCCTTACCAAGATAATAATGTAATATAGAGAGGTGTCAAGAGGTGTTTTCATACATGTATTTGCCATCTTATAGAACTAGAATAACACTGTAATATAATATTATGAATATATCTTTAAAATATTTTTAAAGCCCCTATGAAAGTTAAGCATAAATGAGCTAAGCTCATCCCCTTCCCCTGCCAAAAGATAAAATATATGAGGGTGTTGTAGCACAGAAACCAAGACATAAAGACATGCAGTAGAAACCAGGGGTCAGCAAACTTCTTCTGTAATGTACCACATAGTAAAATTTTAGACTTTACAGGTCAAGAGGTAAAATCGAAGATATTATGTAGGCACTACTATAATAAGAGAGCATGCAATTTTTCACAAATTTTTAAAGGACAAAATTTCAAAATATAATAATTGAATGCATTTTTTGTAATACAGCTCTAATGAGAAAAGGGAATTCTTTTTAAAGGGATAACATTTCACTTAATTCTAGTTAAAAGTTAGCGTTCCATATCATCAAATCAATTGCAAATGTTCATCTGCTAATGCTGATTTATATGAAATTTTACGTATCATCTTCGAATTTGACTTTTCACCCAGACAAGAGATGCACATGGCATAACTTTGTCATTATGATTTGTAGTGCTGAGCAGCAGTGTGAAGCAATGAGAGGGCCATATGAGGTCTTTGCTGTGTGTACTTAATTCTGCCTTTTTTTTTAAGCACAAAAGCAGCCATAGACAACCTGTAAATGAATGATCATATTTGTGTTCCAATAAAACTTTACTTATGGACATTAAAGTTGGAATGTGATTTAATTTTTATGGATTACAAAATATTTTAATTTGTCCCCCAACCATTAAAAAATGTACAAGCCAGTTTTAGATTGCTAGCCATACAAAAAACAGGTGCAAGACAGATTTGGCCTGTAGGCTGTAGTTTTCCCAACCCCAGATATAAACCATAAAAATTCCCAAAATCTAATATAGATATTTTTGTATTTTTAAGCATTTTATGATTTCAGAAAATTAGTAACTTGTTTTAAAAGTGTTTCTATTGTTTTAATACCTTTTCTCGAACAGTATACTCCATGTAAAAATTCAAACATTATAGAAATGCCTAAATTAGTAATTAAAACACTAATTCTGTCCCCCAGAAGGTTAGGTGCATACTTTTTCCAGATTTAAAAAATAAATGTACTAACACTGGCCGGGTGTGGTGCCTCATGCCTGTAATCCCAGCACTTTGGGAAGCTGAGGCGGGCGAGTCACTTGAGATCAGGAGTTCAAGACCAGCCTGGTCAACATGGTGAAACCCCGTCTCTACTAAAAATACAAAAGTTAGCTGGCACCTGTAGTCCCAGCTACTTGGAAGGCTGAGGCAGGAGAATCACCTGAACCTGGGAGGTGGAGGTTGCAGTGAGCCTAGATCGCCACACTGCACTCTAGCCTGGGTGACAGAGCGAGACTGTATGTCAAAAACAAAACAAAACAAACACTTTTATGCACATCTAATTACTTTTTAAAACAAAATATGAGATCATGCCTTTTATAAACATGTGAGGACTTGCCTTTTTTCACTGACTTTATCATGAATGAGTCTTTAGATCAGGACGTGTGTATCTATGTGCTTAATTCTTTGAATGGCCTATCATTACATTATGTGACTCTGCCGTAATGTGTCCAATCATCTTCTCATTTTGGACATTTTGTTGTTTCTAGTTTTCTGCAATTCATTGTTATGTGCTCTTTTTGTAAATAAACTTGAAAGTTGATCATTAATTTTGAAATAGTTTTTTTAATGCCACTTTGATTTGGGGGCTTAATCTTAAAGGATGTGCACATTGAATATAGTTTTAATGTGGTCCATTTATTTAGGAGAACACATTTTCCTTTTTTACTGGCAACTATGGGGTAAGGGTAGTTAGAATTATTCTCACAGAAAATTATACATAGATTTATTTTCCAATTATTAAATCATGTATGAGGTGTTGGTTGGTACTTAAAGTTTATTTTGATGTATCAAAGCTTGGCCTGCATTATTGAAGATGTTATTGCAAAACCCACTTCTTTTTTTTTTTTTTTTTTTTTGAGACAGAGTCTCACTCTGTCGCCAGACTGGAGTGCAGTGGTGCGATCTTGGCTCACTGCAACCTCCAACTCTAGGATTCAAGCGATTCTCCTGCCTCAGCCTCCTCGGTAGCTGGGATTACAGGCGCCCGCCACCACACCTGGCTAATTTTTGTATTTTTAGTAGAGACGGGGTTTCGCCATGTTGGCCAGGGTGGTCTCGAACTTCTGACCTCAGGTGATCCTCCTACCTCGGCCTCCCATAGTGCTGGGATTACAGGCTTGAGCCACCACGCCTGGCCAAAACCAACTTTTTTATATGTGTCTTTCCTCACATTACTTATTAATGTGAGGAAACATTAATAAGTAATATGCTTTATTGCCACCATATTATTTTACTATTTTAATTTACATTGGATGTCTTATAACTATTATATTGGCAAATACCCACTTTGTTTGCTCAGAAATGAAACCTACCCCTGTTACAAAGCTGGTGGTTGGTTCTTGGCACTTGATTTGGTTTATGCATGCCCTAGGATACTCTCAAAGGCAAGGGATCAATTAGCAAGGTGTTAATTTGTCTTAATCTTTTGGGCTGGTACTAAGTTATTGTGAAGCAGATGTGTTATTACTCCATCCTCTGTGAAGATTGAGGAATAAGATGATCACTAAGTGCCAGTATTACTTTTAGATGTCATTATCAAATAACATTGTCACTAATTTTTTAGTGACAATATTTAGTGAAAGATTGTCACTGATTTATTTTATATTTTCCCATGATAATTACCTTCCTGTCTTATTTTCATTATGTCCTCCCATTTCCCTGAAATGTATCGAACAAGGGTTTAATTTATAAACAAGAAGGAGATCCAAATAAGAATTTGTTGGATATGAGAGATACATTGATTCTATGGAAAATTCCTGGGCCCAATCCCTGGAGATTTAGATTTGCTAGGCCTAGGGTGGGTCAACTGTTTTCACTCAGTATAGTTCTCTGGAGAGTCATGAAAGTTATTGCGTGTATGAGTAGCTTGTTCCTTTTTGTTTCTGTTTATATACAGTAATCCTTATCCTTTTTTTTTTTATGGTTTCAGTTACTTCTAGTCAACCTTGGTCTGAAAAGATTAAGTGGAAAATTTCAAGAAATAAACAATTTATATGTTATAAATTGCGCCATTCTGAGTAGGGTGACGAAATGTCTTGCTATCTCGCATCCCCCACCAGGAACGTGAATCATTCCTTTGTCCAACGTATGCACGTTGTCTATGCTCCCTACCTGCTAGTCACTTTGGAGCCCTCTCAATCGTTGGATTGACTGTCATGGTTTTGCAGTGCTGATGTTCGAGGAATTTTTGTTTTACTTAATGGCCTCAAAGCCCAAGAGCAGTGATGCTGGCTTGTTGTTATACTTGTTCTATTTTATTATTAGTTATTGTTGTTAATCTCATGCTGTGCCTAACTTACAAGTTAAACTTTATCATAGATATGTATATATAGGAAAAAACAGTGTATATAGAATTGAGTACAATGTGCCATTTCAGGCATCTTTACTGGGGGTCTTGGAAGTATCCCCTGTGGTTAAAGGGGATTACCATAGTTAAGTTGGAGAACTTTCTACATAGTTTAAAACTTAGTTTCTGCTTTGTTTCTTTCCTAATTTTATTAAAACAAGCATTTTTGTCTTAAATCTAGGTGACAAAACACGACAGCCTTCTTCAAGCCCCTCCAGTATTATCCGACGCACTTCCTCCCTGGATACTCTTGCTGCACCGTATCTTGCTGGACACTGGCCTCGGGATAGCCATGGGCAAGCTGCACCTTGCATGAGGGACAAAGCTACACAGGTAAGCTTATTATAGTTCTTATCCTGAAGTGTTTTTCTCTGAAGCTACTTCTTCTAATATTATTTGTTCTGCTTTGAGTAGAACAAACATTTAGTGTATATTAGAATTAACTTGAGAAACTTACCAAAAAGAGCAGATTCCAAGCCTGACCTCCAGGTATTCTGTAGTCGGTTTTGGTTGGGGCCTGGGAATGTGCATTTTAAATAGCTATCAAAGTAATTCTGATACATACAGATAATTTATGGACATACTTTTTTTTCCCACTTATTCTTTATAAGTTAGTTTACAACAGGGGTGTCCAATCTTTTGTCTTCCCTGGGCCACATTGGAAGACGAAGAATTGTATTGGGCCACGCATAAAATACACTAACACTAATGAGCTTAAAAAAAATTGCAAAAAATTCATAATGTTTTAAGAAAGTTTACGAATTTATGTCGGGCTGCATTCAAAACCATCCTGGTCCTCATGAGGCCCATGGGCCGCAGGTTTTGGACAAGCTTGGTTTACAATATCATAATATATTTAATATATGGAATTTGGTCTTAAAAATTTGTAACAGCAAAGATTAGTGACCATCTAACTTTACGTTTTTGTGCCAAAAAAACCTTCATGTTTCGGGAGATGGGGACTGTATTACTTTGCTGATCCTAAAAATGTAAATATTCTGACAAAGGGACTCTGGAAGCAAAGTTTTATACTTCTGGGTTTGTAAAATTGTTTAATAGAAAGGGATCTCAAGAAATCATTCAGGGCCAGGCGGGATGGCTTACGCCTATAGTGCCAGCACTTTGGGAGGCCGAGATGGGTGGATGGCTTTTGAACCCAGGAGTTCAGTACCAACCTGGGCAGCATGGCGAAACCTCATCTCTGCAAAAAAATACAAAAATTAGCCGGGCATGCTGGTGCACACTTGTAGTACCAGCTACTTGGGAGGCTGAGGCAGGAGAATCACTTGAACCTGGGAGGTCAAGGCTGCAGTGAGCAGTGATCATACCACAGCACACCAGCCTGGGCAATAGAGTGAGAACCTGTCTCAAAAAAAGAAAAAACAAAGAAGAAGAAATCATTCAGGTCTACCCCTTAGTTTTACAGATGAAGAAGTTGAGGTCTAAGATCATACAGCCAGTTGAAGACTGCATCTTAGTTTGGTGTAGTTTCTTACTTACCACAATTATAACTAGTTAAATATTTGTGTAGTTATTTATTTATGGCTTCTAACATTCACTAGATAGTAAGACCCATGAAGATAGGAATTGTGTCTGGCTTGTCTATTGCTGTATTTCCATGCCCAGGACTTAATACTAAATGCAGAATAAATGGCCCAAGGAATATTTGCAAAGGAATGAATGAGCAAAACAGTTACAGCTTTATTGCTAGTGAAGAATGAAAAACATTTAAAGATTTAAAAGATTTTTTATACTGATTGTTGAAAGTCAGGTAGGGTACATCTTGATTTAGACTTCAGATTTACGTTACTCCTGGTCTCAACATTTTTTGAAGATTTTTTTTTTCTTTCTTTTTTTTTTTTTTCCCCTGAGATAGAATCTCGCTGTGTCGCCCAGGCTGGAGTGCAGTGGTATAATCTTGGCTCACTGCAACCACTGCCTCCCGGATTCAAGCGATTCTCATGCCTCAGCCTCCCGAGGAGCTGGACTACAGGCGTGCACCACCATTTCTGACTAATTTTTGTACTTTTAGTAGAGACGGGGTTTTACCATGTTGGCCAGGCTGGTCTCAAACTCCTGTCCTCAAGTGATCTGCCTACCTCGGCCTCCCAAAGTGCTGGGATTACAGGTGTGAGCCACCACACGTGGCCCGAGATAATGTTTTTTATTTTTATTTTTATTTTTTGAGATAAGTTTCTCTCTGTTTCCCAGGCTGGATGGAGTACAGGGGCACAATCTTGGCTCACTGAAACCTCCACCTCCCGGGTTCTAGCAATTCTCTTGCCTCAGCCTCCTGAGTAGGTGAGATTACAGGCACATGTCACTACGCCCAGCTAATTTTTTGTGTTTTTAGTAGAGACGGGGTTTTGCTGTGTTGGCCATGCTTATCTCGAACTCCTGACCTCAAGTGATCTGCCAGCCTCCCAAAGTGCTGGGATTATAGGCGTGAGCCAAGGTGCCCAGCCCTGAGAGAATGTTTATTAAAGAACCGAGTAAACACTTTTCTGTGATGGTTTTGGATTTGTATATTGATTTCCAAAATTCCAGGTATTCTTAGTGGGCTCAGTTTATTTTCTGTTCTGATAATCTTGAAACGGAATCCTACTGTTAGGGCAGACAATTGGGATTTGGATTACCTTGGTGTTTATACTTTAGTGCAAACTACAGAAATGAAAATGTAGACTCTGTACTCATCAAAAGTAATGAATCTTTTCTGAAATTGACTTTTTTTTTCTTTTTTTGGAATGGAGTCTCACTCTGTTGCCTAGGTTGGAGTGCAGTGGCCTGATCTCAGCTCACTGCAACCTCTGCCTCCTGGGTACAAGCAATTCTCCTGTTTCAGCCTCCCAAGTAGCTGGGACTACAAGCGCACGCCACCACGCCTGGCTAATTTTTGTATTTTTAGTAGAGATGGAGTTTCACCATATTGGTCAGGCCAGTCTCAAACTCCTGACCTCAGGTGATCCACCCGCCTTGGCCTCCCAAAGCGCTAGGATTACAGGCATGAGCCACCGCGCCCAGCCTAAAATTGACTTTTTTAACCAAAGAGTTCTGTGAAACTCTGTAGTTATTCACAATCTGTAACTTTGCTGAGCTTAGGGCATGTAGTTTGGAAAATGAATACGGTGTCCACTTGCTTTCTGCTTAATCCACATGTCACATTTAAATTTGTAGAAGTTTATTTCCTTGAGCATTTCTACAGCACCCTTTATTTCCACTGCAGTTTTAGGTTCAATGGGTTCAGACATTTTGTCATATTAGTAAGAGTATGCTATCATACAAGCCATTGGGAGCCTCTTGATCTGTGGATGCAGTTCAGTAAGTCTTTTCAGCAAATTGCTGTGACCTAACAATTGAATTAAAATATAAACCCTATATTCCTTGCCTTTTTCTAAATATCCCCCAAATTGAGAATGTTAAGGGTACAAATAAAAAGAAAATTTAGATCTGGGTGTGGTGGCTCACGCCTGTAATCCCAGCACTTTGGGAGGCTGAGGTGGGCGGATCACCTGAGGTCAGGAGTTCGAGACCAGCCTGACCAATATGGTGAAACTCTGTCTCTACTAAATATACAAAAATTAGCCAGGCGTGGTGGCGTGCACCTGTAGTCCCAGCTACTCGGGAAGCTGAGACAGGAGAATTGCTTGAACCCGGGAGGTGGAGGTTGCTGTGAGCCGAGATCGTGCCACCTCACTCCAGCCTGGGTGACAGAGTGAGACCCCATCTCAAAAAAAAAAAAAAAAAAAAAAGAAAAAAAAAAAAAAAGAAAGAAAGAAAATGTATAATTATCATACTGTTAATCTTATTTGTAAAGCTCGTGTAGAATCTCCTAAAGGATAACTGGGTACTCCATCCTTTCAGTTACATGGTGGGCTCTCATCTTTGGCAAGTGAATTTAGCAGTAACACAATTAATCAAAAACTCTCAAATACCTTATTTGCAGATATTGGGTTTCCCTAAGTGTATGCTAGTTAAATCAACTTTTAAACATTGTGGTAAAATATATATAACAAGGTTTGCTGGTTTGACCATTTAAAAATACATGCCTATGTCATTTTATTGAACTTTATTGGGCTTCGCAGATATTGTGTTTTTTTACAAATTGAAGGTTTGTGGCAACTCTGCCCTGAGCAAGTCTGTAGGTGCCATTTTCCAAAAATGTGCTCACTTTGTGTCTCTGCCCCATTTTGGTAGTTCTTGCAATATTTCAGCCATTTGCATTATTATTGTATCTGTTATGGTGATCTGTGCTCAGTGATCTTTGATGTTACTGTTAATTGTTTTGAGGTGCCATGAACCATGCCTATATAAGACGGGGAACTTAATTGATGAATGTTGTGTGTATTCTGACTGCTGTTCTGCTGAGTCTCTCCCTCTCATTGGGCCTCTTTGTTTTCTCAGACACAACAGTATTGAAATTAGACAAATTAATAACTTTACAATGCCCTCTAAGGGTCAAGTGAGGTGAAGAGTTACATGTCTCTCTATTTCAATCAAAAGCTAGACATGATTGAGCTTAGAAAGCAAGGCACGTCAAAAGCTGAGATAGGCCAAAAGCTAGGCCTCTTGTACCAAACAGCTAGCCAAGTTGTGAATGCAAAGGAAAAGTTTTTGAAGGAAATTAAAAATACTACTTGAATGAGCATTATGAATGATAAGAAAGTGAAACAGCTTTATTGGCAATATGGAAAAAGTTTTAGTGATCTAGATAGAAGATCAAACCAGCCACAACATTTCATTAAGCCAAAGCCTAATCTAGAGTAAGACCTTAATTCTCTTCAGTTCTTATGAAGGCTAAGATAGGCGAGGACGCTACAGAAGAAAAGTTTGAAGCTAACAGGTTGGTTCATGAGGTTTAATGAAAGAAGCCATCTGCATAACATAAAAGTGAAAGGTGAAGCAGCAAGTACTGATATAGAAACTGTAGTAAGTTATCCAGAAGATCTAGCTAAGATTACTGTTGAAGATGGCTACACTAAACAAGAATTTTTTTTTTTTTTTTTTTGAGATGGAGTCTTGCTCTGTCACCTAGGCTGGAGTGCAGTAATGCAGTCATAGCTCGGTACAACCTTAAACTCCTGGGCCCTGGGCTCAATCAGTCCTCTTGCCTCAGGTTCCCAAGTAGCTGGGACTGTAGGCACACACTGACATGCTTGTATTTTTTCTTTTTTAAATGTTTTTGTAGAGACAGGATCTTGCTATGTTGACCAGGCTGGTCTTGAACTCCTGGCCTCAAGCTGTCCTCTCACCTTGGCCTCCCAAAGTGTTGGGATCACAGGTGTGAGCCACTGCACCCAGCTAGATTTTTAATGACAAAACAGCCTTATCTTGTAAGAAGATGCCGTCTAGGACTTTCATAGCTAGAGAGAAGTCAATGCCTGACTTTAAGGAACAGGCCAACTCTCTTGTTAGGGGCAAATGCAGCTGGTGACTTTAAGTTGAAGCCAGTACTCATTTACCATTCTGAAAATCCTAAGACCCTTAAGAATTATGCTAAATCTACTCTGCTTTTGCTTGATTCATGGAACGACAAAGCCTGGATGCCAGCACGTCTTTTTATAGCATGATTTACTGAATATTTTAAGCCCACCATTGAGACCTACTGTTCAGAACAAAAGATTACTTTCAGAATGTTACTGCTCATTGGCAATGCAACTGGTCACCCAAGAGCTGTGATGCAGATACACACAGAGAGGAATGTTGCTTTCATGCCTGCTAACACAACATCCATTTTGCAGCCCATGGTTCCAAGAAATAATTTTGACTTTCCAGTCTTATTATTAAGAAAATACATTTAATGAGGCCATAACTGCCATAGATAGTGATTCCTCTGATGGATCTGGGCAAAGTAAATGGAAAAGCTTTTGGAAAAGATTCACCATTCTAGGTGCCATTAAGAACATTTGTGATTTGTAGGATTAGGTCAAATATCAACATTATCAGGAGTTTGGAAGAAGGTGATTCCAAGCCTCATGGATGACTTTGAGGGTTTCAAGACTTCAGTGGAAGAGGTCATTGCAGATGTGGTGGAAATAGCAAGATAACTAGAATTAGAAGTAGAACCTGAAGATGTGATTGAATTGCTGCAATCTCATGATAAAACTTAAGCATGACAAATTGCTTCTTATGGATGAGCAAATAAAGTGGTTTCTTGAGATAGAATCTACTCCTGGTGAAGATGTGGTGAATATTGTTGAAATGAAAACAAAGGATTAAGAATATTACATAAACTAACTTAGTTGTTAAAGCAGTAGCAGGTTTTGAGAGGGTTGTCACCAATTTTGAGAGAAATTGTACTATGGGCAATATGCTACCCACGCAGCATTGTGTGCTACAGAAAAATCTTTTGTGAAAGGACCTGAGTCCGTTGATGCAGCAAACTTCATTGTCATCTTATTTTAAGAAATTGCTGCACGGGTGCGGTGGCTCACACCTGTAATCCCAGTACTTTGGGAGGACGAGGTGGGCAGGTCATGAGGTCAGGAGTTCGAGACCAGCCGGACCAACATAGTGAAACCCCTTCTATATTAAAAATACAAAATTTAGTGGGGCATGGTGGTGTGCACCTGTAATCCCAGCTACTCAGGAGGCTGAGGCAGGAGAATCGCTTGAACCCGGGAGGCAGAGGTTGCTGTGAGCTGAGATCACACCATTGCACTCCCGCCTGGGCGACAGAGTGAGACTCTGTCTCAGAAAAATAAAGAAAGAAAGAAATAAAATAAATAAAAAAGAAAGAAATTGCTGTAGCCACCTTGGCCTTCAGCAGCCATCACCCTGATCAGTCAGCAGCCGTTAACATCAAGTCAAGACCCTCCACTGTCAAAAAGATTGTGACTTATTGAAGGCTCAGATGATCATTAGCATTTTTTTTTGAGACGGAATCTTGCTCTGTCGCCCAGGCTGGAGTGCAGTGGCACAGTCTCAGCTCAATGCAAACTCCGCCTCCCAGGTTCACGCCATTCTCCTGCCTCAGCCTCCTGGGTAGCTGGGACTACAGGCGCCCGCCACCACACCCAGCTAATTTTTTGTATTTTTAGTAGAGACGGGGTTTCACTGTGTTAGCCAGGATGGTCTCGATCTCCTGACCTCGTGATCCATCTGCCTCGGCCTCCCAAAGTGCTGGGATTACAGGTGTGAGCCACTGCGCCCAGCCACATTTTTTAAATCAATATTTTAAAATTAAGATAGGTATGTTTGTTAAGACATAATGTTATTGCACACTTAATACACTATAGTATAGTGCAAACATAACTTCTATATGCACTGGGAAACCAAAGAAATTCATGTGACTTGCTTTATTGTGTTACTCCCTTTATTGCAGTGGTCTGGAACTGAACTCCCAATATCTCTTGAGTTATAACTGTATATAATTTAGTGGCATTAATTACATTCACAATGTTGTGCAACCATTGCTAACTATTTCCAAAACTTTTTCATCACTCCAAAAAGAAACCCTGTAACTCCCCATCCTCCTTTTTTCCTCACTATTAATACCACTGGCAGTTAATACTTAACCACTATCTCACTTTCTGTTTCCATGAATTTGCCCATTTCATGTAAGTGGAATCATACAGTTTGTTTTCCTGCATCTGACTCATTTCACTTAGCATAATGTTTTTGAGGTTCATTCATGTTGTATCATGTATTGAACTTAATTCCATCCTTACTTCCTCCTACCTCCTTCCCTGTGTTGCCTAGGCTGGAGTATAGTGGGATGATCACAGGTCATTACAGCCTCGACCTCCTGGGTTCAAGGGATGCCTCCCCTGCCCAGCCTCCTGATTAGCTAGGACTATGGGCTTGCACCACTATGCCCAGCTAGTTTTTTGAGTTTTTAGTAGAGACAGGATCTTTCTATGTTGCCCGGGCTGGTCTAGAAGTCCTGGCCCCAAGAGATGTCCACTCTGGCCTCCCAAAGTGCTGGGATTACAGGCAAGAGCCATCACACCTGGCCTTAATCTCTCTTAATGGGTGAATAATATTCCATTTATCAATATACCACATTTTGTTTACCTGTTAATCTGTAGATGGATATTTGGGGTGTTTCTACCTTTTGACTGTTCTGAACAATGCTGCAGTGTACATGCAAGTATCTGTGTGAATCCCTGCTTTCAGTTCCTTTCGATATATACCTGAGAGTGGAATTGCTGGGTCATATGATAATTCGATGTTTAGTTTTTAGAGGAACTGCCAAACTTTTTCACAGCAGCTGTATCATTTTCTATCCCCATGTATGAAGGTATATAATTCCAGTTTCTCTATATATTTACTAACACTTGTTTGAAAAATTATAGTCGTCCTAGTAGGTATGTTGTGGTATGTAATTGTTAGGATTTGTTTCCCCATATAACTAATGGTGCTGAGTATCTTTTCATGTGCTTACTGGCCATTTGCATATCTCCTTTAGAGTTCAGACACTGTCTTAACATCTCTGTGCCTCTGTTTCCTTTTTGTAAAATGGGAGAACTATAGTACCAATTTTTTGAGGTTACTTTGAAGATTAAATAAAGAAAACATATAAAACTCTCGGAACAGTATCTGGCACCTAGTAAGCATTCAATAAATGTTCTCTGTTAAATTAAAAATTAAAGTGATTACCTTTATTGTCAGATTTGAACAAGGATGGAATGTAGGTTTTATCCCCTAAGGAATTTGATCTATTGCTATTGCCTTCCTGGAGCATCCTGTTGAGAAGATGCAGGATAAAGATTGCTGAGACTGATAAGTGATTTCTGCCTTTAGCAAGGGACCTGGGGCACTTTTAGCAGTTATTTGCCTGTCTAGACACTGCTGCAGCAAAGAGTATGTTGGAAATACTTTATCTTAGGTTGTAAGTGGGTGCTTTCAGAAAGCTGATGTAGACTTTTGGCAAATTTTATCATGTCACTACTCTAAGCCCTGGTTTCTTGATTTTCTTTTTGAGACAATCTTGCCCAGGCTAGAGTGCAGTGGCACAATCTCAGCTCACTGCAGCCTCTGCCTCCCAAGTTCAAGCAATTCTCTTGCCTCAGCCTCCTGAGTAGTTGGGATTATAGGTGCCCACCACCATGCCCGGCTAATATATATATATATAGTATTTTTAGTAGAGATGAGGCTTCACCATATTGGCCAGGCTAGTCTCGAACACCTGACCTCAGGTAATCCGCCTGCCTCAGCCTCCCAAAGTGCTGGTGTATTGCAGGTGTGAGCCAGTGCGCCTGGCCTGATTTTGAAATAATTATGTATTACTCTCAGGCCTTTCCACCTCCTAGGGGAAGATTGGAAATGGGAGAAGGATTCTGGAAAATACAGAGAAAGAGAAATGCAGCATTTAAAAAGTTAAGAGGGCCGGGCGCAGTGGCTGACACCTGTAATCCCAGCACTTTGGGAGGCCGAGGCAGGTGGATCACCTGAGGTTGGGAGTTTGAGACCAGCCTGACCAACATGGAGAAACCCCATCTCTACTAAAAATACAAAATTAGCCGAGTGTGGTGGCGCATGCCTGTAATCCCAGCTACTCGGGAAGCTGAGGCAGGAGAATCGTTTGTACCTGGGAGGTGGAGGTTGCAGTGAGTCAAGATAGTACCATTGCACTCCAGTCTGGGCAACAAGAGTGAAACTTCATCTCAAAGAAAAAAAAAACAAAAAAAGTTAAGAACATGGAACAAGTTTTGAAAGATGTTAATCTCTCCTGTTGCATACCCCACCTCATCATTTGCTTTGGTCATGAGAATGAGTGAATGATTAAGGTTTTACTGTACATGATTATTTGTCATCATAATTACTTGACACAAAGGTATTCTCTTTTTTTCCTGTCTGTTTGGCAGCCATTCTTTATTCTGTGTATGTTCAAATAGCCTGAGAGCCTTTTAGCTTAGTGCTCCAGCATGTCAGTGGGCCTAATTGCCTATAAGACTGATTTGCCATTTCTGCTTTAGAGTTTGTACAGAGCTACAATGTCACCAACCTCTGCCCCCACACTGCCTCCGTGTTCTTTTAAAGATTCTTGTCTGATCCTTTGCGAGTTTGCCTTCCAAAAACGTTAGACTAATTTATATTTCCAGCATTAGCTACCTATGTGGCAAATCTATTAATTTGGTTTAAACTACCTGATTTTCAGAGTGCCTTTTATATTTGCTGACTATACCAATTTAGGGAGAGAAACTGTAGTGTGTATGTGTGCTTGCATTATTTGGGATTCCTTTGACTCAGAAGGTATTTTCTTTCCAACTTTCTTAACCTAGGCTTATTTACCTTATAGGTGATTTATCTGAGTATTTAACTTTTTGTGACCCACGTGATTGATGTCTGGTTTTCTTTCCTATTTCCTTCTTATTTTTAACATTTTTTTAGAGACAAGGTCTCACTGTGTTTCCCAGGCTAGAGTGTAGTGGCTATTCACAGGCATAATCACCGTGCACTATAGCCTCAAACTCCTTGGCTCAAGGGATCCTCCTGCCTCAGCCTCCTGAGTAGTTGGGACTACAGTCGCATGCCCCCACATGTCTTTCTCTTTCCTGTTTCTTTGGTTTGGTTTCTTTACGGCATAAACCAGTCATCTTTTGCTTTTAAAAGTCTTACATTATTTTTTCTTGGACCCTCTGTGTTTCTGAGGCTATTTTTTTAAAAACCCTCAAAGGTTGATTTTGATTAATATTTTATGAAAGTGTTTGTTTTTTCTAAAAGGACCTTGGCTTCAGAGTATTTTATGAAAGTATTTTATTTTTACAATTTATAGGTTGGCATTTGCTATTTATGGAAAAGTTCTGAGTTTTCCAGTTTATGGAAAAGATCTGAATTCAGAAACTTTGTAAGATGTCCTGTGATTAAAACAATAAAAGTTGAATATTTGTTAAACTAGAGGTATTTGTTGAATTACTGAAGACAGCTGTTTATAAATCTACAAACTTGTTTACAGGTTGTTTTCTTTGAATTGAAAGAATAGTCTGTAATTTAGAGTAAAAATATCACTATTTTACATATTTGGTAGATCTAAGCATTACTAAAAAGTATATTTTAATGTTATGAAAATGAAGAAGTAAAATTACTTTTTGAGTAACAGCTGTTTTGAATAAAACCTTGGTCTACTGGTTGAAATTAGAATGTAACAGGAGTGAGTAGAAAGTGTAACATTAGGAGTAAAAGAAATGTTAAAATCTTTTTTTGGGGGCCTAAATTCAGTGACTTCAGTGTAAGTTCTGTTGTTGCCTGTCAGTAGCTTTGCCTTCCTTAGGGTAAGCCTAGGAGTCTGAGAATTTTAATTTCGAAATCTTTACTACTTGGAGTTGTGTTCCTGTCCTTTCTTATTTCACATGTTAGATCAAATTTCTCTAGGCCAGTGACACCATACATTGTTTTTTGTTGTTGTTGTTTTTATTTTTATTTTTTTAGGGTTTTGCTTGTCACCAGCTGGAGTGCAGTGCCATGATTGTGGCTCACTGCAGCCTTGACCTATCATGATTAAGCAATCCTCCCTCCTTGGCCTCCCAGGTAGCTAAGACTACAGGTGCATGCCACCACACCTGGCTAATTTTTAATTTTTTTTTTTTTTGTAGAGATGCGGGCCTTACTATGTTGCCCAGGCTGGTCTTGAACTCCTGGACTCAAGCCATCCTCCTCCCTCAGCCTCCCAAAGTGTTGGGATTACAGGTGTGGTCCACTGGGCCTGGCCCATTAAATAGGCTGGGCACATCTAGCAGATGAAGGGTTATATTTTGGAATCCTTTAAAACAAATAGTTTCATGGCCAGGCATGGTGGCTTATGCCTGTAATCCCAGCACTTTGGGAGGCCACGGTGGGTAGATCACTTGAGCTCAGGAGTTCAAGACCAGCCTGGCCAACATGGTGAAACCCCGTCTCTACCAAAAATACAAAAAATTGGCCAGGTGTGGTGGCGTGTGCACTTGCAATCCCAGCTACTCGGGAGGCTGAGGCACGAGAATCACTTGAACCTGGGAGGTGGAGGTCACAGTGAGCTGAGATCGTGCTACTGTACTCCAGCCTGGGTGACAGAGTGAGACTCTGTCTCAAAAGTCATTCAGTCAGTCCATCAATCAATCAATAAAACAAATAGTTTCATGATTGTGTAACTTAATTTTTTTTTTTTTTGAGACAGAGTCTTGCTCTGTTGCCCAGGCTGGAGTGCAGCAGTGCAATCTTGGCTCACTGCAGCCTCCGCCTCCCAGGTTCAAGCAATCTCCTGCCTCAGCCTCCCGAGTAGCTGAGATTACAGGAGTGTGCCAGCATGCCCAGCTCATTTTTTGTATTTTTGGTAGAGATGGGGGTTTCACCATGTTGGCCAGGCTGGTCTCGAACTCCTGACCTCAGGTGATCCACTCGCCTTGGCCTCCCAAAGTGCTGGGATTACAGGCATAAGCCACCACGCCCAGCCTAATTTTTTATTTTATTGTCAGAAGAGATCTACTCTCAACAAAATTTTACGCGTACAATACAGTATAAATATAATAGGTATGATAATTATACAGCAGATCTCTAGAACTTACTCATTTTGCTTAACTGAAACTTTATTTCCATTGGTTGGTAACTCTCTCCATCCCCCCAGTCCCTAGCAATCACCATTCCATTTCTGATTCTATGATTTGACTATTTTAGATTTCTCATATAAGTTGAATCATGCAGTATTTGTCTTTTTGTGGCTGACTTATTTCATTTAGTAGGATGTCCTCACAGTTCATCCATATTATCATATACTGCAGAATTTCTTTTTTTTTAAGACTGAATGCTTGAATAATATTCCATTGTATGTATATACCATAGTTTCTTTATCCATTCATCTGCCAATGGATATTTCTACACCTCTGCTATTGTGAATAGCGCCGCAGTGAACATGTGAGTGCAGATACCTCTTTGAAATACTGATTTCAGTTCTTTTGGAATTGCTAGAGCATGTGGTTTTTCCATTTTTAATTATTTGTTTTGTTTTTAGAGACTGGGTCTTGTTCTGTTGCGCAGGCTGAAATACAGTGGCGTGATCTTAGCTCACTGCAGCCTCGAACTTCTGAGCTCAAGTGATCCTCCTGCCTCAGCCTCCCAAATAGCTGGACTCTAGGCATGTGCCACCACACCTGAATAATTTAAAAAAAATTTTAGAGATGGAGTGTCACTTTGTTGCCCAGGCTGATCATGAACTTTTGGCCTCAAGCGATCCTCCCACCTCAGCCTCTCCTGCGTCACTGAGATTATTGGTGTGAGCCACTAGGCCCAGCCAATTTTTAATTTTTTGAGTGACCTTCATACTGTTTTCCATAGAAGCTCTACTGTTTAGTATTCCCAACAACAGTGTACAGGCGTTCCACTTTCTCTACATCCTTACCAACACTTGGCTTTTTGGTAATAGTCATCCTGACAGGCGCGAGATGATACTTCATTGTAGTTCTGATTTATCTTTCCCCAATGACTAATGTTGAACATTTTCTTACATACCTCTTGGTCATTTGTGCATCTTCTTTGGAGAAATGTCTATTCAAGTCCTTAGCCCACTTTTTTTTTTCCCCAAGTCCTTAGACCTTTTTTTTTTTTTCCAGACAGGGTTTCGCACTTGTTGCCCAGGCTGGAGTACAATGGAGTGATCTCAATTCACTGCAACCTCTGCCTCCCGGGTTCAAGCGATTCTCATGTCTCAGCCTCCCAAATAGCTGGGATTACAGGCACCCGCCATCACGCCCAGCTAATTTTTGTATTTTATTAGAGATGGGGTTTCATCATATTGGTCAGCCTGGTCTTGAACTCCTGACCTCAGGCGATCTGCCCCCCTCTGCCTCCCAAAGTACTGGGATTACAGGCGTGAGCCACCACGCCTGGCCAGCCCATTTTTTAATTATTAGTTTTATTGCCATTGAGTTGTATGTGTTTCTTACGTATTTTGGAGATTAGCCTCTTATCAAATATATAGTTTGCAAATATTTTCTTATTTCTTAGGTTGCTTTTTACTCTGTTGATTGTTTTCTGTGTTGTGCATAAGCTTTTTAGTTTTTGCTTTTTTTGGTCTGTGCTTTTGATGTCATAGCCATGAAATCATTGTCAAGACCAATATCATGAAGCTTGTCCCCTATGTTTATTTCTAGGAGTTTTATAGTTTGTGTCTTATATTTAAATCTTGAATCAATTTTAAGTTGATTTTTGTATGGGGTAAGAGTCTAGCTTCTTTCTTTTGCATGAGGATATTCAGTTTCCCCAGCACCATTTGTTGAAGAGACTGTCCTTCCCCCATTGGCACCCTCATTGAAGATTGGTTGAGTGTTAATGTGTGGATTTATTTATGGGCTGTCTATACTGTCCCATTGATGTATGTCTTATCTTTATGCCAGTACTATATTATTTTTATTACTGTAACTTTGTAATATGTTTTGAAATCGAGAAGTATGATGCCTCTAGCTTTGTTCTTTCTCAAAATTTATTTGGCTATTCGTGGTCTTTTGTAGTTTCACACGAGTTTTAGAATTATTACCTATTTCCATAAAAATGCCACTGGGATTTTGATAGGGATTGCATTGAATTTGTAGATGACTTTGGGTAGTGTGGGTGTTTTAACAGTATTAAAAGTCTTCCAGTCCATGAACATGAAATGCCTGTTTGTTTATGTCGTCTTTAATTTCTTTAATCAATGTTTTTTAGTTTTCTGTATATAAGTCTTTCACTTCCTTAGTTATGATTATTCTTATGTTATTTTTTGGTGCTGTTGTAAATGAGATTGCTTTCCTAATTTTCTTAATTTTTTTCTTATACACATAGGTGTATATATTTATGGGGTAGCTGAGATATTCTGATATTTGATGCAATATATTTGATTATAATGCATAATAATCACATCAGAGTAAATGAGATATCTATCACCTCAAGCATTTATAATTTCTTTGTATTACAGACATTCCAGTGATATTATTTTACTTATTTTTAAATGTATAATAAATTACTGTTTACTGGAGTCACCCTGTTGTGCTATCAAATACTAGATCTTATTCTATCTAACTATATTTTTTGTACCCATTAACCATCCCCCTTCCCTTCTTGCCTGCTGCTAACCTTCTCAGCCTCTGATAACCATCCTTCTACTCTCTGTCTCCATGAGTTCAGTTGTTTTAATTTTGAGCTCCCACAAATGAGAACCTGCAAAGTTTGTCTTTCTCTGACTGGCTGATTTCACTTAACATAATGTCCTCCATTCATGCTGTTGCAAATGACAGGATCTCTTTTTTTTTGTTATGGCTGAATAGTACTCCATTGTGTGTATGTACCACATTTTCTTTATTCATTTGTCTGTTGATGGACACTTAGGTTGCTTCCAAATCTTGGCTATTGGGAACAGTTTTGCACTAAACATGGGAGTGCAGATACCTTTTCAATATACTGATTTTCTTTCTTTCAGGTATATGCCTAGGAGTAGGATTGCTGGATCATATGGTTCCTCTATTTTTTGTTTTTTTGAGGAACCTCCAAACTGTTCTCCTTAGTGGTAGTACTAATTTACATTCCTGCCAACAGTGTATGAGGGTTCCTTTTTCTCCACATCCTTGCCAGTATTTGTTATTGCCCGGCTTTTGGATAAAAACCATTTTAACTGGGGTGAGATGGCATCTCATTGTAGTTTTGATTTGTGTTTTTCTGATGAACAGTGATTGAGCACTTTTACATATACCTGTTTGTCATTTGTATGTCTTTTGAGAAATATCTATTGAGATATTTTGCCCATTTTAAATTGGATTATTAGAGTTTTGCCTATTGAGCTCCTTTTATATTTTGGCCATTAATCCCTTGTTGGATGGATAATTTGCAAATATTTTCTCCCATTCTTTGGGTTGTCTTTTTCACTCTGTTGATTGTTTCCATTACTGTGCAGAAGCTTTTAACTTGATATGACCCTATTTGTCCATTTCACTTTGGTTGCCTTTGCTTGTGGGTTATTACTCAAGAAATCTTTGCCCAGACAAACATCATGGAGAGTTTTCCCAATGTTTTCTTGTAGTAGTTTCATAGTTTGAGGTCTCAGATTTAAATCTTTAATCCATTTTGATTTCATTTTTGTATAAGGTGAGAGATAGGGTCTAGTTTCATTCTTCTGCATAAGAATAACCAGTTTCCCCAGCACCGTTTATTGAACAGACTGTCCTTTCCCCATGTATGTTCTTGGCATCTTTGTCAAAACTGAGTTCACTGTAGATGTATGGATTTATCTCTGGATTCTCTCTTCTATTCCACTGACCTCTATGTGTCTGTTTGTATGCCAATACCATGCCATTTTGGTTACTGTCATTCTGTAGTATAATTTGAAGTCAGTAATGTGATTCTTCCAGTTTTGTTCTTTTTGCTCAGGATAACTTGGGCTATTCTGGGTCTTTTGTGGATCCTTATAAATTTTAGGATTTTTTTTTCCATTTCTGTGAAGAATGTTATGGTATTTTGGTAGAGATTGCATTAAATCTGTAGATTGCTTTGGCTAGTATGAACATTTTAACAATATCTATTCTTTTAATCCATGAACATGGGATTTCTTTCTTTTTTTGTGTGTCTTTAATTTCTTCACTCAGTGTTTTACAGTTTTCAATGAAGAGATCTTTCACTTCTTTGGTTAATTCCTAGGTGTTTTATTTTATTTGTAGCTATTGTAAATGGAATTACTTTGCTGATTTCTTTTTCAGATTATTTGCTGTTGGCATATAGAAATATCACTGATTTTTGTATGTTGATTTTGTATCCTGCAACCTTGCTGAATTTATCAGCTCTCTTTTTTTTTTTTTTTTTTTTTTGTGCGTGTGGAGGCTTTAGGTGTTTCCAAATATAAGATCATATTATCTGCAAACAAGGATAATTTGACTTCTTCCATTACAGTTTGGGTGCCTATTATTTCATTCTCTTGTCCAGTTGCTCTGTCTAGCTCTTCCAGTACTATAATGAGTAACAGTGGTGAAAGTGGGCATCCTTGTCATATTCCCTATCTTACAGGAAAGGGTTTCCATTTTTCCCTATTCAATATGACACTAGCTATGGGTCTGCCATAAATGACTTGTATTATGTGGAGATATGTTCCTTCTGTACCCAGTTTTTTGAAGGTTTTTATCATGAAGAGATGTTGGATGTTATCAAATGCATTTTCAGCATCAAAATGATCATATAGTTTTTGTCTTCATTCTGTTAATGTGATATATCACACTGATTTGCATTTGTTGAACCATCCTTGCATCCCTGGGATAAATTCCATTTGGTCATAATAAATGATCTTTTTAATGTGTTGTTGAATTCAGTTTGCTAGTATTTTGTTAAATTTTGCATCAATATTCATCAGTGATATTGGCCTATAGTTTTCTTTCTTTGAAGTGTTTGGTTTTGGTAACAGGGTAATACTGGCCTCGTAGAATGAGTTTGGAAATATTCCCTCCTCTGTTTTTCAGAATAGTTTTAGTAGGATTGGTGTTAGTTCTTCTTTAAATGTTTGGTGGAATTCAGCACTGAAGCCATTGGGTCCTGGGATTTTCTTTGCCGGGGTGCTTTTTATTATGGTTTTGATTTTGTTACTTGTTATTGGTCTGTTCAGGTTTTGGATTTATTCATAGTTAAATATTGTTAGGTTGTGTGTGTCTAGGAATTTATCCATTTATTCTAGATTTTACAACGTATTGGCATATAGTTGCTCATAGTAGCCAATAATGATCCTTTGAATTTCTGTGGTATCAGTTGTAATATCTACTTTTCCCTCTCTGATTTTATTTATTTAGATCTCTCTTTTTCTCTTAGTCTGGCTAAAGATTTGTCAATTTTATCTTTTCAAAACCCACCTTTTTGTTTTGTTGATCTTTTGTATTGTTGTCTTCATGTCAAATTCATTTATTTCTGTTCTGATCTCTATTATTTTTTCTGTTAATTTTGTGTTTGGTTTGCTCCTTTCTGGTTCTTTAAGATGCATTATTAGGTTGTTTATTTCAAGTTTTTCTTGTTTTTTGATGTAGGCACTTTTAGCTGTAAAATTCCCTCTTAGTGCTACTTTCACTGTATCCCATAGATTTTGGTATGTTGTGTTTCCATTATTTTTTTTGAGAAGGAGTTTCGCTCTGTTGCTCAGGTTGGAGTGCAGTGGTGTGATCTTGGCTCACTGCAACCTCCACCTCCTGGGTTCAAACAATTCTCTTGCCTCAGCCTCCCAAGTAGCTGGGATTTCAGGCACATGCCACCATGCCCAACTAATTTTTGTATTTTTAGTAGAGATGAGGTTTCACCATGTTGGCCAGGTTGGTCTCAAACTCTCAACTTCAGGTGATCCACCTGCCTTGGCCTCCCCAAGTGCTAGGATTACAGGTGTGAGCCACTGCGCCTGGCCCTCCATTATCATTTGTTGTAAGAAATTTTTAAATTTCCTTCTTAATTTCTTCATTGACCCATTGGTCATTCAGGAGCATATTGTTTAATTTTCATTTTTTTTTATAGTTTCCAAAATTCCTCATTATTGATATCTAGTTTTATTCCACTGTGGTCAGTGAAGATGCTTGATATTATTTCAGATTTTTCAGAATGTGTTAAGACTTTTTTTTGTGACCTAACATAGTCTGTCCTTGAGAATGATCCATGTGCTGAGGAAAGAATGTGTATTCTACAGCTGTTGGTTGAAATGTTCTGCAAATATCTATTAGGTCCATTTGATTTATAGTATAGATTGAGTCTGATTTTTTTGTTGTTGATTTTATGTATAAATGAACTGTTCAGTACTGAAAGTGGGGTGGTGAAGTCTCCAGCTGTTATTGTATTGGGGTCCATCTCTATTTAGATCTAATAATATTTGCTTTATATATTTGTGTGCTCCAGTGTTGGGTGCATATATATTTACAGTTGTTATATCTTTTTTTTTTCTTTTTTTTTTTTTTTTTATTGATCATTCTTGGGTGTTTCTCGCAGAGGGGGATTTGGCAGGGTCATAGGACAATAGTGGAGGGAAGGTCAGCAGATAAACAAGTGAACAAAGGTCTCTGGTTTTCCTAGGCAGAGGACCCTGCGGCCTTCCGCAGTGTTTGTGTCCCTGGGTACTTGAGATTAGGGAGTGGTGATGACTCTTTAACTAGCATGCTGCCTTCAAGCATCTGTTTAACAAAGCACATCTTGCACCGCCCTTAATCCATTTAACCCTGAGTGGACACAGCACATGTTTCAGAGAGCACAGGGTTGGGGGTAAGGTCATAGATCAACAGGATCCCAAGGCAGAAGAATTTTTCTTAGTACAGAACAAAATGAAAAGTCTCCCATGTCTACTTCTTTCTACACAGACACAGCAACCATCCGATTTCTCAGTCTTTTCCCCACCTTTCCCCCTTTTCTATTCCACAAAACTGCCATTGTCATCATGGCCCGTTCTCAATGAGCTGTTGGGTACACCTCCCAGACGGGGTGGTGGCGGGGCAGAGGGGCTCCTCACTTCCCAGAAGGGGCAGCCGGGCAGAGGCGCCCCCCACCTCCCGGACGGGGCGGCTGGCCGGGCAGGGGCTGACCCCCCACCTCCCTCCCGGACGGGTCGGCTGGCCGGGCGGGGGCTGACCCCACACCTCCCTCCCGGACGGGGCGGCTGGCCGGGCGGGGGCTGACCCCCCACCTCCCTCCGGGACGGGGCGGCTGGCCTGGCGGGGGCTGACCCCCACCTCCCTCCCGGACGGGGTGGCTGCCGGGCGGAGACGCTCCTCACTTCCCAGACGGGGTGGCTGCCAGGCGGAGGGGCTCCTCACTTCTCAGACGGGGCGGCCGGGCAGAGACGCTCCTCACCTCCCAGACGGGGTTGCGGCCGGGCAGAGGCGCTCCTCACGTCCCAGACAGGGTGGCGGGGCAGAGGCGCTCCCCACATCTCAGACGATGGGCGGCCGGGCAGAGACGCTCCTCACTTCCTAGATGTGATGGTGGCCGGGAAGAGGCGCTCCTCACTTCCCAGACTGGGCAGCCAGGCAGAGGGGCTCCTCACATCCCAGATGATGGGCGGCCAGGCAGAGACGCTCCTCACTTCCCAGATGGCATGGCGGCCGGGCAGAGGCTGCAATCTCGGCACTTTGGGAGGCCAAGGCAGGCGGCTGGGAGGTGGAGGTTGTAGCAAGCCGAGATCAGGCCACCGCACTCCAGCCTGGGCACCATTGAGCACTGAGTGAATGAGACTCCGTCTGCAATCCCGGCACCTCGGGAGGCCGAGGCTGGCGGATCACTTGCGGTTAGGAGATGGAGACCAGCCCGGCCAACACAGCAAAACCCCGTCTCCACCAAAAAAATACGAAAACCAGTCAGGCGTGGTGGCGCGTGCCTGCAATCGCAGGCACTCGGCAGGCTGAGGCAGGAGAATCAGGCAGGGAGGTTGCAGTGAGCCGAGATGGCAGCAGTACAGTCCAGCTTTGGCTCGGCATCAGAGGGAGACCGTGGAAAGGGGAGAGGGAGAGGGAGAGGATATCTTTTTGTTGAATCGACACCTTTATCATTATGTAGTGACCTTCTTTGTCTCTTCTTACAGTTTTTGTCTTCAAATCTGTGTTGTCTAAATATAGCTACTCCTGCTCTTTTTTGGTTTCCATTTGCAAACAACATCTTTTTCCATCCCTTTTTTTTTCAGCGTATATAGTTTTTCATAAATGAAATGTGTTTCTTGTAGGCAGCAGATCATTGGGTGTGTTGTTTTTATTCATGTAGCCACTGTGTGTTTTGTTTGGAGAGTTTAGTCCATTTTCATTCAATGTTGTTATTGATGAGTGAAGACTTACTCCTGCCATTTTGTTATTTGTTTTCTGGTTGTTTTGTGGTCTTCCTTCTTTCCTTCCTTCCTGTCTTCCTTTTAGTGAAGGTGATTTTCTCTGGTGGTATGATTTATTTTCTTGCTTTTTATTTTTAGTGTATCTGTTGTTGTATGTTTTTTGATTTGAGGTTACTACAAGGCCCCGTTTGAATAAACTTTCTACCCCATCTCTTTCTTTACCTCCCTTGTAAGGCCTATAACTATTCAGTTTGCCCTTCTGAGGCTATTTTCTAGATCCGGTAGGCATGCTTTATTGTTTTCGTTTTCTTTTTTTTCTTTTGTCTCTTCTGAGTCTGTGTTTTCAAATAAACTGTCTTCAAGCTCACTAATTCTTTCCTCTGCTTGAGCAGTTCTACTACTAAAAGACTCTAATGCATTCTTAAGTATGTCAGTTGCATTTTTCAACTCCAGAATTTCTGCTTCTTTTTAATTATTTCAATCTCTTTGTTAAATTTGTCTGATAGAATTCTGAATTCCTTCTCTGTGTTATCTGGAATTTCTTTGAGCTTCCTCAAAACAGTTATTTTGAATTTTCTATCTTAAAGGTCACATATCTGTTTCTCTAGCATTGGTCTCCGGTTCATTTGGTGAGGTCATGCTTTTGTGAATGGTCTTAATGCTTATGGATGCTAATCTGTGTCTGGGCATTGAAGAGTTAGGTATTTATTGTAGGTCTTTGTAGTCCAGGCTTGTTTGTACCTGTCCTTCTTGGGAAAGCTTTTCAGATATTTGCAAAGACTGGGTGTTGGCTGGGTGCAGTGGCTGACACCTTTAACTCTCCAGCACTTTGGAAGGTTGAGAAGGGCAGATTGCTTCAGCTCAGGAGTTTGCGACCAGCCTGGGTAACATGGTGAAATCCCATCTCTACAAAAAGAAATACAAAACAAGCCAGGTGTGGTGGCATATGCCTATAGTCTCAGCTACTTGGAGGCTGAGGTGGGAGGATCACTCAAGCCCAGGAAGGTGAGGCTACAGTGAGCTGAGATGGTGTCACTGTACTCCATCCTGGGTGACAGTGAGATCCTGTCTCAAAAAAACAAATCATAGGTGTTGTAATCTAAGCTGTGTCTTTATTAGGGTGCACCCCAAGCTCAGTAATGTTGTGATATTCTTGCAGAGTTGTAGATATACTGCCTTGACAATGTTGATGAAGATCCAGAAGAATTATCTGGATTACAAGGCAGAGACCCTTGTTCGGTTCTGTTTCTTTCTCCCAAACAGAGTGTCCTTCTCTGTTCTGAGCCCCCTGGAGCTGGGGGAGGGATGACACAAGCACCCCTGTGACTACTATCAATGTGATTGCACTGGGTCAGACCTGAAGCCAGCACAGCTTTTCACCCAAGGCCTGCTGTAACCACTATCTGGCTAATGCTTTTGATTGCTCAAGGCCCTGGGCTCTGCAGTTAGTAGGTGGCAAAATCAGCTAGGTTTGTGTCCTTTCCTTCCTGGTGGTAAGTTTCCCCAGGCCCTGGGCAGGTCCAGAGGTGTTGTAGGGAGCCAGGGACTAGAGTCAAAAACCTTAGAAGTCTGCCTGGTGAGCTGGCACTCAGACCACAAGATGCAGTCCTTCCCACTCTTTCCTCCCTTTTCCATAGGCAGAGGAGCCTCACCTTGTAGCCACCACTACCACAGACCCACAGGTAGTACTGCCAGGCCACTGCCAGTGTTCCCTTAAGGCCCAAAAGCTCTTCAGTCAGCTTGTGGTTAATGCTGCCTGGCGTGGAACTCACCCTTCAGGGCAGTGGTTTCCCCTCTGGCCCAGGGCAGGTCCAGAAATGCCATCTAGAGCCAAGGCCTGGAATCGAGAACCCCAACAGTCTGCTTGGTGCTCTCTGCCACTGTGGCCAAGCTGGTACCTAAGGTGCTTTCAGTTTTTCTTCATTGAATATGGTGTTAGCTGTGGGCTTCTCCTTTATGAATTTTATTTTATTATGTTGAGATACTTTCTGTTATTCCTGGTTTGTTTTTATCATGAAAGAGTGAATTTTGTGAGTTTTTTCTGCATCTATTGAAATGATCATATAATGCTGTTCTTTATTTTGTTAATGTGGCATATTATATCAGTTGATTTTTTTGTTTATTGAATCGTCTGTGCATCCTAGGGATAAATGCCACTTCGTTGTGGTATATGATTTTTTAAAAATTTTGTTGTTGGTTGGGTTTGCTAGTATTTTATTGAGGATCTTTGCATCTATATTTGTCAAGGAGTAACTAATACATTTTTTAACCTCATTAAAAATAATTTTGAAGATGTACTCCAGGTCTCAGTAATGAACCTGGCCCTATGTGCTCCACTCACTGATGCTGCCCAGCGATCTAGTTTGTTTGGAATGCTTTTCCCACCATTTGACTGGATGACTCATACTCTGGTAGTATCTCCTCATTCCATAAAACTGTGCCTACCGACCTCCCCTGTCCTTCAAATTCTGGATTAGATGCCTTAGGGGACTTCTATCATCACATATATCATAATTAGCTATCTATTCCTTCTCTCCTAGAAGAAGCTCTTCGAGAATAAGAGCTGTATTTCCTCTTGACCTCCAATCGTTAATCTAGTGTCTGACACATTATTAGATACTTTAATATAAGCCTTCTAGTACATAAGACAAGACTGAACAAAATGAAAACATTTAATTAAAACTCAATTTTACTTTTTATTAATACCTAAGTGTCCTACAATCAAAGCACAGCTTCTTAGTTGAACAAAGAAAGCAATTGTCTTTTACATTAGGCATATAAGTAAAACTGATGTTTTTGCTAGGTATTTTTTCCTGCCCTGAATATCTTATCACTGAAGTGACCAAAGCTGTCTGTTGTTCTTTATGCTTATTTTTATTTGTCTTAGTAATTAATAGTGTTACTCTCATCATCTTTAATTTGTTCTTAATAAATCTATGGGAATCTTTTATATACCTTTGCTTTTCTTTGAATTAATCCTGATTTTTAAAAACTTTTTATTTTGAGAAAAATCTTAAGTTTACAGAAAAGTTGCAAGGATATTAAGTACCAGTAAACCTTTCACCTATATTTACCAAGTAACATTTGCCACATTTTGCTTTATTTTTGTGTCTGTATGTACAATTATGTTATAATTTGCTAATCGTTAGTAAGTTGCAGACATTCTAACTCTTCTTAACTATTTCAGCATGTATATGAACAGGGACTTTTAAAAATACCAATAAACTTATCAAATTCAGGAGATGTAAGATTGATATAATACTGTTATTTAATATATGGTTTATATTCCAAATTTTTCAGTTGTTCAGAATTTGTTCTCTGTAGCAATTTCCCCTGTAAGCTAGGATCCAGTCAGGGAGCACACATGGCATTTACATGTCATTTCTCTTCAATATCCTTTAATCTAGAGAAGTTCCTCAGCCTGAGTTTTTGAGTCTTTCATGACATTAATGTTTTTTAAGAGTGTAGACCAGTATTTTTTTGAATGTTGTCAACTTGGGTTTATATATTCCTTTATGATAAGATTCAATTTGTTACATTTTTGTTAGGAATACTGTATGTGATGTATGTTCCTTTCTGTGCCTGTGGATCAAGAGGTACATGAAGTCAGTGATGTTAAGTTTGATCCATCAGAACCCTTTGTAACTAATAGTAATTTGTGGAGAAATATTTGAGATTGTAAATATTCTGTTCTCCAAGAAACATTCATTGGTTTTAGCATTTGTTGATGATTATTACTTAAGTCAGTTATTACTATAATAGTTCCAAAGTGATGACTTTGTAGCTCTGTCATTCTTCTGTATTGATTTGTTGGTCTAATACTTTCTAATGGAGGTATTTCTTTATGGAATTGTCCTAAATGGAGTTCATAAAATATCAGTGGAAATGACCTAAGATTTTTCTCCTTTTTATTATGGAAATGTTAAATATACAAAAAAAAAATCAGAATACTACAGCTGTGATTCAAGAGTTTTAAACATTAGTCATATTTGCTTTACCTGTCGTGTGTGTGTGTGTGTGTGTGTGTGTGCGCTGCAATTTTTGAAAGTATGTTGGAGATATGACATTTTTATCCCTACATATTTTGATATGTATCTCCTAAGAATATTTTCTATATAGCTACAACAGCATTAGGTCACCTAAAAAAATTAACAATTCCATAATATCACATAATAACCAGTTTATGTTAAAATTTCCCCAATATGTCTTTTTTTTTTTTAATGACCCAATTCAACATTTATACATTACACTTGGACCCAAAAGGACCCAGTTCCACATTCATACATTGCACTTGGCTTCTCTTAAGTCTTTCTTAATTTAGAACAGGTCATTCTCGCACTTTTTTCCTTAATTACATTAAGTTTTTAAATGAATTATTCACTTTGGAAAGAAAATAAACTGTTTGGTTTTGTAATTAGCAAGTAATTTGCGAGTTTTGGCACCGCACAAATATCCTGTTCTTTAGTAGCTTTTACCTAGTAGTTTTCACTTCCATTGATGATCCTTGCCTACTTCAGTTGTTTTCTTGGAGGTTGCATGTGCCCAAGCACACAACCACATACACAAACACAAATGAACAAGAAAAACTGATTTTTTTTGGTTACACACAAAATATCATATTCTATACATTTTTCTGCAACCTTGTATTTCACTTACTATATTAAGGAGTTTTCCTAAATAGAGGGATTCCCTCTTATCTCTAAGGGTTCCTCCCCTCTTCCATGAGGAGAGGTATAAACCAACTTTTTTTTTCTAACTATATTTGAGAACCTCTATAAGCTCTGAATTAAATATTGAACTAACATTTGAAATGCAAGGATAAAAATTTAAACAATTTTTGAATTTGGAATTGTATTTATAAAGCATCTCTTCATCATGATTTTAGCCTGAAGTTTTCATATAAATAGTAATATAAAATGTATGAAAGAGGGGTTATCATTTACATTTGATTAGAATTTGCAAAAAACTATTTTCATAAAACTTATTCTGTTTCTATCCTCTGTTTTACATGAAATTATTATGGTCATTTTTTTCATCAAAAAATATTTGCATTCTTTCATATATCTTTATGACCATAGAGATAACAAAATAAGTTACGACTACTTGGCCTAATGGAATGAAAATAATAATAAACATTTACTGAGTGAATGTTTTGTTCTTGGCACCGTGCTTAAAAATTAAACCCTTTACATATACTAACTCCTTTAATTACCTTATAATTTTAGTATGTAGATGACATTATTCCTTTTTTTTTGAGACAGGGTCTCGCTCTGACATCCAGGCTGGAGTGCAGTGGAGCAAGCACAGCTCAGTGCAGCCTCAACCTCCCAGGCTCAAGCAATCCTCCCACCTCAGCCTTTCAAGTAGCTAGGACTACAGTCGTGAGTCATGAGGCCCAGCTAATTTTTTACATTTTTTTAGAGATGAGGTCTCCCTGTGTTCCCCAGGCTGGTCTTGAATTCCTGGGCTCAAGTGATCCTGTAGCCTTGGCCTCTCAAAGCACTGGGATTAGCCATGCATAAGCATGAGCCGCTGTGCCTGGCCTGACATTATTCTTATAAATGAGGAATTTAAAAATTCATATAAGAGAAGCATCTTGTAAAGATACAATTTTTTTTTTTTTTTTTTTTGGAGATGGAGCCTCTCACTGTCGCCCGGGCTAGAGTGCAGTGGCGAGATCTCAGCTCACTGCAACCTCCACCTCCCAAGTTCAAGCGATTCTCCTGCCTCAGCCTCCCAAGCAGCTGGGATTACACGTGCCTGCCACCACGCCCGGCTAATTTTTTGTACTTTTTGTAGAGACGGGGTTTCACTATGTTGGCCAGGCTGGTCTCAAACTTCTGACTTCGTGATCCACCCGCCTCGGCCTCCTGGGATTACAGGCATGAGCCACCACGCCTGGCCCAAAAAATGTTATTTAACTGATCTGAAACTTAAACATGTTTGTTTAACACCAACATATGTGATTCTGAACCACGCATACTATGCTGCTTATTCACAATAGCAACGACATGGAATCAACCTAAATGCCCATCAACAGTAGCCTGGATAAGGAAAATGTGGTGCATATACACCATGGACTACTGTGCAGCCATAAAAATAAACAAGATCATGTCCTTTGCAGGAACATGGATGGAGCTAGAGGCCATTATCCTTAGCAAACTAACACAGGAACAGAAAACCAAATACTGCATGTTCTCACTTATAAATGGGAGCTAAATAATGAGAACACATGGACACATAGAGGGGAAGAGCAGATTCTGGGGCCTTCTAGAGGGTGGAGGGTGGGAGGAGGGAGAGGATCAGGGAAAATAGCTAATGAGTACTAGGCTTAGTACCTGGGTGACGAAATAATCTGTACAACAAACCCCCATGACACGAGTTTACCTGTTTACCTATGTAACCAGTACATGTACCCTTGAACTTAAAAATTAAAAAAAAAAAATTCATTTGTTAAGGTTTTAAATTTTATAGTATTAAGTTTATTATTTTGATTTTGGTTTTTGATTTTGATACTTTATGCTATATGGTCCTATTTACATGTTGATCTTTGTGACAGGTATTTTAACAATGGACTTAAAGAGCCTGTGGATCCTAATATGAGAAATTATAAGTACAGTAGGGGTCACCTCTGGGATGTGTGACATCAGTTGGTAACCTCAAAGTGAAACTGGAGTTTAGGGTGAAATAGGGCATAGAGTGGTGGGAAGTTGACCAAATTGTAGCCCTTCCTTTTGATTCAGTGTATTTAAGGATCCTTGTCAGAATGGAGTCCTTTTGGCTATAAGGAGAAGATCCAGACCTGGGACATGACTAATTAGAATCACAGTGTCTTCATTTTTGAAAACTTTTCCTTCCCCATTTGAAACTAGACCATTTTATAATTAGTAATTGGTACGTTAATAGTGCAAAAGATATTCAAACTGCACAGTATTTTTTGGTATTTTTTATTATTTCATGTACAAAATTCAGAAGGTACAGAAGGGTATACACTAAGGGTCTTTTTCCCCAGAGACAGCCACTGGTACCAATTTTCTTTGTTACCATCTATTTTCTTCCAGATATAATTTACACACACATGCATTCTTTTTAGCAGTCCCATATAAAGGCAGTTGCTATACACACGGTACTGAGCCTTGAGGTTTTTCACTTAACAGTATATCATGGAGATTATTTCATGTCTGTATATTGTGAATTTCCTTATTCATTTTTATAGCTGCACAGTACTCTGTTATAAAGGTATACCATAATTTATTTAGCCAAACCTAAATAAATCTAACTTACTTACATTGTTTCAGTCTTACTTGTAAGAACAGTGCTACAGGGAATAATAGGCAAGTCATTTTGTACATAAAGATGTGCATTTGGTATCTGTGCAGGATAAATTGTTAAATAAGGGGTTGCTGTGTCAGTTTGCGCATTTATAACTTTGACAGCAGGTGCTGAATATCCCCCCATAAAGGCTGTATGCTCCCACTAACAATATAGGAGAGTTTATATTAGCAAATTGCTCAATCTTGTTGAAGCTTTAACTTTCATTTCCCTTCTTATCAGTGAGGTTGAGCATAGTTTCATGTGCTAGGAACTCATTTGTATTTTCTTTCCCAATACACTTTTTAAATTCTGGGTTTGGTATAACTACTTAAGGTTTAACTTTTTTTTTTTTTTTTTTTTTTTTGAGACGGAGCCTCCCTCTGTCATCCAGGCTGGAGTACGGTGGCACGATCTCGGCTCACTGCAATCTCCACCTCCCGGGTTCAAGCGATTCTCCTGCCTCAGCCTCCTGAGTAGCTGGGATTACAAGCACACGCTAATTTTTGTATTTTTAGTAGAGACAAGGTTTCACCATGCTGGTCAGGCTGTTCTCGAACTCCTGACCTCGTGGCCTGTCCGCCTTGGCCTCCCAAAGTGCTGGGATTACAGGCGTGAGCCACCGCGCCCAGCCAGGTTTAACATTTTTGAAGCTGTTCTCTGAAGATACTTATGGCAAGACTAGACATAATATAGAAGTTAATATTACAAGCTCTGGAGTCTCAGGTTTATTTCTTGGCTTTGCCGCTTGTAACACCTTAGGCAACTTACATGTGTTAAGTCAGATAAAGCATATGAAAGCACAGTGCCTAGCACATAAGAGCACAAGAATGTTAGCTATTATTAGTGTGCCTGGTGCGTGCTAATAATAACTGACATTATTAGCTATTATATGTTAGTTAACTATGGTAACTCTAGTTATTATATATAGTTAACTTTGTTCCATAAATGCTTTATTTGTAGTATAATTATAATTATGTAAAAATACTAATTTTTTATTAGCAATAAAAATGAAGTATGCCAAAATATTAATTGTAATTAATACCAGTTAAGTAACTGGTGCCAGGAGAATTTTGAGTAATTTGTGTTAATTATTTTTAATGTCTAATTTTTTTGTAATGGAAATATGTTTTATAATAGAAAAATATGGTAGACATTGTTGTGAAATGATTTTTGTTAAATACACCTCCCCTCTTTTTTCATTACAGACAGAGAGTGCATGGGCTGAAGAATACTCTGAAAAGAAGAAAGGGTCTCACAAGCGCTCAGCATCTTGGGGCAGTACAGATCAACTTAAGGAGGTCAGAAAAATGGTTCTAAGATAGTGGGTGTGGAAATATGATCCTTTTGTTGGCTATTTCCTTGATATTATGGGCAGCAAGGATTTGTCGTTTTCCATTGATTTCTTTTTTCTTTTTGGCTTCTGAAATAACAAAAACAATTATTGTGTTGATTTAATAAAGATTTCAATAGGGATATTTATATATCACTTACCTGATTATGTATGTTTGTCTTTTTTTAGGAGAATTCATACCTGTCTATTAACATCAGATTTAAAAATTGTAACAATACAACAAATTCACATTTATTCTTTTTTTTTTTTTTTTGGGGTGTGCATGTGTGTGTGTGAGACGGAGTCTCGCTCTGTTGCCCAGGCTGGAGTGCAGTGGTGCGATCTTGGCTCACTGCAGGCTCTGCCTCCCAGGCTCAAGCAATTCTCGTGCCTCAGCCTCCCAAGTACCTGGGACTGCAGGTGTATGCCATCATGGCCAGCTAATTTTTGTATTTTCAGTAGAGATGGGGTTTCATCATGTTGTCCAGGCTGGTCTCTAACTCCTGACCTCAAGCAGTCTGCCTGCCTTGGCCTCCCAAAGTGCTGGGATTACAGGCATGAGCCACCGCACCTGGCCACATTTATTATTTTTCTATATATGGTGGTGTTTCTGAAATGCAGTACTCACTATAACCATGATGGTTATGGCTCCATGCTATGATTACCATTTTCTGTGCTGCTAATTAGTGACATTTTCATTTCACACATAATGTAGAAATGCAAAAACTCGGTCAAAGAATAAATAAGATATTCATTGGAATTGCATTCGTTATTTAAAGATGATATCTGTGAATATATTTCATGACTTGAGTTGATTTTTAAATACTGTGTAATTTTTGGAACTGTTGAAAGCTAGGTGTTCAATAAATCTAAATTGAAATAAAAATTAACTTATGGTAAAGGCAATGAGAATGATTGTTATTTTTTTAATTCTTCGTGAAAACTGTAATGTAATTTATTCTAAGTGCTGAAAACTATTTGTGTAGTACTTGGGAAGCTCGAAGGCTGAGAACAATGTTGGAACATATACACATACATGCATGTGTAGATGTGTATAAAATTATGAACAAAAAATGAGACTTTGTGATATGGTTCAAAAATTCAAAGGACTTATTAAGGGTAAGTTTTACTGGTTCTTATTAAGCAAGGATGTGTTTTTGTTTCATGTAGAAAACACTCTGGTGTACTTGCTATTTTTGCTTTCTCAGATTGCAAAATTACGCCAGCAGTTGCAGAGAAGTAAACACAGCAGTCGGCATCATCGAGATAAAGAAAGACAGTCTCCATTTCATGGCAACCATGCAGCTATTAACCAGTGTCAGGTAAGAGTACCAATACCACAAAATCCAGAAAAGGAATTTGTTGTTTTTCTGGTGATTTGTTATTTCATTGGTAATTGTTTAGGACAAAAATGCTCAAAAACATATTTGAAACAGTGATTTAAATACTGAATCACAGTCTTTATAAGAAAACAGAATATTAAGTTGACAAAATGATATTTTCCTTTAGTGACCTAAGATACGACTTCTAGGAGACATAGCTACTTATCTATTTTGGTTTACCATATTTTTGGCTTTATCAGTTCAATATTTTGGAGGCAGAATGACACAGAGAATTAAGCATTGGGTATGGAACAGGCCCTGGCTGAATAACTTATCTTTTCTAAGTCTCAGTTTCCTCATGTGAAGATGGGAATAATAATACCTGTCTCGGGCGGGGAACATCACACACCAGGGCCTGTTGTGGGCTGGGGCGATGGGAGAGGGATAGCATTAGAAGAAATACCTAATGTAAATGATGAGTTAATGGGTACAGCAAACCAAAACGGCACATGGGTATGTATGTAACAAACCTGCATGTTGTGCACATGTACCCTAGAATTTAAAGTATAATTTAAAAAAATGTAAAAAAAAAAATAGCTGTCTCATAGAAGTCTTTTGATAGAGACAAACCTTTATCTGCTTTGATTTTTTAGTAGAACCCATGAACTGCTCTTGATGGCTCATCCATCCAAAGAACACTTTTTTTTACTGAATTGAAATTGGATGAGATCTCTTGGCAAGGAGAAAGCAAGTTCATTTCAGGTCTTTTCAGGATCTTTCAAGTTCCAGAATTGAAGCTTTGGGAATGAGGAAGGCTGGATTGAATTTTCCATGTTAACAGTAAGGCAGCAGGGCCTGGAAGGTAGAGGGAAACTAGAAGACTTAGTTCTGTGACTCTCAGGTTGTTTTATAATACTGGAGTTGGCAAACTGTGGCCCGGGAGCCAAGAATGTCCCACCATGTGTTTCTGTAAATAAGGTTTTATTAGAAAACAGTCACTCTCATTTTTTATGTATTGTCTATTGCTCCTTTTTGTGCCACAAAAATATACATTTGACTCTCTATATCTTCAGGTTTTGCATTTATGGATTCAACCAACCATGGATCAAACATATTTTTGGAAAAATAGAATAGAATATGTATAAATATAAATATATTTTAAAATATAATTAAAAGTACAAATAAAAATACAGTATGACAACTATTTACATAGTATTTACATTGTATTAGGTATTATAAGTAATCTGGAGATTATTTAAAATATACAGGAGGATGTTCCTAAATCATAATGCACTTACCATGCCATTTTATATAAGGGACTTGAGTATCTGTGGATTTTGGTATTTGGAGGGGGGTCCTGTCCTGGAACCAGTCTTCTGAAATTGAGTAGTTGAAACAGAGACTGTCTGGTTCACGAAGCCTAAAATACTTACTGTTTGGCCCTTTACAGATAAGGCAGGCCAACCCCTTTTATAGTTTGGTAGTGTCTGATGTTTGTTAAATGTATAGATTGTTTGCAATGGAAAGTATGGGTAAAGGTATAGACTTTTTCAAACTGATTTTGCCCCAAAATATTAATACTCGGGTCAGATTTGATTTCACAGGTTTATAGAGATTGTTTTTTGTTTGTTTTGAGACAGGGTCTTGCTCTGTCACCCAGGCTGGAGTGCAGCAGGGTGATCACAGATTCACTATAGCCTCGACTTCCTGGGTTTATGTGATCCTCCCACCTCAGCCTGCTGAGTAGATGAGACTACATATGTGCACCACCATGCCTGGCTAATATTTTTTATTTTTTATTTTTATTTTTGTAGAGATGGGGTCTGTGTTGCCCAAGCTGGTCACTAACTCCTGGCTTTGAGTGATTCTCCCACCTTAGCCTCTCAAAGTGTTGGAATTACAGGCATGAGCCACTATGTCCAGCCAAATTTATAGTTCGATTATAATTTCCAGTAACTTTTTTCTATATTTGATATTTTAATTAAAAACATGGTTATACATTAGTATTCGTGTATATTCTGTACAAACTAGATTTATTTCTGGAGAAATAGAAATTTTAAATTGACAAAATAAGAAATGAAAAATTTGTAAAGACTAATAACTTTTGAATTTGGAATGTTAATTAAAAACCCAGTCTCACTCTCAAGAGGCTGAAGACCCAGATGATTTTACAGATGAATTTGCCAACCTTCCCCTTCCTCTCATTCATTCATAAATAAATGGTATGTGTTTCTAAAAAATAAGGCCACTTTTTACTCCCAGTCCATATTTTTACTCCAAGTAGAATAGGGATTAGGATGGAATTTTATTGAATTAAGTGGCTAGTTTTAGGACTTCAGAAGTTTCTGAAGTGATTATTTTTTAAACTTGTGTTAAAACCAACAATTTTAAAGTGGTTATTCAAATTTTCATTTTTTTCTTCTTGCAAGTTGAATTTACTTAATAAAGATTATTGGAATTTACTTGAAATTTATATTTAATTTAAAAACATTTCCTTGCAGAGAGGGTAAGGACAAGAAAATAGAGAAACTTGAAAAATAGTTCATCTAGTTTGAGTTTTGTACACTTGACACATCAAGCGTCTTAACTGTTTCTCCCATTTTATTTAGTGTTATCAGCCAACCGCAAGTCAGGCACATGTGCATCATGATAGTAATGACAGTAGTACTCATGTTTAATTGAAACTCACGCTGGCCGGGCACGGTGGCTCACGCCTGTAATCCCAGCATTTTGGAAGGCTAAGGTGGGTGGATCACCTGAGGTCAGGAGTTCGAGACTAGCCTGGCCAACATGGCGAAACCACATCTCTACTAAAAATACAAAAATTAGCGAGGCTGGCGGGTGCCTGTAACCCCAGCTACTTGAGAGGCTGAGGCAGGAGAATGGCTTGAGCCCAGGAGGCGGAGGTTGCAGTGAGCAGAGATCGTGCCACTGCACTCCAGCCTGGGTGACAGAGTGAGACTCCATCTCAAAAAAAAAAAAATTTAAAAAGAAACTCTTAGGCTGTAAACATGAAAATAATTTCTATTAAGTTATTGTTTTGGTGGGTTCTCTATCTAGTGGAGAAAAGTGCCACACGATACATGTGTACTTCTGAGGCCATTCATCAGCCCATACAATATTTATTAATCATTTTGGCCTGTGACCGTAGTACTCATTAGGGGATGTGGTGATAAAAGAAATATTGTCTGTCCTTACCAGTTCTCATATTAAAGAGATATGAGTAAACAGTTAATTATAACACTGTATAATGAATGTGTTGATAGGGAGAATTCAGAATGCAACAGAAGATGTGTTTATTTGGAAAAGGATGGAGTCATCTAGAAAGACGTCTCAGAGAAAATGGTGTCTAGCTGATCCTTGAAAGATAAGTATAAGGTGGAAAAAGTCATGTCCCCAGATAGGAGTAGTGGTAAGAGATTAGGCAGGATAGAGAGGTAAATAGCAGCCAAACCTGAAAGTCTCCATGTTCACTTATTAAGACATTTAGACTTCAACCTAGGCTATTTTTTAAAATGCAGGATATGGATATGTGACTATTTCATAATGGTCATTATGGGGTCAGATATAGAACGAATTGGGAAGAGACAAGATTAGAAGTAGGGAAATAATTTAAGAATAGGATTTAGTGATCCAAGTAAGAAATGATGGCCTCTAGTAGGGTAGAAACTTTTAAACTGCTGAGGATGAACTTGAGTGATATTTAGAAGGTAAGAATTAATAGTTGAATTCTATTAAAAGGGTTTACTATGGTAAGCATTTGGATACATTATTGGCATTCAATCCTCATCTTTAAGGTGGGGTTTGTTAGTCTCTCCATTTTATAGACAAGAACATCAAGGCCCAGAGAGGTCAGGTATATTGTTTAAGGTCACACGAGACAGCCAGAATTCTAACCTAGGCATTGTAACCTCAGAGTCTGAGGTTTTTAAACTCTGTGCTAGCTGATGGTTGACAATATTTGAGAAAAATAGAGATGAAAGTTAAGGATGATGTCAATTTTAACTTTTAAAATATGATTTAAGGCCGGCCGTGGTGGTTCACGCCTGTAATCCCAGCATTTTGGGAGGCCGAGGCGGGTGGGTTGCTTTAGCCCAGGAGTTCAAGACCAGCCTGGGCAACATGGCAAAACCCCCTCTCTACTAAAAACACAAAAATAAGCTAGGCGTGGTGCCGCGTGCCTATAATCCAAGCTACTCGGGAGGCTGAGGCACGAGAATAGCTTGAATCTGGGAGGCGGAGGTTGCAGTGAGCTGAGATTGCACCACTGCACTCCAGTTGGGGGAGATAGAGTTCTCTAAATAAACAAACAAACAATGAAAAAATAAAAAATGAAATAGGATTTTAGAAGTTTATCTATCTACCTCAGCACCATATATAAAAGTAACTCAAAATCGTCAAGGACCTAAATGTAAGAGCTAAACCTAACAGCTCTTAGAAGAAAATGTAGTCATAACATTTGTGACATTGCGTTAGGCAATGGCTTCTTAGAAATGACACTAAAAGCAAAAGCAAGAAAAGAAGTAGATAAATTGTACTTTATCAAAATTAAAAACTTGTGATTCTAAGGGCATCATCAAGAATGTGAAAAGATAACCCACAGAATAGGATAACCCACAAATCATATATCTGATAAGGCATTTGTGTCTAAATTACATAAAGAACTCTTGCAACTCAGTAACTCACAAATCATATATCTGATAAGGCATTTGTGTCTAAACTACGTAAACAACTCTTGCAACTCAGTAATTTAACAAAAACATTTAAAAATGGGCACAGGATCTGAACAGAGAGTTCTCCAAGGAAGATGTACAAATAGCCAATAAGCACATGAAGAAGATGCTCAATATAATTTGTCAATGGGGAAATGCAATTCAAAACTCCAGTGAAATACCAGTTCATATGCATTAGAATGCTGTAATTTAAAAGACAGATAATAAGTGTCAGGGGAGGATGTGGAGAAATTGGAATATATATATATATATATATATATATATATATATATGGAGAGAGAGAGAAGCTCCTTCTCAATTAAAAAATATATAAACTTTTATTTATTTTTATTTTATTTTATTTATTTATTTTGGGATGGAGTCTCTCACTGTCGCCTGGACTGGAGTGCAGTGGCGCGACCTTGGATCATTGTAACCTCCGCCTCCCGGGTTCAAGCGATTCTCCTGCCTCAGCTTCCTGAGTAGCTGGGATTACAGGCACCTACCACCATGCCCGGCTAATTTTTTGAGTTTTTAGTAAATACAGGGTTTTACTGTGTTGGCCAGGCTGGTCTCGTACTCCTGACCTCGTGAGCCTCCTGCCTCGGTCTTCCCAAGTGCTAGGATTACAGACGTGAGCCACTGCACCCAGCCTACTTTTTTTTGTTTGTTTGTTTGCGACGGAGTTTCACTCTTTATGCCCAGGCTAGAGTGCAATGGCATGATCTTGGCTCATTGCAATCTCCGCCTACCAGGTTCAAGTGATTCTCCTGCCTCAGCCTCCTGAATAGCTGGGATTACAGGCGTGTGCTACCACACCCAGCTAATTTTATATTTTCAGTAGAGACGGGGTTTTACCATGTTGGCTGGGTTGGCTGCAAACTCCTGACCTCAGGTGATCTGCCCGCCTCGGCCTCCCAAAGTACTGGGATTACAGGCATGAGCCACTGCACCCAGCCTATTTATTTTTCTTTTTTTTTTTTTTTTGTATTTATAGTAGAGATGGGGTTTCACCTTGTTGGCCAGGCTGGTCTTGAACTCCTGGCCTCAGGTGATCCACCTGCCTCAGCTTTCCAAAGTGCCGGGATTACAGGCGTGAGCCACCGCGCCTGGCTGGAACTTTGATATATTAATGGTAGGAATGTAAACAGTTGCTTTGGAGAATAATGTGGCAGTTCCTCAAAAGATTAAACGTGGAATTGCCAAATGGCCCGGCACTTCCTCTCCTAGGTATATACCCAAGAGAATTGAAAATATATGTCCACATAAAAACTTGTACATGTATGTTAATGGCAGCATTATTCATAATAGCCAAAATGTAGAAAAAACCCAATGTCTATCAGCTGATAAAAGGGTAAATAAAATGTGGTATATCCATATGATGGAATTTTATTTGATCATAAAAAAGAATGGAGTACCAGTACATGCGACAACATGCCTGAACCTTGAAAACATTATGCTGGCCAGGCACGGCGGCTTATGCCCGAAATACCAGCACTTTGGGAGGCCAAGTTGGGTGGATCACTTGAGGTGAGGAATTTGAAACCACCCTGGCCAACATAGTGAAACCCCATCTCTACTAAAAATACCAAAAAATTAGCTGGGCATGGCGGCACGTGCCTGTAGTCCCAGCTACTCGGGAGGCTGCGGCAGGAGAATCACCTGAACCTGGGCGGCAGAGGTTGTGCTGAGCTGAGATCGCACCACTGCACTGCAGCCTGGGCGACAGAGTGAGACTCCATCTCAATAAGTAAATAAATAAATAAATAAATAAATAAATAAAAGAAAACATGCTAGTAAAAAAAAAAAAAAGACACAAAAGGGCACATAACATACGATTCCATTCTTAGGAAATACCCAAAATAGGCAAACCCATAGAGATAGAGAATAGACTGGTATCGGGGGAACCGCCCCCAATATTTCAACGTAGGTTCTATTTTCCCTAAGTGTCGGCTAGTCTGAGAAATAAAGAGAAAGAGTACAAAGAGAGGAATTTTACAGCTGGGCTGCTGGGGGTGACATCACATATTGGTAGGTCTGTAATGTCCGCCTGAGCCGCAAAACCAGCAGGTTTTCATTAAGGACTTTAAAAGGGGAGGGGGTGTATGAACAGGGAGTAGGTCACAAAGATCACATGCTATAAAGGGCAATAAAGATCACAAGGCAAAGGGCAAAGCAAAGATCACAAGGCAAAGGGCAAACTTAGAATTACTGATGAGCTTCTGTGTTCAGCTGTGCACATATTGTCTTGATAAACGTCTTAAACAACAGAAAACAGGGTTCAAGAGCAGAGAACTGGTCTGACCTCAAATTTACCAGGACGGGATCTTTTCCCCACCCTAATAAGCCTGAGGGTACTACAGGAGACCAGGGCATATTTCAGTCCTCATCTCAACCGCATAAGACAGACACTCCCAGAGCGGCTGTTTATAGACCTCCCCCCAGGAATGTATTCCTTCCCCAGGGTATTAATTATTAATATTCCTTGCTGGGAAAAGAATTCAGTGATATCTCTCCTACTTGCACGTCCATTTATAGGCTCTCTGTAAGAAGAAAAATATGGCTCTATTCTGCCCGACCCTGCAGGCAGTCAGAACTTTGGTTGTCTTCCCTTGTTCCCTAAAATCGCTGTTATTCTGTTCGTTTTCAAGGTGCACTGATTTCATATTGTTCACCCATGTTTTACAATCAGATTTCATATTGTTCAAACACACATGTTGTACAATCAATTTGTACAATAGTGTTCCTGAGGTGATGTACATTCTCAGCTTACAAAGATAACAGGATTAAGAGATTAAAGTAAAAACAGGCATAAGAAATTATAAGAGTATTATTTGGGAACTGATAAATGTCCATGAAATCTTCACAATTTATGTTCAGGGATTGCAGTAAAGACAGGCATAAGAAATTATAAAAGTATTAATTTTGGGAACCGATAAATGTCCATGAAATCTTCACAATTTATGTTCCTCTGCTGCGGCTCCAGCCAGTCCCTCTGTTCGGGTTCCCTGACTTCCCACAGCAGACTGGTGGTTGAGTAGGGCTGGGAAAGTTGGGGAGAAATGATGAACGACTGCTAATGAGGGGCTGCTTTTGGTATGATTTGAAAATAGATTGCAGTGATGGTCACACAACTCTGTTCAATACCATTAAAAAACCAAAGTTAGCTGGGTGTGGTGGTACCCGTTGTAGTCCCAGCTACTAGGGAGGCTGAGGTGGGGGGATTACTTGAGCCCAGGAGTTCAAGACCAGCCTGGGCAACATAATGAGACCCTGTCTCTTAAAAACAGCAACAACAAAAAACCCATAGTTGTACAATTTAAATGAGTGAATTGTATGGTATTATACATTATATTCTAGTAAAGCTTTTAAAGAAATGTCAACCAACATGAAAAACACAAATATATAAAATACAAATACAGTTGTCTAGAAATAGTAAATTAAATTAGATGCTTAAAAAGAACCAAAAAAGTAAACAGGGAGGTTATTTAACAGTGCACTCTGAGGTCAGACTGTTTGGCTTGAAGTGTTGAGTCCTGCTGCCTGCTAGAGGTGTGAAGTTCCTCAGTTTCTCTGCATAGTAATATTACCTGTTCGTTGTGTTGTCCAGAGGCTTAAATGGGATAAAATGTTATAAAACTCTTTATGCAATTCTAAGTACATAGTAATTTCTCAGTATCTTAGGCCATTTGAGGGAGCACCTAAATGTAAAAGATGTAAACAGACTTGGTTTCCTTGCCAATTTCTTGTTAAACTTTTTAAAGCTTTTATTATTACAAAAGTACTCACAAGCTCATTATAGAAATTTTAGAAGCTAAGAAAAGTCGAATAGAAAAATTATCTCTAAAGAATTTTTTTAATGAAATAGGAAAATTTCCAAAAGAGAGCTGTATTTCTGTATCTTTCTCCCCTATTGCTGACATTTTTTTTCTTTTAAGTGTTTTATTCTTTGCATTCCTCATTGAGAGCATATTATATGTTAGATTACACTGCCTTTTTGTATTTAACATGGAACATTGTGAGTATTACAAATGCTTCATTTTTGCTGTCTTAGATTCTGTAGAACATTTTCCTAGTTAAGGTTATTTAGTTGGGTCCATTTTGTGTGTGTGTGGACTTAAAGCTTTTTCAGTATTTATTCTTTTCCCAAGATAGGTTTTTATATTATTTGATTAGGAAGCTTGAGTATTTGGGGGATTCTTTGTGTGTTTTTCTGAGACTTTTTACAAGTTATTACAGTATTTTGTTTGTATTTCACGATATGCAGAAGATGATTTTTACTAGGAAATTAATCTCTTAACATTGAAGGGACAGTATTGCTGTTAGGATAGTGGTGTAGTCTACAGCTACTAGTTAACAAAAGATAGTTTTTCTTGGGCTTACAGTTAGAAAAGAATTCTCACATACTTTTCTGCATGTTTTTTTCCCCTGGAAATTCAGGGGAGATTATTCATTAGGAAGAATAAATACTGCCAGGTTTCTTAGAGCTAGAGTCTTTCACATTTCAAAGGTTTCCCCAAATGACAAAACCGTCAGATGTTTAAATGAAATTGTCTCATTAGAAAATATAGCCAACACATTTCAGAATTATTTGATTGAGTGTTAGAGTCTGATGTTAGTAACAAGAGTGGGAGATGCCAGCATCTTCACAGTCACATAAACTAATTTTGAGGTAAGAATTTTATTTTTTTATTATTTTTTACAGTAGTTATGTTTTTTTTATTATACTTTAAGTTTTAGGGTACATGTGCACAACGTGCAGGTTTGTTACATATATATACATGTGTCATGTTGGTGTGCTGCACCCATTAACTCATCATTTAACATTAGATATATCTCCTAATGCTATCCCTACCCCCGAGGTAAGAATTTTAAAAGTGTGTGGGTGTTTTGTGGCTGTTACTATAGCCTCAAGCAAGAAAGCCCTTCCATAGGATTTTCTTATTTCTTCATCTGGGCTGAAGACGCTTACTAGCCTAGGAGGGTTTGAGAGCCAAGAGACAGTGAGGTAGAAAAAGAAACTTACTTTTCTCTGAGGAATGGAAGGTGCATTGTAATTTGAAAATGAAAATTACTGCCCTACACTAAAATCTTGGGATGTCAGTCCAAAACAGAGCATGAATGTTATTTAATTTTTAAAAGTTTTTTGCCGTTTCAAAATTGAGAGAATAGGTACTTTTGCTGTGACCTTTATTACAGAATATAACTGCAGCTTGGAAGAGCTGTAAAGGTAGGTACCAGATGAGAGGACAGTGATTGCTGGAGGACAGAAATGAAGTAACAGTGACAGGATATTAAGAATGAAGGCCACATGGTGGTCTGGAGTCAAAGGCCCTTAAGATTGGAAAGCTTTTTTTCAGGTGCTTACTAATTTTTTTACCATTCTAAACAAGTTTTTGGCTGGGCGCAGGGCAGTGGCTTAAGCCTATAATCCCAGCACTTTGGGAGTTCGACGTAGATGGATCACTTGAGCCCAGGAGTTCGAGACCAGCCTGGGCAACCTGGTGAAACCCTGTCTCATCAAAATATACAAAAAATTAGCCAGGTGTGGTGGCACATACCTGTAGTCCCAGCTACACAGGAGGTTGAGGTGGGAGAATCACCTGAGCCAGGGAAGTCAAGGCTGCAGTGAGCCGTTATTGCCCCTACCGCACTCTAGCCTGGACAACAGAGGGAGACCCTGCTTTAGTCCATCAATCAGCAATCAGCCAATCATCAGTTTTCACCTCCCTTTGGTTGTATTAGGGTTTCTGGCTCATTTTTCTCTCATGAAACTCTGTTGAATTCCTGTATAGACCTTTCTCCATCCTACTTGCCTATCAAAGCACATTTTCATAAAAAAAAAAATTAATGCTATATCTCTTTCCCCTACTCAGCTACTGCTTATCACCAGTGTACCACAGATGAGCCAATGCTAGGCTGCTGATGGGACTTGTGGGAAGTGAGGGAAGTTGTTGGCTTTTAGCATTAAAATGAAAGGAGTCAAAAACAGCAACTCTAAAAGACAGGAAGCTGACTGGGCTAGTCAGTTGACTTCATCTATAACAGGTACACCTAACTTTTAAGGTATACCTAAGTCATACGTGGACTGAATTAAAAAAAAAAAATTCTTCCCACATTTTATTATTTACTTCAGCATGTAACTGTCTCTAGGAAAGGACCTAAAGAGACAATATTAGGCAGGTAAAGATATGACCCTGTCATCTTTTTCCTCTATTTTTTTCAATTATTGTATAATAAAATGGACATTTTTGATTGTACAATTTATTAATTTTAACATATATGTAGATTATACCACCACCACTATAGTCAAGATAAAACATTCCCTCATTCTTTTCCTTTGTATACATGCTTCCCCCATCCCTAATCTCTTGTAAGCACTGCTCTGTTCTCCATCACTCTAACCCTCTCTTTTTGGGAATGACATATAAATGGAATCATACAGTATGTAATCGTTTGAGACTGTCTTCTTTCACTCAACGATAGTGCCCTTGCATTTCCTCTAAGTAGTTGTGTGTATCAATAGTTTAACTTTTTTTTTTTTGAGACAGAGTCTCGCTCTGTAGTCTAGACTGGAGTGCAGTGGCGTGATCTTGGCTCACAGCAGCCTCTGCCTCTTGGGTTCAAGCGATTTTCCCGCCTCAGCCTCCCGAGTGGCTGGTACTACAGGCACACACCACCACGCCCAGCTAATTTTTGTATTTTTCGTAGAGACAGGGTTTCACTATGTTGGCCAGGCTGGTCTTGAACGCTTGACCTCAGGTGATCTGACCACCTCGACCTCCCAAAGTGCTGGGATTACAGGCATGAACCACTGTGCCCGGCCAGTTTATTCCTTTTAGTTGCTAAATAGTATTCCATTACATGGATTTCCCACAATGTAGCTATTGATATTAAATTCTTGTTGAAGGACATCTCATCTTGATTTTAATTTGCATTACCCTAATGAACATCTTTTCATATGGTTATTTGCCATCTGTGTATCCTGTTTGGTGAAGTGTCTATTCAAATCATTTGCCTATTTTCAAATGTGGTTGGTTGTTGTTATTAGTTTTGAGAGCTTATTAGACATTCTGGATAAAAGTCCTTTGTTGGGTAAGTTACAGATACTTTTTCCCAGTCTCAACTTGTCTTTTGTTCTCTTACTGTCTTTCACAGAGCAAACATAAAAAAATTTTGTTGGCAGTATATTATTATTTTCTTTTATGGGGATTACTTTTGGTGTCATATCTAAGGTAGTCTTTAAAGAAACAACTTTCAGTCTTGAATCAGAACAACCTACTTATAATTATCACAGAAGATCACAAGACTTCATTTTTCTGTCAACTCAAGTTTGTGGAAGTGAGGACATCTTTAAGGGAAATGGAGAATTTATAAAAAAAGAAGACATCAGTTCAGACTATCTTAAATAAATATATTTCTGAATTATCTAAGATTAGTGAAGTACTCATTTTAGAAAATTTCTGATTATCAAAGGATAGGAAACTACTTTTAGAAGAATTGAAAATTTCAAAAGATAAAAATTAAGAATCACATACTCTCACTGTATAGGGATAACTTTTCAATATTTGGGGGCATTTTAAATTTGGTAGGATGTAAGTTTAGTCCTGATTCTGTGACCCTAGATTATTAGCTTCTCAGAGTCTCATTTTTTCAATGTAAAATGGGGGTAGTAACTGCCTATTTTTATAGAGAGAGCTTTTGTAAAAGTAAATAAAATAATGTATATAAACTGCTTAGAGCAATGCCTAGCACATATTAAGTGCTTAATAAGTGCTACTTACTCTATAAAACAAAATGGAGCTTCAGTCTTTTTATAAAACCTTATGTCGGCCAGGTGTGGTGGCTCACGCCTGTAATCCCAGCACTTCGGTAGGCTGAGGTGGGTGGGACACTTGAGGTCAGGAGTTTGAGACCAGCCTAGCCAGTATGGTAAAACCTTGTCTGTATTAACAATACAAAAATTAGCCAGGCATGTTAGCACATACCTGTAATCCCAGCTACTCAGGAAGCTGAGGCAGGAGAATTGCTTGAACCCAGGAGGTGGAGGTTGCAGTGAGCTGAGATCATGCTGCTGCACTCCAGCCTGGATGACAGAGTGAGACTCTTGTCTCAAAACAACAACAACAAAAATCCCCATATGTTCTGTTGTTTTCTTTGTCCCTAACTTTGAATGTTAATATTTTGTTAACATTGTTGAGGTTGTCCAAAGCATCATTTTTAATGGTCCTGTGGTATATCATATTATGGATATTCTATGCTTTTCTATGCCTGCTTTCTTCCTTTCCTTTTCCTTTTCCCTTTTCCTTCCCTTTCCGTCTGTCTTTCTGTCTGTCTTCCTGTCTGTCTGTCTGTCCTTCCCTCCCCTCCCCTCCCCTCCCTCCCTCCCTCGATCCCTCCCTTCCTTCCTAGGGTTTCACTCTGTCACCCAGGCTAGAATGGAGTGACCATGTCACTGCAGCCTCAACCTCCTGGGCTCAAGTGATCCTCCCACTTCAGCCTCCTAAGAAGCTGGGACCACAGGCGTGTGCCACCATGCCCGGCTGATATTTAAAATTTTTTATAGAGACTGGGTCTCCCTGTGTTGCCCAGCCTGGTCTCGAAGTCTGGTCCTTAAGCAGTCCTCCCTCGGACTCAGCCTCCCAAAGTCCTGGAATTACAGGTGTGAACCACTGTATCTGGCCTCTCTATTGTTAATTGTTCTTATTTTTCCATTTTTCATTAATATATACCATTGAGATGAACAATGAAAAATGTGTCATGTCCAAATTGTTTTTCAGATTAAAAGACAGCAAATTTAAAATTAAGTATTTAGGTTGGGCATGGTGGCTCACACCTGTAATCTCAGCACTTTGGGAGGCTGAGGTGGGTGGATCACTTGAGGTCAGGAGTTTGAGACCATCCTGGCTAACATGGTGAAACCCTGTCTCTACTAAAAATATAAAAAATTAGCCAGGCGTGGTGGCGGGCGCCTGTAGTCCCAGCTACTTCGGAGGCTGAGGCAGGAGAATGGCGTGCACCCAGGAGGTGGAGCTTGCAGTGAGCCAAGATTGCATCACTGCACTCCAGCCTGGAGGACAGAGCGAGACTTCATCCCCCAAAAAAAAAAAAAAAAAAAAAAAAAAAATCCCCAAATTAGCCGAGTGTGGTGGCAAACACCTTTAATCCCAGCTACTCGGGAGGGTGAGGCATGAGAATCACTTGAACCTGTGAGTCGGAGGTTGCAGTGAACCAAGATCACACTACAGCACTTCAGGCTGGGCAACAGAACGAGACTCTGCCTCAAAAAAAAAAAAAAAAAAAAAGTATTTAATTTTTATCATGACTAACACTTCAGTAATAAAAGATCTAATATGGCACTTTTTAATATATAGTTATTGAATTCTAGAATATAGTGGTTGCTTTGCATTATTACTGTATATAGTGTATTTGTGCTTATTTTATAGTTTATGGAGCAAAATTTAGTATATTAAGCCATTTTTGCATCTTAACCAGCTGCTGCCTAATTATTACAGGAAAATAGTGTGGAAGTTCAGCTATTCTAAATCTAAAATAATTGGTTTTGGTACATATTCTCTAACCTTTAGATGGTCTGTAGCTATTGAGCCATATATGACATTCTTTTACCTTGCAGTGAATTTCATAGCTTGTTCATATTGGGGAAGTTGTACATGGAAGTCATATTGCTTGAAGGTAGATAATTTAATGGCTATGGAGGTCATTTGACTGTACCTGCTTTAAAATTTCTCTAGTTACAAAAAGAATCATATGAATATCTACATTGATACAAAAAAAAAGCCCTTGGGAAATGTCCATGTATGTAGAAATACTCAAGAACATTAAAATAAGGAAAACTTTCTTAATATGATCACACACATACACACACTTCTGTTTACCTTAAGATCCCATGCTATTTAATGGGGAAACATGAGAGATACTTCCACTAGGATGAGGAACAAGGCAAGGATTCTTACCATCCCTACTTCTGTTTACATTGTACTAGTGGTATTAACTAATACAGTTAGAAAAGAGAAGTCAGTTAGAGCCATTAGAATTGGTGATGAACGCCAGGCGCGGTGGCTCATGCCTTAATCCCAGCACTTTGGGAGGCTAAGGCAGGCGGATCACGAGGTCAGGAGATCAAGACCATCCTGGTCAACATGGTGAAACGCCATCTCTACTAAAATACAAAGGATTAGCCAGGAGTGGTGGTGTGTACCTGTAGTCCCAGCTACTCAGGAGTCTGAGGCAGGGGAATCACTGAACCCGGGAGGTGGAGGTTGCAGTGAGCCAGATCATGCCACTGCACTCTAGCCTGGTGACAGAGCAAGACTCTGTCTCAAAAAAAAAAAAAAAAAAAAAAAAAAAAAAGAATTGGTGATGAAGAAATAAAACTCCCTTTCAGATAATATGATAGTATATCTAGTTGGAAAACCTCCGAGAATCAATAAAACCAATGAAAAAAAATTTTTTTTTTTTGAGACGGAGTCTTGCTCTGTTGCCCATGCTGGAGTGCAGTGGCGCGATCTCGGCTTACTGCAAGCTCCGCCTCCTGGGTTGATGCCATTCTCCTGCCTCAGCCTCCCAAGTAGCTGGGACTACAGGCGCCCGCCACCTCGCCTGACTGATTTTTTGTATTTTTAGTAGAGACGGGGTTTCACCGTGTTAGCCAGGATGGTCTCGATCTCCTGACCTCGTGATCCACCTGCCTTGGCCTCCCAACCTGGGATTACAGGCTTGAGCCACCGCGCCTGGCCAGTGAAAATTTTTGTATGACTGCAGTCCATAGCATTAACAAGCTAAAATCAATACCATTTATATATACAAACAGCAACCAGCTAGAAGACATAATGGAAAATAAATTCCAATTTACAGTAGCAGCAAAAACAACTAAATACTTAAGAATGAAATTAATAAGTACTACACAATCTACATGGGGAAAATTAAGAACACTTTTGAAAGATACAAAGCAGACCTGTACAAATGTAAAATGTGTTACTCTTGGATAGGATGAGTTAATATAATACTTTCTAATTTAATTTATAAATTTAACACAATCCCAATAAAAATATCAGTAAGCTTTTTTACAGCATTAGAAAAGTTGCTACTAATAGAACTTGCTACGTAAAGCTCATAGGGAAAAGTAAATATGTGAGTATAACCAGCAAAGCTGTGAAAAGGAAAAACTATGAGGGCAGCTAGCGTTACCAGATGTCAAAACATACTATAAAGCCTTTACAAGTAAAGCAATGTGCTACTGGTACATGAATTGACAAACTGATCAGAGGAATGACTAGAAAGCCCAAAAATTGACTCAAGTACATACAGAAATTTACTGTATGGTAAAGGCATCTCAAATCACTGGTCAGAGATGAACTTTTGAATTACTAGCACTGGGACAAGTCGTAGCCATTTATAAAAAGAATGAGACCACACCATATACAAAAACAACCTCTAAATGGATTAAGGATCTAAATGTAAACAACAAAACCATGTAAGTATTAGAAGACATTAGTGAATTCTTCTGTAATCTCAGCAGAAAAAAAAGATTTCTATGACTCAAAATTCATAATCAACAAAAGGTTGATAAGTTTAATTATATAAACATTTTTGTATGGCAGAAAACATTATAAACCAAGTATAAAAACTGAAAAAACAGAAAATATTCACAACATATACCACAGACACAAAGGGCTAATAACCCTCGTATAAAGAACTCTCAAAAATTGAGGGAAATGATGCTACCAGTGCATGCATGCACCCTCCAGTGGCATAAGGATGGCCCTTGCCTGCCACCAGCCCCCACAAGCACCTCTTGGGAGTCTGAGGATTGGCCCATGCAGCCTGCTGCTGCCACTGAGTCACACAAACCACCTCGGGGCCTGGAGACTGACCTACTCAGTCCACCACTGCTACTGCACTGCCAACACCACACACAATGCCCAGAGTCCTGAGGACCCACCTGCCCAGCTCACCACTGGCACCTGAGCATGCCACATGGAAACCCAAGGACTAGCTTACCCAGACCCACCAATACTGGTGCTTGTCTGTGCCACCCAGGGGTCTAAGGACCAGCACACCAGGCCCACTGCCACCACTGCTGATGCCTGAGGACTAGCCTGGCTAGTATTCCTGTACCCTGCAAAGCCTTACCACAGCCTTCACTGACAACTCCAGCTTAAGCTGCTGAGAAACTCAGAGACACCACTGTTGCTGATTATGGCCAAAGAAATCATATAGAGACTACACTACTGCACCCACCCAGAATCAAAGACAAAGCTACCCAAGCAACGCAACAGATAAATCTATAGGAAAAAGGCTTTCCCTATGAAAGCCAATTCAAAAAATTGGAGGAAGTGACTGTTATACTAAATGTACAAGTATTAATATAAGGATACAAGAAAAGTAGAAAAGCAAGGAACCATGGCATCTCCAGAGGAGCCCAATAATTCTTCAGTAACAGATCCCAAAGAAAAGGAGATTGGTGAAATTCCTGAAAAACAGTTCAAAACAGTGATATCAAAGAAACTCAATGACATACAAAAGAACACAAACAATACAAAGAATCAGGAAAATAATTTATTTGAATGAGTAATTGAATAAAAGAGATAGATAGATTAAAAAGAACCAAACAAATCATGGAGCTGAAGAAATCAAAGAATGAAATAAAAATTCAGTTGAGAGCTTTAGCAATAGACTAGATCAAGCAAAAGAAAGAATTTCTCAACTTGAAGACAGGTCTTTTGAAACAATCCAGTCAAAAAAGAATAAAAAGGGATGACAAAGCCTCTGTGACATATAGGAAGCAACAAGCAACCAAGTATTTGAGTTTTGAGACTTCCAGAAGAAGAGATGGTCAAAGGCATCGAAAACCTATTGAGTGAAGTAATAGCTGAAAACTCCCTCAGTCTTACAAGAGATATGGATATACAGATACAGGAAGTTCAAAGATCCCCAAATAGATTTAACCCAAAAAGGTCTTCTCCAAGTCATATTATAGTCAAACTGTCAAAAGTCAAAGACAGAATTCCAAAAACAAGAGAGAAGTGTCAAGTCACATGTAAGAGAATCCCCGTCTGTCTTAGTTCGTTTGTGTTTCTGTAAAAGAATACCCAAGGCTGGTTTATTTATAAAGGTAAGGGTTTTATTTGGCTTGTGGTTCTGTAGACTGTCCAGAACCTCAGACTGCATCCACTCATGGCGGAAGGTGAAGGGGAGCCAGTGTGTGCAGAGATAACATATCAAGTGAGGAAGCAAGAGAGATAGAGGCATGGTGCCAGACTCTTTTTAACCTCCAGCTATTGCAGGAACTAACGGAGTGAATTCACTTCTTCCCTAGAGAAAAGTATTAATCTATTCATGAGAAATCTGCCTCCATGTCCCAAACACTTCCCGTTACGCCCCACCTTCAATATTGTGCATCAGATTTCAACATGAGGTTTGGAGGAACAAACATCCCAATGATAGCACCATCAGACTAATAGTAAGTTTTTCAGCCAAAACTTTACAGGCCAGGAGAGAATGGGATGATATATTCAAAGTGCTGAAAGAAAAAAGACTGCTAGCCAAAAATATTTTACCCAGGAATAATATCCTTCAAAAATAAAGGAAAGTTGGCTGGGCATGGTGGCTCACGCTTGTAAATCCCAGCACTTTGGGAGTACAAGGTGGGCAGATCACCTGAGATCAGGAGTTCGAGATCAGCCTGGCCAACATGGCAAAACCCCATCTCTACTAAAAATACAAAAAAAATTAGCTGGGCATGGTGGCAGGTTCCTGTAATCCCAGCTACTCGGGAGTCTGAGACAAGAGAATCACTTGAACCCGGGAGGCAGAGGTTGCAATGAGCCAAGATTGCGCCACTGCACTCCAGCCTGGGTGATAGAGTGAGACTCTGTCTCAAAAAAAAAAAAAAAAAAAAAAAGGCTGGGCATGGTCTTTCATGCCTGTAATCCTAGCACTTTGGGAGGCTGAGGCAGGCAGATCTTGTGGTCAGGAGTTTGAGACCAGCCTGGCCAACATGACAAAACCCTGTCTCTACTAAAAATACAAAAATTAACTGGGCGTGGTGGTGCACTCCTGTAGTCCCAGCTACTCAGGTGGCTGAGGCATGAGAATCTCTTGAACCCAGGAGGCAGAGGTTGCAGTGAGTGGAGATTGTGTCACTGCACTCCATCTTGAGTGACAGAGTGAGACTCTGTGTCAAAAAAAAAAAAAAGGCAAAATAAGTCTTTTCTAGACAGGCAAGAACTGAGGGAATTAATCACCACTAGGTCAGCCCTACAAGGAATACTTAAGCAAGTCCTACATCTGGAAATGAAAGGAGGATATCTACCATCATGAAAACACACAGACATGTAAAATTCACTGGTTGAGCAGACATAAATCAGAAAGAGAAAGTCAAATATTATCACTACAAGAAGCCCACCACATCTAAAGGTAAACAATAAAAGAGGAAGAAAGGAACAAAGGATATACAAAACAATCAAAAAAACAATTAAAGTGACTGACAGGAGTAAGTTCTTACCTATCAACAACAACCTTGAATGTAAATGGCTTTAATTAGAAGATGTAGACTGGCTGAATGGGTAATAAAATAAGAACCATTAGTATGCTGCCTGCAAGAAACTCACTTCCCCTGTAAAAACACATATTGATTTAAAGTGAAGGGATGGAAAAGGCTATTCCACGCAAATGGAAACCAAAAGTATGCAGGATTCGCTGTATTTGTATAACACAAAATAGACATCAAGTCAAAAACCAAAAAGACAAAGAAGGTTATTATATGTAATGATAAAGGGATTAATTCAGCAAGAGGATATAACAATTGTAAATATATATGCACCTTACACCAGAGCACCAAGTGTATAATGCAAACAGTGTTAGAGCTTAAAGAGAGAAATAGACCCCAATGCAATAATAGTTGGAGACTTCAAGACCTCACTTTCAGCATCAAACAGATCATCTATATAGAAAGTCAAGAAAGAAACATTGCACTTAATCTGCACTGTAGGTCAAATTGAACTAATAGACATTTACAGAATTTTTCATCCAATAGCTACAGAATACACATACACATATCAGCACATGGAACATTCTCCAGGATAGACCATATGTTAGGCCCCAAAACATATCTCAACAAATTTTTAAATATTGAAGTTATCAAGTATCTTCTCATACCACAGACTAGAACTAGGAATCACAGACTAGAACTAGGAATCAGTAACAAGAAGGAAATTTGGAAACTGTGCAGATACATGGAAGTTAACATGCTCCTCAATGACCATTGGTCAATGAAGAAATAAAGGAAATAAAAAAAAATTTCTTGAAGCAAATGAAAATGCAAGTACAACATACCAAAACCTATGAGATACAGTATAAGAATTGCTAAGAGGAAAGTATATACCAATAAATGCCTCCATTAAAAAAAAAGATTTCAAATAAACAATCTGAAGAGTGTACCTCAAGGAACTAGAAAAGTAAGAACAAACCAAACCGAAAAGTATTAGAAGAAAGATTATTAAAGATAAGCGTGAACAACTATACACTAACAAATTGGAAAACCTAGAGGAAATGGGTAATTTCATTGACACATACAGCCTACCAAGATTGAACCAGGAAATAGTAGAAAACCTGAACAAACCATGTTACTGGTTATGAGATTGAATCAGTAATAAAAATTGTCCCAACAAAGAAAAGCCCAGAACTAAATGGTTTTACTGCTGAATTTTAACAGACATAAAATAGAACTAGCACCAGTTCTTCTCAAACTATTGCAAACAATTATAGAGGAAGGAGTTTCTCCTAACTCATTTTATGAGGCCAGCATTACCCTGTACCAAAACCAGACACAGGCACAACAGCCACCACCGGAAAAAAAAACAAAACAAAAAAAAACACAAAAACCCACTATGGGCCAGTATCCCTATTGAACATAGATGCAAAAATCCTGAGCAAAATACTGGCAAACCAGATCTAACAACACATCAAAAAGGTAATATAGCAAGATTAAGTGGGATTTATTCCAGTGATGCAAAGATGGTTCAACATAGACAAATCAATAAATGTGATATATCACATCAACAGAATGTAGGACAAAAACCAACAATCATTGTAATAGATACAGAAAAACCATGTGATAAAATTCAGCACTCATCCATGGTAAAAACTCTCAACAAATTAGGCATAGAAGGAAAATACCTTGACATAATAAAAGCAATAGGTGACAAACCCACAGCTAAATTGTACTGAATGGGGAAAAGCAGAAAGCCTTTCCTCTAAGAACTGAAACACGACAAGGGTGCCCATTTTCACCAGTTATTCAGTATAGTACTGGGGGTCCTAGCCAGAGCAACCAGATGAAAGAAAAAAAAGGCATCCAAACTGGAAGACAGAAAGTCAAATTTTTCTTTACAAATGACATGATCTTATATATGGAAAAACCTACCCATTCCAATTTATCTGTACATAAAATAAGAACCAAAAGACTACAAAAAAAATCACAAAACTGATAAATGAATTTACTAAAGTCGCTGGATACAAAGTCAATATATAAAAATGAGTAGTGTTTCTATACACTCACAGTGAACTAGCTAAAAAAGAAATAAAGAAAGCAATTCAGGTTACAATAGCTAAAAAAGAACAACAATAAAAAACCCTGAGAATAAATTTAACCAAGGAAATGAAAGATATCTACAACAAAAACTGCAAACACTAATGAAAGAAATTGAAGAGGACACAAATGGAAAGATATCCTATGTTCATAGGAAGAATTCATGTTGTTAAAATGACCATACTATCCAAAGCAATCTATAGATTGATTGCAATTAAAATATTAATTGTTTATGTTAAAGTACCAATGACATTCTTCACAGAAATAGAAGAAACAATCCTAAGATTTGAATGGAACCACAAAAGTCCCCAAATAGAGCCATACAAAGCAAAAAGAACAAAGCTAGAGGCATCATACTACCTGACTTCAAAATATATTACACAAAGCTATAGTCATCCAAACAGCATGGATCCACGGAACAGAATAAAGAACCCAGAAATAAATTCATGCATTTCAGCCAGCTGATTTTTCACAGAAGTGCTAAGAACATACACTGGAGGAAAGAACATCTTCAATAAATAGTGCTGGGAAAACTGATTTATGCAGAAGGATGAAAGTAGACCATTATCTCTTACCACATATAAAAATCGACCTAAAATGGATTAAAGCCTTAAAGGTAAGACCCAAAACTACAAAACTCCTGGAAGAAAACATAGGGGAAATGTTTCAGCACATTGGTCTAGGCAAAGATTTTATGGCTAGGACTACAAAAGCCTAGGTAACAAAAAAATATATACAAATGAGACTATATTAAATTTAAAAGCTTCTGTACAGCAAAGGAAACAACAGAGTGAAGAGAAAACCTGTTGAATGGAGGAAAATATTTGCAAACTATTCATCCAACAAGGAACTAACATCGAGAATCTTCAAGGAACTCAATAGCAAAAAACAACAACAACAAAGAATCCCATTAAAAAATGGGCAATCTGACTAGACATTTCTTAGAAGAGACAGATTAAATGTCTGACTAGACATTTCTCAAAAAAAGACATAGATTAAATGGCCAACAAATATATATTTTAAAAAGTTCATCTTTACTAGTCATCAGGGAAATGCAAATCAAATCCAAATCCATAATGAGATATCACCTCACCCCTGTTAGAATGGCTGTTATCAAAAAGACAAAAATTAACATATCAAAGGGATACCCTGCGCTCACATGTTTATCGTAGCCACTCTCGGTAGCCATTGTATGGAATCAACCTAAGTGCCCATCAACAGTTGAATGAATAAAGAAAAATGTGGTTGTGTGTGTGCGTGTACATGTGTATACATAACTGATGAGTATTTCATTGTGTATTCTACAATATAAAAACTGAAGGAATGAGAGCACTGGTAGTTTATGAAACTTAGCAAAGGTTTAGAAAAAATAAATCCAATTTAGAGAGTTTCATGAAACATATATATTCATAGAGTGCAGATAAAAATGTGAGGAGTAAAAATATTTTACTATTTGGTTTGGCATTATGAATCAAAGTCCTGAAAAATCTTTACTATCCTTTATGTCCCCCCAGGAAAATAGCTCCTCACCCCAGGAATTTATTCTAAGGAAGTATTTACATATGTGTGCAAATAATTGTCTAGGAGGATGTGCATGACAGTATGGTTCTGTAATAGTGAAAAATTGAAAACTATTTGTTTAATAGAGCATTGATTTCTTAAGTAATGCCCTCATAAAAAAATTATGCAACTATAAAAATGATTTGGTTAAACGTTTTAAAGCATAGAGATAGGTTACAGGTCTGGTATAATGTTAAAAAAAAAAAACCACTGGGTTCAGAACACTAGGTACGATCTGTTTCTGGTTAAAAGTGTATATGTATATAGAAGAAAAAGGACTAGATAGAAGAGTTTTTATAAAATTATTAATAGTTGTTATCTCTGGTGATTGACATGTATTTAATTTTCTTTCTTCACTGAATATTTTTTTTACTTTTGCAATAAAGAAAACAATGGCAGTCCAGGCACAGTGACTCATGCTTGTAATCCCTGTACTTTGGGAGGTCAAGGCTGGGAGGATCACTTGAGGCCAGGAGTTTGAGACCAGCCCGGGCAACATAGTGAGACCCTATCTCTAATTATATTTTTAAAATTATTTAAATAAAAAAAGAGTAAACAATGAAGTTAAAAATAGTTTCTCAGGGCAGACTTTTTATGGACATATTCAAGTTCTCTGGATCACTATATCTCTGGCTTATGTTTAAGTATGTTCTTAAGTCTATTGAAAACTGTAGAAATAAAAAAAATTAAAGGTGAGTGTATTAGTCTCTTCAGGCAGCCATAACAAAATATTATGCATAGACTACGTGACTTTACACAACAGAAATTTATCTTCCAGTTCTGGAGACTCTTAAGTGCAAGATCAAGGTGCCAGCAGGGTTGGTATTTGGTTGAGGGTTCTCCCCTTGGGTTGCAGACAGCTCCCTTCTTGCTGTGTGCTTATATGAGCTCTTCGTGTGCATGGGAATGGGAGGTGACTCTCTGGTGTCCTCTTGGACCGGGGCTGCCTCCCCCATATGACCTAATTTAAACTTTACTGCTGAGTGGGCACAGTGGCTCATGTTTGTAATGTCAGCACTTTGAGAGGCTGAGGCTGTCTGATTGCTTGAGCCCAGGAGTTTGAGGCCAGCCTGGGCAACATGGTAAAACCCTGTCTCTACCAAAAAAGTACAAAAATTAGCCAGGCATGGTGGCATGTGCCTGTAATCCCAGCTACTCGGGAGGCTGAGGTGGGAGGATCGCCTGAGGCCAGGAGGCAGAGGTTGTAGTGAGCCAAGATCATGCCACTGCACTCCAGCCTGGGCAACAAGGTGAGACCCTGTCTCAAACAACAACAACAAAACAAAACTCAACTACTGCCTTAGATGCCCCATGTCCAAATACAGCCACATTGGCAGTTAGGGCTTCAACATATGATTTTGGGGGGACACACACATCCATATACCAGCCTTGTTGAACAAGCATCTTATATGTTCTAGGCTCTGTGCTTGGCAGTGGCACTAAAGAGATTAATAAGACATAGTTTCTCTCCTCAGGTTAATTGTAGAAAAATAATCCAAAAGAAAAAAATACCACCTCTGTTCCCAGGTGTAGCTTGCTTCTGATATTTTGGGGAAATAGTCTTTTTTTCTGGGTGAAATATAAATCTGTGTGTGTGTCTGTTTTATACGCATGCATTGGCTTTTGGTTGAATAAACATGAAGGGGCAAAGGAAGAATGTTCTTTTCACTTCCTGCTTTTGTGAAATATCTGGCGTATATGAAACTTTTGTTCCAGTAGGTAGAACAGAAAATGTTGAGAAATTAGGTGTGTAGGTTTCTAGAGAGAAATTATAGAATTTATTCTATAAACATAGAATTTATGTTTATATTTGAGGAAAGGGAAAATCAAAAAATATAAGGGCTAAACCCTTGAAGACATATAGATAAGCTTTAGTCCCATAATTTTCTGTTTGCAAATTTGCAAAATTATTTTACAATTCACCTAAAAATTGCATCATTCTTTACAGATCACTCTGTGTTACTTGAAGTTTATAGCTCAGCTGACTACTGCAGGTTACATCAGAAATTTGAGTTTTTATACCTATGGAGTGTTAGTGACTTAAAGTTTTATTGTCTGACCAGTACTTGATTTATGACATTGATTGTGCTTTAGCCACCCACTAAACTGTATATAGAGTTGTCACCGCTTATGAAAGCTGAAAGGGTCTAACCAGGACAAGTGTTCACATCAAATGAACTAGACTAAGAGAATAGATCTATGGATATGGCTAAGATCTTCCTCAAAAAAATAGTTTTGAGGCTGGACACAGTGGCTCACGCCTGTAATCCCAGCACTTTGGGAGGTCCAGGTGGTGGATCACCTGAGGTCAGGAATTTGAGACCAGCCAGGCCAACGTTGCGAAACCTCATCATCTCTACTAAATATACAAAAATTTAGCTGGGCGTTGTCGCGGGTGCCTGTAATCCCAGCTACTCGGGAGGCTGAGGCACAAGAATCACTTGAACCCGGGAGGCTGTGGTTGCAGTGAGCTGAGATTGCACCACTGCACTCCAGCCTAGGAGACAGACCGAGACTCCATCTCAAAAAAAAAAAAAAAAAAAAAAATAGGTTTTGACAATTGTATATCTGTGCACCAAAGATCTGAGCTATGGAGAGTGGCTCAAAAATATAAGTTGAATTTTTAAAAATTATATAAATTTTCTCTATAAAACACTTATAGAACACCCAAACTTAAAATTTTCTTTCCTTTGGTAGTGGATGCTGAGAATGGAAAAGGGATCAGAAAGAAGAGATGGAAGTAAAGGGAATAAGTAATACAGAAGCTTGAGGCTGTGGGGAATGTGGGAACAGAGGGACTTATAAAAAGGGAAAAATTAGGAGACACTATATGTGAAAGAAAATAAGTGACACTTGAAAAAAATGTGAAAAGATAATTATTTTAAGAATAAAATACATAATAGGGAAAATACAAAATAAAAATTGCAGCTACTGTTTTCTGAGCATTCATGCTTTAGACGCCAGGCACCATACCAGGTTTCCTGTCATTTCATCTTTAAAGCCATGAGGTAGGTTTCTGTGTCCTGTGTTACATATGAGGACCCAACACTAACTGAGCAGTGGAGACATCCTCTCTCAGCACTTCTGCGTGGAGCTTCCCCTTGGCCTTTTTTAATCACAGATTTCTTGTGTTTGCCAAGGATTCTTGTTGTATTTATTATGCTTTTTCTTTTTTTTTTTTTTTTCCAGTTCTGAAGGGGAGCAGGAATAAAAGGAGAAATAGAGATTTAACACTAAGTTCTGTATCAGACAGCAAGATTATCAGGGAATAAAACTGATGGTCATTGATTAGAATCATTTCTAATCAGTGTTACCTTTGTCTTCCTTTGTCTTTGTCTGTTACCTTTGTCTTCTTGCCCACCTCTTCCTGAAAGAGGTTTTCCAAAGAAACTTTCCTAAATGAAGGATAGGTTAATCACATTTCTTTGCTAGACAGCAGAAGAATCTGCAAGATGTTTATCTGGCACACTGATGTTACTAGCTTTGGCGGATACCTCTGTTAATGCTTGTTTCATATTTTATTTTGAATATCTTGTCAGGAAACAAGTAATATCCTGTAATTATGTAACCAGATAGTTCTTTCCAAAAGTAATACTGTGACAATAAAAACATTTTTAATTTAAAAATCTCTACATAGATTTTGGAAGTGGTTCTGTTAAATAAATAAGTCATATTGTGAAAATGGCCATACTGCCCAAAGTAATTTATAGATTCAATGCTATTCCCATCAAACTACCATTGACATTCTTTACAGAATTAGAAAAACTATTTTAAATTTCATATGGAATCAAAGAAGACCCTGTATATAGCCAAGACAATCCTAAGCAAAAAGTACAAAGCTGGAGGCATCATGCTACCTGACTTCAAACTATACTATAAGGCTACAGTAACCAAAACAGCATGGTACTGGTACCAAAGCAGACATATAGACCAACGGAGCAGGACAGAGACCTTAGAAATAACACCACACATCTACAACCATCTGATCCTTGACAAACCTGACAAAAACAAGCAATGAGGAAAGGATCTCCTATTCAGTAAATGGTGCTAGGAAAACTGGCTAGCCATATGCAGAAAACTGAAACTGGACCTCTTCCTTATACCTTATACAAAAATTAAGATGGATTAAAGACTTAAATGTAAAACCCAAAAGCATAAAAACCCTAGAAGAAAACCTAGGCAATACCATTCAGGACACAGGCATGGGCAAAGACTTCATGACAAAAACACCAAAAGCAATTGCAACAAAAGCCAAAATTGACAAATGGGATCTAATTAAGCTAAAGAGCTTCTGCTCAGCAAAAGAAACTATCATCAGAGTGAACAGGCAACCTACAGAATGGGAGAAAACTTTTGCAATCTACCCATCTGACAGAGGTTTAATATCCAGAATTTACAAGGAACTTAAACAAATTTACAAGAAAAAAGCAACCCCATCAAAAAATGGACAAAGGATATGAACAGACTCTTCTTAAAAGAAGACATTTACACGGCCAACAAACATGTAAAAAAAAAAAAACATGAAAAACTCAACATCACTGATCATCAGAGAAATGCAAATGAAAACCACAATGTGATACCATCTCACGCCAGTCAGAATGGCAATTATTAAAATAAGTCAGAAAACAATAGATGCTGGTGAGGCTGTGGAGAAATAGGAATGCTTTTACACTGTTGGTGGGAGTGTAAATTAGTTCAACGATTATGGAAGACAGTATGGCAATTCCTCAAGGATCTAGAACCAGAAATACCATTTGACCCAGCAATCCCATTACTGAATATATACCCAAAGGGTTATAAATCATTCTACTATAAAGACACATGCACATATGTGTTTATTGCAGCACTGTTTACAATAGCAAAGACATGGAACCAACTGAAATGCCATCAATGATAGACCAGATAAAGAAAATGTGGTACATATACTTCATGGAATACTATGCAGCCATAAAAAGGAATGAGATCATGTCCTTTGCAAGGACATGGATGAAGCTGGAAGCCATCATCCTTAGCAAACTAACACAAGAACAGAAAACTGAACACCGCATGTTCTCACTCATAAGTGGGAGTTGAACAATGAGAACACATGGGCACATAGAGGGGAACACACACCAGGGCCTGTTTGAGGTGGGAGGTGAAGAGAGGGAACTTAGAGGACTGGTCAATAGGTGCAGCAAACCACTATGGCACACGTGTACCTTTGTAACAAACCTGCATGTTCTGCACATGTATCTTATTTTTTTTAAGAAGAAACAAAAACAATAATAAACCCCCCCCAGAATATAAATAATTATATAGATTAATCTGTTCTCATGTTGCTGTAAATACCTGAGACTGGGTAATTTATAAAGAAAACAGGGGCTGTGCATGGTGGCTCACACCTGTAATCCCAGCACTTTGGGAGGCTGACATGGGCGGATCACAAGGTCAGGAGTTTGAGACCAGCCTGGCCAATATGGTGAAACCCCGTCTCTACTAAAAATACCAAAAAAATTAGCCAGGTGTGGTGGCGGGTGCCTGTAGTCCCAGCTACTCAGGAGGCTGAGGCAGAAGAGTCGCTTGAACATGGGAGGTAGAGGTTGCAGTGAGCCGAGATCACATCACTGTGCTCCAACCTGGGTGACAGAGTGAGATTCGTCTCAAAAAAAAAAAAAAAAAAAGAGGCTTAATTGACTAACAGTTCTGCAGGCTGTACAGGAAGCATGACGCTGGCATTTACTTGGTGTCCGGGGAGGCCTCAGGAAACTTAAATCATGGTGGAAGGCAAAGGGGGAAAGACACAGGTCACATGGCCAAGCAGGAGCAAGAGAGAGAAGTGGGAGGCGCTACACACCTTTAAACAACCAGATTTCGTAAGAACTCACAGTACTAAGAGGGACTGTGCTAAACCATTCATGAGAGATCCACCCCCATGATTTGGGTGAGACATCCAAACTGTATCATTGTGGCACTAGGAGAGTTTAAAGTTATATTCTGAAATCTGAGCTCTGTTACAGTCGTAAAAGAATTTCTGAGGTTGACATTCTTTTACTATATTTATTTATCCCTGTTCCCTTTGCAGTCGTTCACAGATGTGAATAAATGTTCAAAATCCTACCTTCATTGTGTGGGATTTGGGTTTTAAATTATATTTCATACATGCTAAGGAGCAGGTTTGGTCACTCACACTTTTTGTGAGGCCTGTAAACTTTGATTTATTTTTGAGTTACTTATGTCTGTTGGAATTACGCTTCAGCCTAGAAAATTAAAAGGTAATGTTAAGCCTCTCTTCTCCATCCCATTTTCTTAAGGCTCCTGTTCCAAAGAGTGCACTTATTCCTGTAATTCCCATCACCAAATCAACAGGCTCCCGGTTCCGGAATAGCGTGGAAGGATTGAATCAGGAGATTGAAATAATAATTAAAGAGACTGGGGAAAAGGAAGAGCAACTTATAGTAAGTGATCTTGTATCTTAAAATCATTCTTGAACTCTTATAATTATTAAAAATGCACAGTTTGGGTTTCCATATTTACTTGGGTTTCTTCCTTCTCATTGAGAGAGCAAAAATTTATCTCTTTTGAAAAATCTTTGACCTGGGTGAGTGAATGAAAAGTTTTCATTTTGTTGCATGTCATAGAGGCAACTGATCTGACTTGAATTTGGATTACTGAACAGAAACTATTTTTTGTTTGTCTGTATTTAGAAACCATTAGGTGATATACTTCTTATTTGCTGTAACTCCAGTTAACAAAAGTTTAGCTTACTAATTATGGGGGGCAGAAGTTTACATGACATTGAATACCTTCTAAGCATGAATCTGTCTGCTCCTTTTTTGAATGTCAGTGACTATTTGGTTTTGGTTGACATGCTAGGCTATGTCATCATAAAGTACATTTAGAAATTATCTGGCTGTGCACAGTGGCTCACACCTGTAATCCCAACACTTTGGGAGGCCAAGGTGGGCGGATCACCTGAGGTCAGGAGTTCAAGACCCATCTGGCCAACATGGTGAAACCCCGTCTCTACTAAAAGAATACAAAAATAAGCTGGGCATGGTGGTGCGTGCCTGTAATCCCAGCTACTTGGGAAGCAGGGAGAATCGCTTGAACCCGGGAGGTGAAGGTTGCAGTGAGCTGAGATCGAAAAAAAAAAAAATTCTGCCTATTCTCTTTACTGACTAGAATACACATGAGAATAGTTGCTATGTAAAACAGAAAAATTAACTGTTTTGGTTTAAAAACCATGCCACAGAGTATATTTATTTATCTAACCGTCTCTCTATTCTTTAGTGAAGGAGGAATTGAGTATTGTATTGATGCTTAAGATCCTCTCCCTTAAGATAAAAGGTTGGTTTAGCTTAGAGAAAATACAGCTCCCCACACCCTCTCCTCCATCCTGCTTGATGGGGTACAGATTCCCTGATGTAATAAAGGTAAATGAATCAAAGACGTGCAGGGAGTTGGTTTCCTTGCTAAGTGATCCACACAGGCTTTCCTCTGTGTGTGTACTTGATTTTCTCCCCATCAACAGCACTTCTGTGATTAACCTTTCCCCCATTTAGGAAGGTTGACTTGAAAAAATCCTTTCAGGGCGTGGCATCAGTGTTCCTGGTTCACATGATGAATAACCTTTTTCCTCTAATGTGGAACCTAGTGTTACACCTAGATTTCATGGCCCTCATTTATAATTTTTAAAATAACCCTTAGCACACGATAAGTGATTCAGTACAATTCATTTATTCAGCAAGCATTGGCCACCTGCTGTATGCCTGGCCTTGGGAATACAAAGTCTTCACCGAAGACTCTCAGTGTGGGGGTCAGATTAGACAGGGATGTCACTAACGTGCAACATGAAATCCTAATAAGTAGGAAGGGATTTCTGATTTGTGAGTCTCTGGCACTATATGGGAAGGTTGACATTGGGTTCATTGCTGGTGATTCGAAATTAATTATAAATATACCTATGTTTTTACAATTTTGTAACAGCCGCAAGATATTCCAGATGGCCATCGTGCTCCACCCCCCCTTGTACAGAGAAGTAGCAGCACGCGCAGCATTGACACACAGACGCCTGGTGGGGCAGACAGGGGAAGCAACAACAGCAGCCGTTCCCAGTCCGTGTCCCCAACATCGTTCCTCACCATTTCCAATGAAGGTAGCGAGGAGAGTCCTTGCTCAGCGGATGACCTGCTTGTTGATCCCAGAGATAAAGGTACAGTGCTGGAGGAATGTGCTACTAGATGATAATGGAATACCTCCTCTTGTATCATTCATTCTATTCATTTTCTAGCAGAACACACACACTCGAGGCTACTCAGTTAATGTGTTCAAAGCCTAGGTTTTCAATTTGGAGTGTAAACAGGTTTGACTGTCATGCTCAGTTGATGGTCTAGTTGGGCAAGTTTATGAGCTTTTGTTAGTTTGTAGCTCTTTTTTTGCACTTGTTAATACAACTTCCTTATTGGTGAGAAACATTCTTTTTGGAATAAATGAGATGAGCACTTGCTCTGAAAAGCACTTTGGTCTCTGTCACCTGATAGTCATGATTTTATTACCTTAATGCTTTTTAAATCAATACAAAGCCTTCAAGTTAGTGTTTTTTAGGATCTGTACTTGTGACATTTTAAACAAGGATTAAACAGATTTATATCAATGCAGGATGAGTGTTTAAAGCAAGCCTGATGTAAAACGTTGGAGGGTACTTTTAAAAATAACCTTAAAATACCTTAGAAGTTACTTGGAAATAGAAGCAGTTTGAATGTTAATTACAAATATTCTTGCCTTTTAAAACAAATATTAGCCTTGCATCTATGTCAGGACAGTATTTTCTTAGCCTAATCCTGGTTACGTTGTGTACTTGAAAGCAATAATAATGACATTTATTTATAAATTCTAAAGCTCAGTTCAGTAGTCATTTATTTAGAACCTCCTCCATACAGTGTGTTGAATGTCCTAAAATGCCCTGCTGTTAGGACTGGCTGCTACTACTACTCATCACCTAAGACATTAAAACTGTGACAAGCGCAGAAGACAGACGATTCACTGAAGAAGTTACTTTAAACTGTGGGAAGTTGTAAACTGTTACTCTTTGGACTTTTATTGCTAGCTTCTAGGTCTGATAAAACACGGGTCAGATAAAATCTGGCCCTTGATTTCCCATACTTTCTACTTCTACGTCAATAACATGTAGAAAGTCTATAAATAAATAAACTCAATAAATGTTGTGTCCTGATCCATTTGATTTTAGTAGCTGGTTGGCCTCTGTGAATTTCTTTTGTAGGAAAACTGGGCTGTAGTGCTGCTGCCAGCAAGGAGTTTGTAGCTTAGCTGGTACAGACTGAAAATTTAGAACAGATATTTAACATATTAAAATTTTTAAGTTAATATAAATTGAGGATATCAGCACTAAACAAGAATATCAGAGTAAAGAAATGTTCCTCCTGATAGGGTTAATTTAGAAAGATTTCAAAAAACTTGAGTCAGAGCCAGACTTTGAAGGACCTTTTGGAAAATAAACAGAACTTACTCCTTTTAGGTAAGGGGAAATTCATAGGCAAAAAAAATGTTTGGCATCCGGTAGCTCTCACTACCTGGAGCAAAGATTGTAACCAGCGGAGCAGAGAAATCAAACTGAGAAATTTTGAAGCACAGGCCAAGAATTAGTCATCAGCAACCAATGAAGAACCATTTCAGATATTTGTACTGGGAAAAATGGAAGTAGTGTTTGAGTGCATTTGTTTTGTAAAGAATAGAAATAAGGCAGCCAGCTAGATCAGTGTTCACTACTGAGGATTATGTGATACAGGCCTAGGCTATGGTAATTGTAAGTGGAAGTGAAATAAATATTTTATTTGTGTGTGCATTTATTTAACAAACATTAATTATCTCCTTGATTAATAAAGCACTGTTCCTGCCCTCAAGTAGTTCATGGTGGGCTAGTCCAAGAACAATTAAATATAGTATGACTATACATTTATGTAGTAATCTAATGTGTCATTTCTTGCAGAGAATGGGAACAATTCTCCTTTGCCCAAATATGCAACCTCACCAAAACCTAACAACAGTTATATGTTCAAAAGGGAACCTCCTGAGGGCTGTGAAAGGGTCAAAGTCTTTGAGGAATGCTCGTAAGTATCCCTTCCACCATCCCCACAAAAAAACTATTATGAGCTTTTTTTTTTGAGATAGGATCTCACTCTGTCATCTAGGCTGGACTGCACTGATGCAGTCACAGGTCACACTGCAACCTCTACCTCCTTAGCTCAAGTTATCTTCCCACCTCAACCTCCCAAGTAGCTGGGAATACAGATGCACACCACTAGCCTGGCTAATTTTTTTTTTTTTTTTTTGAGACAGAGTTTCACTCTGACACCCAGGCTGGAGTGCAGTGGCACAATCTCAGCTCACTGCAATCTCTGCCTCCTGGGTTCATGCCATTCTCCTGCCTCAGCCTCCTGAGTAGCAGGGACTACAGGCGCCTACCACCACGCCCGGCTAATTTTTTGTATTTTTAGTAGGGATGGGGTTTCACCGCGTTAGCCAGGATGGTCTCAATCTCCTGACTTCGTGATCCACCTGCCTCGGCCTACCAAAGTGCTGGGATTACAGGCATGAGCCACTGCGCCTGGCCTAGCCTGGCTAATATTTTAAAGTTTGGAGAGACAGGGTCTCACTGTGTTGTCCAGGCTGGTCCCAAACTCCTGGGCACAAGCAATCCTCCTGCCTCAGCCTCCTGAAGTGCTGGGATTGCAGGCATGAGCCACTGTGCCCAGCCTATTATCAGCATTTTTAAGTAAGCTGAAAGAATAGTATAGTGATCACTCATATATCTACAACTCAGATTAGATAATAGCTAACATTTTGCAGTATTTGCTAAAAGTAACCACAGTACTACTATATAACCACAGTACGATTATCTTAGAAAGTTGACAGTAATGCTTAATATCAGCTAATATCCACTTGTTACTCAAATTTCTTTAGTTGTTTGCAGAATGTCTTCTGTGGCTGTCATTTGTGAACATGTATCCAGTCATGTTTACATGTTGAATTTAGGGGTATATAGGTTTGGCTGCTGCTCCTGAACGGGGGAGGTCCCAAAGGTCTCAGCAGCGTGGGAAGGCTAGGTCGGAGTTCCTGCCGAAGGGACCTGTGTGGTGCTGCTGAACCACTGTGATGTGGCATCTCCTTTCACCGAATTCCACAACAGAGTTTCCAGGGCTGGGGATGGTATTTCTGCCTCCCCTCTTTGTCTTCGCCTTTCCTTGGGGATATTTTTCCTTTCATGTATTTACCATGCTTCCCATGGGTTAAGGCAGTGTCTTGTCAGGGAACCCAGGATTGTGGGGAAGCTGGTTGTCTAACCCAGTCTCAGTTTTTCTAGTGTAGAAGCCATGAATTGTGCTGGGCAGAATAAGGGTAGGGTTGTCACAGATGTGGAAGTCTGATTCTCAGTTTTTTCACTTCTCTGTGGCCCCAGGAACTGTCTCTTCATATTTGAATTCTAGGATATTGCTAGTAATCATCTCAGTAATACGTATTTGTTTTTGGTTTTCTGTGGCAGGGAGTGGAACCATGTGTTTCTTTGCCACTATTTTGGAACTGGAAAGCAGAAATGGGCTCATTCTATTAGGTTAAAATCTGTTAGCCCAAATGTACTTTTTTGGAGTTGTGCCTGCCCCCCTCCACTGCCAGCCCTGCTGAGACAGGTTCTCACTCTGTCACCCAGGCTGGAGTGCAGTATTGGAGTCAACAGTTCACTGCAGCCTTGACCTCCCCGGGCTCAGGCAATTCTCTCACCTCAGCCTCCCAGTTAGCTGAGACCACAGGCATGCCACCACACCCAGCTAGTTTTTGTAGAGATGGGGTTTTGGCATGTGCCCAGGCTGGTCTTGAACTCCTGGGCTCAAGTGATCCACCTGCCTTGGCCTCCTAAAATGCTGGGACTATAGGCATGAGCCACTGCATCCGGCCTGAGTTGAGCTCTTTGATTTACTCATTGGCCCTTAGGATTTGCCTAAGTGCTAAATGTAGAGATTTGGTTGATTGGCTCCAAAGCATTTTGATTGTTTTTAAGAAATGACTTTAAATATTTGTTGGGTGGTGTCCTGTGGTACCTGCCTTAGACTATTGCATTTGGAAAGTTTCTGAGGACTCAGTGTCTGAGCTATGTACTACTACATTATTTATCTTTAAAGGGAGAGAAGAAAAGACCAGAGAGGTGTGTGTGTGTGTCTGTAGATAGATCAAACATAAGATAAACCCTAACATATTACATGGTTGGGTTTTTTGTTTTTGTTTTTGTTTTTATTTTTTTTCTTGAGATGGAGTTTCACTCTTGTCACCCAGGCTGGAGTGCAATGGCATGATCTTGGCTCACTGCAACCTCTGCCACCCAGGTTCAAGCAATTCTCCTGTCTCAGCCTCCCAAGTAGCTGGGATTACAGACACCCACAACCATGCCTGGCTAAGTTTTGTATTTTTAGTAGAAATGGGGTTTTACCATATTGGCCAGGCTAGTCTCGAACTCCTGACCTCAGGTGGATCTACCACCTCTGCCTCCCAAAGTGCTGGGATTACAGGCATGAGCCACCGTGCCTAGTCATGTTACATGTTTTATGGCACATTGATCTGTTAGTAGAAGGTAAACCTATTCTTTTTTTTTTTTAATGTAATGTTTATTATACGTTTTACTGGTAGAAAGACTGTGTAACACTATTAATATTTTAATCACGTTCCAAAGACAAATTAGCAGTCGTAACTAAGTGTGGATATCTAAGAAGTAATTTTAACCTTTTGTCAATAAAATAAGTTACTCAAAGTCTTTTAAAAAAATTAGTGTCTTTTTGTCCCAGATATGTCAAAATTAGAACAATAACCACCGTGCACACCACAATGAAAGCAAGGGTAGATTGTTGGTCCCAATGTAACATTTTAGCTTTAGCCATTCTTTTAAGAATACTTTTCTCACTAAGTCTTACTTTTGCTTTAAAGTACTAACTCTGACCTGAACTGGGGGGTCGGGATGGGGTGAGGAGTGATCTCTGATTTCTAGAAATGTGTCTGTTTACCTGAAAGAAAATAGGTGGTTGGATTTGGGCCCAAAAAGGACAAAACCAGATTTTGTACTTCCGTCTCTATAATCTTTTTGATAACAGCACATACCATAGCCATGTCATCTGCACTTAGTAAGTCCTTTTTAATGAAGTTGAATATACTCTTTCCTGATCCCAGCTAATGAAGTCCTTAGATTCTTACACATTATGGCTTCTTTGCAATATAGAGGCATTTTTAAGTTATATCTACTTTGAGACACAATCCTTTTAGAATAACTGCTTAAGAAAAAATAAAATTTTAAAAACAGCGTGAGTTTTTTTCTTTCTATGTATGGTTTGTAAGTTGAAGAGTGCTTTGAAGTAACGTTAGTATTTGCAGCTTCTCCTAGCATATGTGTAGGTCACATATCCTGTGGTGGGTCATGTTTTTCTTGGGTAATGCACTCTTAGAAGCCACAGAGGTTAGGAAAGTGATTCTTCTTGGTGGGCTGGGGTAATGACAGGAAGAAGAAGGCACAAGGAGAGTTTTTTTGGTGCTTTATGTTATATTGGTGTTAATGTTCTGTTTCTCGATCTGATCAGTTAGACAAGTTATTACTGTTTACATTATTTTGTGTGAGGTATATCGTAAGTCTGTTTTCATGAAAGCAGCAAGGAAGTTACATGGTTTTTAGATTCCTGTCATTAAAAAAACAATTCCAGATCAAAAACTTTATCTAAATCAGGAAGTTTGTACTTCAGAAATGTGAAGTTTCATCCCAGAGACCTATTAGCAGCCACGAGTCTTAAGTCTTTTTTTTTTTTTTTTTTTGAGACAGAGTCTCACTCTGTCGCCCAGGCTGGAGTGCAGTGGTGTGATCTTGGCTCACTGCAAGCTCCACCTCCCGGGTTCGCGCCATTCTCCTGCCTCAGCCTCCCAAATAGCTGGGACTACAGGCATCCGCCACCATGCTTGGCTAATTTTTTGTATCTTTTAGTAGAGACAGGGTTTCAACGTGTTAGCCAGGATGGTCTCGATCTCCTGACCTCATGATCCGCTCGCCTTGGCCTCCCAAAGTGCTGGGATTACAAGCGTGAGCCACTGCGCCTGGCCTTCTTAAGTCATTTTTAAGAAGATAACCTCAAACAAATAATTAAAAATCTAGCCCTCATTTGGATGGAACTGTTAAAATTAGCCTTTTCATTTTCTACAAGAAGTTTTTCATTCTACAAGAATGAAAGTTAACTTCGGTAATTCTGTCTTCAAAGGAAAATTTAAGGCATTATTTAATTATGGAAACATAACCTCAACTTCCTCAAGTTCAGTGTATTGAAAATCATGCTCTCAGATGATAAAAATAGAAGGGTGTATGTTGTTCTTATCAGTAATATATCCAAATATACTTGTGGCACTAAAAGTACTCAACTATTCTACAAAGAATAGTGCCCAAGTTGAACATAACCTACATGATGTATTTTTCTTTGTTCTTAATTGTTATATTTGCCAAAGCTCTCCATAGTGTTCACTGTTAATAAAAATCTGCCCACCTAATCATTGTCTACTTGGAACACACATCTTTTTGGTGTCCACTCCCCATCCGCTGTTTACTCATTCTTCAAAACCCAGCTCAGAGGGTTACTACCAAACCCTCCCTCTTCCTACAGGCCACAGGTTATCCACCCCCTTGTGCTACCTGTAAACCTTTTTATAAACCTCTGTAATCATGCCTGTTAGATTCTCTTGTGGCGGTCTTAACCTCTTCTGTGCTGTGGACAGCTTTGGCAGTCTGTGTGGTAAAGCTTGTGGATCCCTTCTCTGAATAATGTTTTAAATGCATCATATACACAAGATTATAAAGGAAGCTAGTTATGTTGAAACACAGCTCTGTCCCCATCACTCCTCACCCCACAAGAACTATAAATTTAGTCCACCTCCTCCTTGTGGATTGTTTCAACTTTGTATCCTCAGAATTTAGTGAACACTTGCATTTTTATTGAACTGATTTAGATTTTTTGTGTGTGTGTGAGACAGGGTCTTGCTCTGCTGTCCAGGCTGGAGTGCAGTGGCCCGATTATGGCTCAGTACAACCTCCACCTCCCAGGGCCAAGCTATCCTCCCACCTCAGCCTCCCAGGTAGCAGGGACTACAGGTGCATGCCGTCAGACTAGATTATTTTTTTTTTTAAGGTTTTTATAAAGACGAGGTCTCACTATGTTGCCCAGGCTGGTCTGGAACTCCTGGGTTCAAGTAAGCCTCCCCGCTCAGACTCCCAAAGTGCTGAAATTACAGGTGTGAACCACCATGGCTGGCTGATTTAGATTTTTATTGTCATTGGAAGAGATGAGAATCAACCTAAGTCTTGATTTATTTAGGTTCTCCCACCTTAGTTCTGTGGCATTTCTGTGTTGCTTTAACAATGTAGTTTTTTTATACTTTTAATTTTCATGAAATACCATTAATACCAATATCTTTTTCAACAATTTGGGTTAATTTTCAGGAGGACCTAGGAAAAGGGAAGGATTTGGCTTTAATAAAAAGCTTTCAAAGCAAAGGAGTTTTCATTTTGATTTCACATTTACATTATATTGCTCAGAAAACTATCAGGGTTAACTCAAAGAATTGTTTCCATCAAAGAGATTTTTACAAGCACTTGAAGAGAAAAGCCAGGCCTACCATAGTTTTAGTCATGCAGTGGTGGAACTTAGCAAAAGACGGACATTGTATATCTTTAATTTCCTTGCTGTCTCCTTCCAGTATACTATAGACCTCGGAAAAATCATGGCAGTGGAATATACCATACATAAAGGCATACATGTCTTTAAACATCTAGATTTTCTTTTGCTATAGGAAATTCATTATTCCCTTGACCGTCTTAGCTCATCATTGACATGCAGTGCTCATCGGGCTGAGCCACCTGCATGGTAATGGGGCTGTCAAGGGAACTGAAAGCAGCAATGATGATGGGGGCTTCTTGCATTCTAAGATACATATGTTGAATCATATGTCAGATAGCACTTTGGTCCTTTATGTTTGAAGGTGGGGGACAGAGCTTGAGTTTTATATTCCTTTTCTGTGATGTAAGTTAACTGTTTTTAAAAAATAAAAGAGCTTGTTTCCAAGCTTTTTTTTTTTTTTATTTTTTAAGTTCAGTGACTTAAAAGCATTGGGTTGTCTGTTCTATGTCTAGGCCAAAACAGCTTCATGAAATCCCAGCCTTTTATTGTCCTGACAAAAACAAGGTGAATTTCATTCCTAAAAGTGGATCTGCTTTCTGCCTCGTCAGCATCCTCAAGCCACTCCTTCCTACCCCGGATCTTACACTCAAGGGCTCTGGCCACAGCCTGACAGTCACCACTGGCATGACAACCACTCTGCTGCAGCCTATTGCTGTGGCCTCCCTGTCTACAAACACAGAGCAAGACCGAGTCTCTCGAGGAACAAGTACAGTCATGCCATCAGCTTCTCTACTCCCACCACCAGAACCAATTGAGGAAGCTGAAGGATAGGTCACAGTGCAACGTGGCTGTTGTTCTGGGAAATTGGGAACCTCCTCAGATCACTGGATTCTGATGGCATCGTGCGCTTCTGGTCGGCTGTGATGTGCTCCAGCTTTCCAGTGACATGTGACGGCGAGGCTTCTGGAAGAAAGGATCCCCCGTGACGGCTCTGCCCCACTTGTGAACGCCAACCCTCAGTGCTTAGCCTGCTTTTTATCAAAGCACTGATTGAAACAAGAAAGGTCTCATTCTTTACCTTTGGAGAGACAATATCACGTTTTTGTTTTCGAATTAGACTTCTTTAAAACACACACACACACACACACACACACACACACACACACACACACACCCCTGATCCTTGCCAACATGATTCCTAAAGGGAGATGTGACTGATGCTGCAAGAACCATCTTTTCTATGAAAATGACTATTTTATAATATACCAATGTTACATTTTCTGAAACGTAGCAAACAGGATATTCAAAAGATTCTTTGGTGGCCTCTGTTTCTTGTTCCCTTTCTAGATGTGTGCTTTTCTCAGCTGTTTTCAGCTTTGGGACCAAAGGGATTGTTGACGTTTTCCCAGCAATCTTAATCTCATGACTATGTTCTTCTCCCAAACAAGGATTGATAGGTAAATGCATTGAACAAGTATATATAAAAAGAGATTAAAAAGCAATATTCGTACATTATGTGATTTATGTTTTTGATGTCAAAAGTTTGTGCTTTGGGTGAAATATTTGTATAACTGCTGTTTTCTTCACTACTCCTGTACACATTTCACCATGTGGTCAGAAAAGTTGTAGTCTGAAGACAAGTGCTTTAATATGTTCTCACCCATATTGGAACTTGATTTAAAAGTCAGTGAGCCAAAAGGAAGCTATCCAGCGTTGATTGCTAGCTAAGAGTAAGGAGCCCCTTTGGTTTTCTGTGATATATATATATATCACACGCTCTCCCTCCTTTACCACAGGTGTCATTCTACCTTTAATCATCACTGTATCATAGCCCCAAAGAGATCCTGAAATGGCTGTGCATGGATTTCCTCCTTTGCCCTTGTGATGTTGTTGTCTTGTGGATTTGGTTGGGCTAGTAGTTTGCCAGGAGTGTAATCCAGTGGATAGTGATCCAAACTGTAGCCGCAGAATCCTGTGACTGACATTTTTCTTTGTGGTGGTGGTTGGCCCTGAGATTTGTTGCCTACAGATTTTGCTAATTTACCCCCCTAACGCTTCACATAGTGGGGAAAATACACAAGAAGAACTTGAGTATGAACGATAAGCACCTTTGAAAACTCCATACAGTTTTGGATTAGGGCTCATCCTAATATAAATCACTGCCAGTATCACATGACATCAGTATGTGATTTCTGGGTATGTGGTAGTGAGATTAAGGAGCAGCTTTTTTTTTTTTTTTTTTTTGAGACGGAGTTTCACTCTTGTTGCCCAGGCTGGAGTGCAATGGCGCAATCTCGGCTCACTGCGACCTCTGTCTCCCAGGTTCAAGCAGTTCTCCTGCCTCAGCCTCCCAAGTAGCTGGGATTACAGGCATGCACCACCACACCCAGCTAATTTTGTATTTTTAGTATATATGGGGTTTCACCATGTTGGTCAGGCTGTTCTTGAACTCCTGGCCTCAGGTGATCTGCTCGTCTTGGCCTCCCAAAGTGCTGGGATTACAGGTGTGAGCCACCACGCCCATCCAGGAGCAGCTCTTTTTTTAAAAGTGAGTTTCAGCAAACAGTATTGAATAAAAGCATCCTTTTCATATCTTCATATACTACTTTATGATGCAATAATTTACTGTTCCTATACATATTATAAGGTAGAAAAAAGTTTTTAAATCCTTATAAAGAGGATGCAGTTTAGAAGGTTAATATGTCAGCTTACCCAGACATATTCTATCAAGGAAAACCTAGTGGTAGCAATAAATCTTTGGAAAGGACTTCTTATACTCATGTACCTTTAAAACATCTAAGCAATTTAAAATAATCCCTGTTGAGTTTAAATTCGAGATGCATTTAGGTAAATTGGATAAATTCAACATTTGAATAAATCCGTCAGGTTTTAGATGGTGGGATTGATGAACTTTGGTACTTTCTCAATCCAAAACTAATTTATTTGGAACTAGTACGTTATGGCTTCTCAGTCATGAAAAGCTCAGTTATTTGGGGTCTACATTTTCTCACTGAGAGCCTTGATATTTTGCCTTCTTTGTTATGCATTATAACTTGACTGTATCACCACTGAGTATCTGCTGTATCAGAAGTTCAGAAGAAAAGGTAAAACTGAAATCAGAATGGGGGTAGAGGAAGTTAAAAACAAGTTATTTAAAAAGAACTCTTGGTTTTTGGATGACTTGAATTCTGTTAAATCTGTGTTCTTGGCCTTGCACTTCCGTTCCTCTTCCATCTCTATCCCTGCTAGTCACAATGGCATTTTAGAACTAGAATGCCACTCTGTAGAGGTTTTCCCTTTTGCTCTGTTGTGCCTATTTGTCTAATTCATATCTTTCTGTGGAGTTTCATATGTCCTTAATCTAAAGTAACTTAAAATTGGAATGGAAGAACAAGTTTCAGAATTATTTACAGTCTTATACATAGAACTTCTAGTGTAATGTTTGGTTGTAAGGAGAATGTGAATTTGCAGGTAAATGAATTGTATGGCAACCAGACAGATCCCTGGGGTTTGGGAGAAATAGAGCTTGAGATTTGAAAAAAAGGTACAAGGTACAAAACAACTCTAACTGCCAGTGCCAAAGGGCTAATTTTTAAGCATGTAAGCTTTACCACAGTCTTGAAAAAAATATTAACCATAGGTTCATTCAGCTGTTTTATTTAACCCTTAGTTCCCTGGTGGTTGATTTTTTTTTTAAATGGGTCTCCAGCTTTCCAGTGAAATGTGACACTCTCAATAGAATGCATAATGTTGGTTTCTAAAGTTACACTCCATAATTATTGTTATTCTGTAGAAAACTGTACAGAAGGTAAATAGAATAGCTTCAATGGGAATATAATTTAAATTTTTTTAATTTTATAAAAATTTATTTCCATTGCATTAAAAGAAATGGGTAGCATGTGTCTTTCAGAGAAAGGAGCTATTTGGTTATTCACTTTGTCAATCTTAGGTTTTTTTAAATCTTTAAACAATTTCTTCTTTGTGATGATAAAAATAATATAAATTTACTGTTTCTGATCATGACTGAGTCTATTACTTGTCATGGCTTTTGTACGCAACTGTGTTTTAAAAATACCGGTTTTGCCTCTTTGGTTACATGTGGTGAGCATGGATGTCAAGATTATTTTTCAACTAGATTATTCAATTTGTTTTATATTTCTTATACTTAATACTTATGACTACAGTCCAAATCAGTCTTTTAGAAGGTGCTCTTGCTAACTGTGGAATATTTGACGACATGAAAGTCCTTTTTCTTTGCTTTCAGTGGTTGGCTTTCACTGAAAGAAAGTGTAAAAAAAGTCAGAATTTATAGCTTTCACTATGTCCAAGACTAGGACTGGGTTATAAAGATTTTCTTTTGTGAAGGAAAATAAAAGAAAATTTGCCACTACTGCATTTACTTTACTATTGTAAACTTAAGATTCATTCCTTAGTCTTTGGAATTTTGATGTCTCAAAACCAGATGAGTGGAAGTGCTGAATTTGCAAAATAAAGCTAAGAATGCTTAACTCTGCACTTTAAGTTCTACTCTGACCAAATTGAAGATGAGCAGAGCAGCCCTGAACAGCATTTTGTTTATACAGTCTTGTTTAAGAATAGAATTTTTTTAACTCTTCATTTTTTGTCTCTGTGGAAGCTGTGTAACTCTTTTTAAAATGCAATTTAAAACATTTTGTTATTCTAACAATTCTCTCAAAAAACAGCATTTCCAATGGTAATCGGTATTGTTACGCTGTACTTATGTATTCCCTGTACCTGAACACTTGTTGCTGCCTCACAAGAAAATAGAACTTTTATGTTAAAAATAAAGTCTGTTCTTCTTGAGTTTTTTTCTGTGAATTTTTATGAATATTGTCCAAATTCAAGTTACATTTCTTTTTGGACTGGTTATTTATCTAGCTTTTAAGCGGTACATTGTTTTTCTCAGACTAATAGAAAAATTTGTTTGTGTTCAGCAGCAAGTTCCTTGCTACCCCTCACCTGCCCTAGAACTGAAAGTACCTGCTCTTTGGGGTAAGTGCTAGGCACACATTAAAATATAAGCAGCACAGAGAGATACCCACGCGTGAGGAATTCACTGCTTCAGAGTTTTGTTAGAGGTAACTTAGCTGGGGCAGTCACTTACATTCATTATAAAGTACATGAGAGGAGTTTTTTTGTTTTAATTCTTGGTAATTCAGCCATATTCTTCCTTTGTGACAGTGGCTTATATATGCAAGACAGTCGTTGGGTTTCAGGGGACAGTTGTTGAGTTTTGGGGATTTTGTCTGTATCCACACAGCAGAGCTGGTCAGAAGGCTACACTGTAATAACTTAGAAAGCAGGGACACATTTTAATGACATAAGTCACCACAGTAATTTGGTCACCAAATTAATTTTTTTTTGTTTTTGAGACAGAGTCTCTGCTGTGTTGCCCAGGGTGGAGTACAGTGGCACAGTCACTCAGCTCACTGCAGCCTCAAGCTCCTGGGCTGAAGGGATCCTTCTGCCTCAGCCTCCCAAGTGGCTGGGACCACAGGTATGTGCTACCACGCCTGGCTAATTATTTTATAAATTTATTTTATTTATTTATTTTCATAGAGACAAGGTCTTGCCACATTGCCTAGGCTGGTCTCAAACTCCTGGCCTCAAGTGATCCTCCCACCTCTGCCTCCCAAAGTGCTGGACTCAAGGGATCCTCCTGCCTCAGCCTCCCAAGTGGCTGGGACCACAGGTATGTGCCACCATGCCTGGCTAATTTTTATATGAATTTATTTAATTTTTTTTTTTTTTCGTAGAAACAAGGTCTTGCCACACTGCTTAGGCTGGTCTCGAACTCCTGGCCTCAAGTGATCCTCCCACCTCTGCCTCCCAAAGTGCTGGGATTATAGGTGTGAGCCATTGTGTCTAGCCTGTTAAAATTTTTGAAATATTATTTCTGAGCAAAAAAGTTAACCAGAGTTTGGGGATAGCTAATATATTTACACAATAATTTAACATAGTATCAAATGCAAAGAGAATTCTAAAATTGGCACGTAGAGTTTTCTCCCTTTCTTTCTTAGTATTCCCCCACCCCCACCTTTAAAGAGGTTGAGGAGAGCAAATATGTGAAATACAGTCCTTGTAGTCTCTTCTTCATAGCACTACCCTGCTAATGTGTAACAGACACTGGTTTTTTATCCTTTGCTAAGATTAGGTGTGCTTTAAAACATGTTTTAGTATGATAATGCCAATAGCCTTTGTAGCTCTTTGAATCAGTGTTTTCCCAACTGTTTGGGTCTTGAAATGAACTAAATGGGTTCAACCAACTTTTTAAAAAATGAAGCAGAATAGAAAACATAAGTATATTCATACATAAGGAGAGTAGTTTTCATGCGTAAAACTTTTGTTAGAGATATATACGTATGTCCTAGCTTGTAGTATAAAAAGTATTTCTCACTGAAGCTTGTATTAAAACGATATGAAGAATATTGCTGTAGCTACAACTTTTAGGTTTGTCTGGTATCTTAATGTAGGAATGAGACAGGAGTCTTGAAGACATTGTTTCTACTTCTCTTTACTACATAGCTCCAAAATTTCTAGGTTTTATAAAAACAAACCAAAAAAACCAGAATTCTCTTTCATCATTTTGCATCATCCTCAAACTGAGAATTTATCTCCATATATTCTAACTTTGATTTTATGTACTAGTGTGGATTAGTCCTGCTGAATCATTGTTTTATAGAAGACTATCTTGGAGGCCTTGATAGTTAAAAACCAGGAGTATAACCATTTGTCTCAATTCTATATCTTAAGTAATTATTTTTTAGATCATTGGGATAATTGAGAGGAGAAACAGAGAAAGTCCTAGATTTAGGGCCACAGTTTGGGTGCTAGTTCTGGCTCTGATGCGTAATGTTTATGGGATCTTGGGCCAAGAAGTCACCTTTGTGAACCTGTTTTATTTGTGTGATTAAGGAAATGCTGACAATAGTGCTATCACTTAGAAAATATGAAACTGTAAGCAAACATTTATCTGCCTTCATATTTTGTCACGTAAGTTTATTCATTCCATAGGGGAGCCAGTGGTTTTTGGTCATGGGAAGTGTTCTCATAAAATTCATTTTAGCTTGTAAAGTTTAAAATCGTCAAAGATAAACTGAAATTGTAATAAAAATTGATAATGCCTCTTGATAGCTTACCAAATATCGGACACTTTACATATTACTTTTACCCTAATCTTTATAATAACCCTTTGAAGCCAGGTACTGCTATTTTTACTATCATACAGATAACAAAATTGGAATTAGGTTGACTTTTCCATGGTCACACAGCTGGGAAACGTCAGAGACTGGCTTTGAACCAAGTCTGACTCTGGAATTCAGAGTTAATCATGTAGTCTTACTGCTACTTTGCTTGCACCAGTGACGCTGGTAAAATAAAGATGTTGGAGTCATTGCAGATTATGTGACATTGGGCCACACGGCCTGGTTCTTTGTGATCCTCTTCATTGCTACAGCTGCTGGCAGCTTAGTTCAGAGGGTCAAAAGAAAGGAGCTGGTTAGTTATCGGCTCCTGATCAAGGATGTTAGTGACACATTCTCAAACTCTCTGGTTTTTAATGTTGCTATAGCTGCAGAAAATAAAAAGAAATACTCTTTAATTTGGGGAGCACATGTTTTAGAGAGGCGAAAACGAACTTCAGTCACATTTCTGGTGGGTTTTTAATTCACCTGGCTTTTTTGAGGGAAAGACTTATATAGTTGGTTTTTTGCTCAGGCTGGAGTGCAGTGGGCAATCGCGGCTCACTGCAAGCTTCACCTCCTGGGTGCAAGCGATTCTCCTGCCTCAGCCTCCCCAGTAGCTGGGATTACAGGCGCCTGCCACCAGGCCCGACTAATTTTTGTATTTTTAGTAGAGACGGGGTTGCACCATGCTGGCCAGGCTGGTCTCAAACTCTCGACCTCAGGCAATCTGCCTGCCTCGGCCCTCAAAGTGCTGGGATTACAGGCTTGAGCCACCTCACCCGGCCTATAATTGGTTTTTAAATCTCTGTGACTTGGCATGCCCATTTAAGAGAGAGGGGACAGTAAAATCATCCGGATCACAATTCAAATGTGTGCTTGAAGGCACTACAAAAAAATAACCAAAAATATGTTAGTAGTGGTTATTCCTAGATGGTAGTGCTATGGCTGATTTTTTTCTTTCAGAAGATATTACTTTAAAATGGGAAAAAAGAAACAACTTTTTATTTTTTTAAATTTTTTATGAGAAAGTGTCAACATCTTTATTGCTAATATAAGCATTTAATGTCAAAGAAATGAAGGTAATTTTACAAACTAAATTTTTGTAAGTACATGAAATTTCTATTTGATTATGTGGTTTTATATCACATTCGTTCAAATGCATTTCTTTCCCTTAGAGGGACTATTCCAACATCACTCCTTTGGAATTATTTCAGTCATCCCTAACATGTGACTACCAAAGACCTTGAAGCTAAACAAACAAAGAAAACAAAATTTCAATGACTCTTAGATGAATGGAATAAGAAGTAGTCATCACATGTCAATTAGGGATGTTTATCTCCAACAAGACACTGTCAAAATGTTTCTTCTGATAAAGCAGTTATGTCAGAGCCTTCAAAAAACACGGGCAGAACAAGAGTACAATAAAAGAAGCGTCTGCAACTTAAGCCGTCCACAGTCCTAAGCCTGATATGCTCAAAGCAAAGCCTCTTTCCCACAAACTAAATTCCATCCATTTGAGCTTTCAGAGATAGATGCCCAAGAGCTATCATTAATATATACAGCATATTGACTCTAGTTGCATCAGTTATGCATGAAGAGTTTAATAACCATCCAGGTCCAAAGGTGGAAGAATACATACACCGGTATGGTAATAGGCAAGAGCAGGCTGTAAAAGCAAAGGCTAGCTGTGCAAGTGCAGCCCTGTGGGAAGTTTTCTTCTACAGAGGCTGAGTGGAACAGTCCTGCTAAATAAACCAGTGGAATAAGAACAGTCAACGTAGAAAGAGACAGAAAGATTCTTCTCTTCCGCTTATTACTTGCCACTGTGTTTTAAAAGGTATATGGTACTAAGAAGAGTTGGCTGTTTTATTTTTTTAAATTATGAACTAGCGCTGCTCCACTTCTTGCTTCTTTGATGTGTCATCCTAGCTGCCTAATATGATAATATTAGGAATCCCATCAATGATTGGATAAGCTATTCTCAACTCTTCATTAATCAATTCATTTGTTGATGCTTCATATCTGAGCGGCTTCTTGGAGAGCGGGCACACCAGGAACTCCAGCAGCGCCGGATCGAAGGCGCGGGGCGGCTCCTGAGTCTTCTCGCTCCTGTCGGCCAAAGGCCGTGACCCCGACGCGTGCAGGCACCTACGGGCGACCGCGGACGGCGGCGCGCGCGTTCCCCGCAGCGCTGAGGCGAGCCTGCCGCGCGCTCCGCTCAGCGTGGTCTGGCAGCCGGAGACCAGGCCTCACTGCGCCTCCAACAGCCAGGGTCGAGCCCCTGGCTCCCCGTTCGTCCAGGCCAGCTCAAGAAACAACTTTTTCTTTCATGTTTTTTGTATGTGTTTTTTTAGGTTATGGTCAGTGAGGTTTAGCCACAAGAGATATCACAGGAGAGACACAGGAAAAAAAGTTGTAATATACTCACAGGTCCTAGAGAGACCAGTCACTGCATGCTGAGAGGGGGTCACATGGGAGGGGGCTCAGCCAAGCAGGTGGGGAGCGGAGAGGCCTAAGACATGGGCAGGAGCCTTTGGGTCAGGGAGAAGCACACAAGAAAAAGAGAATTTCACTGGTGCATTTAAATGTTACTAGGTCATGGGCAAGGTAGCAAGGGAAACTTGTGGCAGGGGCCACCCATATCACACTGGGCCAGGTGCTCACAGCCTGTTTGTGGAGATGTTGAGGCAGCAAGAAAACCGGAAGTTTAAAACGTACACTACAAATGTAAAAACATACACTGCAAAATCTCACCCACAACACCAGTCAGAACTTCATCTCCTTTTTGTATTTACTCTTTGGCCAATGAGTAGTTAATTTACACCACTGAGTGAAGAACCATGTTTTGACTTTAAATGCCAAGGACAGTTTGTTTTGAACTCTTTAGTAGTCTTTTAAATGGTACAGAAAAAGATGGAAAAATAGCTTATGTTGGGCTTCTGGATGTGACCCATCTTTACCAACCATTTTTCTTATCTTGTCCCTTAGTTTTCTTTGCCATGTTTAAGCACTTTACTGTTGCATGAAATGCATTACTTTCAGTTCTACTAAATTAATATTTTAAAGTTCGTTTTTCCTTCCTAATTTCTATATTCCAAAATTCTGGGACTGCTTCATTGCTCAAGGTAGAGAAATGCAGGGCCCTGCCAACACTATGGAAGACAAAAATAACTGAATCAATTCTGGCTCTCTTCTTTTTATTCCTGCCTTCAATAAGTCAGGTTACATACTATGGCTTATATTTAATTGTTTGTGTCTAGGCTCAGATTTTTGATATTTGTTAGTTTTTGTTACTGAAAGTATTTACATAAATAACGTACATTATATTATTTCCCATATCTTACATAGTCCCCTTGTATATGAAATAAGAACGAATTCATCTCACAAGGATTTTCTTTTGAGACGGAGTCTCACTCTGTCACCCAGGCTGGAGTGCATGGCCTGATCTCAGCTCACTGCAACCTCCACCTCCCGGGTTCAAGCGATTCTCCTGCCTCAGCCTCCCAAGTAGCTGGGATTACAGGCATCTGCCACCATGCCCAGCTAATTTTTATATTTTTCATAGAGATGGGGTTTCACCATGTTGGCCAGGGTGGTCTCAAACTCCCAACTTCAAGTGATCTGCCTGCCTTGGCCTCCCAAAGTGCTGTTATATAGGCGTGAGCTACCGCGCCTGGCCTTACAAGGATATTAATTGCCCTGGTTTTATTTTCGTTCTCCCATGTCCGTATCAACTCAATGTACTTTCCTAATACTATGATCTTGAGGTAAAACCCAAGTTTTTGAATAGGAAAACAATAATTGTACTAAAAACTTCAGGAAACAAACTCTTGTTTTATGCCTTCTTGCAATCTTTATTAAAAGAGGCTCAGAAAAATAGATAGAGCACATGTAAACTTCCTTCGTTCTAATGCTGTAAGACCTCTACATTTCTAGATGGTCTATACAGATACGTGAAATATTTATAGTTAAAATACAAAACACTTTTTCAGTGTGCAAATACTGAAACCTGTTTGTTGAAATACAGTTTGTTTCTAATCATATCAAGGTTCTACAATTAATGAAGGATTTCAAAAACATACAAAATTACACCAATCTGATCTTATTATGCCCTGGTATTCCTGCGTCTCCTAAAAAATGGTTGTAGACACACTAGGCAAAGTTTAGCTCGTCTGGTTTTTTTTAGACTTAAAACACATTTTTATCCAGTATAACATAAAGTATAGATATTTCTCCCCATTTAACATAAAAAATATCTATTTTGAGGGTTGTTCTCAGCCTACCATTGGTTAAGGATAATTAATTTACTTCTTATTGAATGGATTATCTAGATTGAGACAAAAAGCAACCAGTCATTCTCTGTTCTGTGCTTATCCCGTCCTTTCCCTCGTTTCTTCAGTGTGGTGGTTTTTTATATTAGCAGTATTGGTTTAATAGAGCAAAATTTCTTTCTGACCACAAAAACTGCTGAGCTTCAAATAACTAATCTTGAGAAAATACGAATGTGGTTACCTTCATCTTAATATAGTTACTGATATGCTCTTCAAAAACAGTGGTTGGACTTGTTGGAAGTTAGAACTGGACTTGCTAAGGAAGTTAATGTTGCTCTGGGTTAAATGGGAAACATATACTCTGTTGAAAGAAGAAATGTTATAGAAACTAGTAACAGAATAATAAAAGTCCCTTGTATGTCTCCATTTCGGGAGAACTTTTGCTTTTGGAAAATTTAGGGTGTTCCTAGTATGGACTTTGGGTTTCTGCTTTGTCTGCTTGTTAAAGTATCTGTATTCGATAACAGGGACTTCCTTGCACACATGTGAGGGAGATAAATATCTCAGAACTAATGCATTAGCAAGGTGACCACTACAAAGAAAAATGGTACAAACTCTCAAGACATAAAGTTAGCTTTTTTTTTTTTTTTTTTTTTTTTTTTTGAGAGAGTCGCTCTCTGTTGCCCAGGCTGGAGTGTAGTGGTGCAATCTCGACTCACTGCAACCTCTGCCGCCTGGGTTCAAGCAATTCTTCTGCCTCAGCCTCCTGAGTAGCTGGGATTACAGGCATGTACCTCCACACCTGGCTAATTTTTGTATTTTTAGTAGAGACAGGGTTTCACCATGTTGGCCAGGCTGGTCTCGAACTCATGCCCTCAAATGTTCCACCCGCCATGGCCTCCCAAAGTGCTGGGATTACAGGCGTGAGCCACCATGCCCAGCCAAAGTTTTAGCATTTTTTGAGGCACTCAAAAGTTGAGAGCATCAGAGTCACCATGGGTATAGAATTCAGATTGGGATTCGTAATCATGATCTTGGTGATTGGAACTTGGCAGAACAGTGACAGTATTACATTCTGGGAAATTTCACTGAGTATAAAGGAAGACTTAAGTCTTCTGAAGAGATAAGTAATGGCTCATTAAAATCTAAAAGAAATAGGAGTAATATTGTGAAAAGATTTTATGGAAAGACTTCATACCTTTTTTCTGAGTCAATGTTTCTGACCTTCAGATAAGGTCTTTCCAGCCTATACTGTACTTGGCCATTGTAGTAGTTTTCTGGAGAGCCTGTGGGCAGTTACTATTGTAGATGGCTATGGATGGGACATGGACTGCATTTTACCTACTCTGGTCCAATGTTTTCTATGTACCATGACAAACATTACAAGCAATCCTTTTCTAAATAAGCCTGTTTAGAATAGAACTAAGAGCACATGGAAGCTACTGTGAATAACTTAGTTAAAATGTCTTTTTTTTTTTTTTTTTTTTTTGAGACGGAGTCTTGCTCTGTTGCCTAGGCTGGAGTGCAGTGGCGCCATCTCAGCTCACTGCAAGCTCCGCCTCCCGGGTTCACGCCATTCTCCTGCCTCAGCCTCCGGAGTAGCTGGGACTACAGGCACGTGCCACCACGCCTGGCTAATTTTTTGTATTTTTAGTAGAGACGGGGTTTCACCATGTTAGCCAGGATGGTCTCCATCTCCTGACCTCGTGATCCGCCTGCCTCAGCCTCCCAAAGTGCTGGGATTACAAGCGTGAGCCACCGCACCCAGCCAGTCAAAATGTCTTCTTATGGAAATGCAATGGACTGGATGACAAATATAAAACAAACACACACTTGGGAAATTGCTTCAAAATTAAAGGGTGGGCAATTTAAAAGGACAGGAAATTGAGTGATTGATGTGTGTGTACGGTAGCTACGTTTTTATCAGCTTACACTAACTTCCATTAAATAGCCTTCCTCTCTAATACTTAGGTTCTAAACCCTGTAGGGGTAACAGATTTTGCTTAGTAATCAAATAGAACCTCAGATCATGTCACCCACAGAAAGAGGGAAGTAGAAAAATGAGACACTCCCTTATTGATCACACAGAGCTTTCTGTATGTCTGCCAGAAAGTATTCTGGGTTAAATAATTATGTCACAAAATATGAGATAAGTATGCAAATATATGTAAGGATAAGGTGTTCATAAGTGTCTCCCTCATTCAGATAGAAATTTCTAGGTATTTCAGGAATACTATTGCCAGTTGCTTAGGGAATATTCTCCCCTCATTTTATTTTCAGGAATAATATAAATACTGCATACTACTATATAGCAAGTGTATGAAAAAGTGGGTCTGAAGACACTTGTACAAGCCTTAAGTATTACTGTGCATTCTGAGTTTTAGGAGATGGGAAGATAGATTTTTCTGTTTCTGCAGAGGATGGGCTTAGCAAATTAATTATCCTGCTACTTCCCCTTCAAGATTTAATAATGGAATTAGGGAGTGTCCATTATTTTGTATGAATGAAAAAACATTACATTTTAGCCTCCAAATGAAGAAAAACAAGTACCAAGTTTCTCTGTGATTTCATTAAAGCAAACTGAGTTCTCAAATCTTACTCTCTCTAACCCAAAACAAAGCTGGTCTGGTTCTAATGGTGTTTTCCAAAACAGAAAATCCTCCTCGCTACTATTTCATTTAAAAACTGACCCCAAACCACAACCCAATTTACATGCTATCTATCTATCTTTGTTATCCACATATAAAATTCTCACAGCCAGCAAGGCAACTTAAAAGGGTTTCCAAAGAAATAAGCTCAACTCCATATTGACAGAATTATTCCTAGCCGTTATTTTGACATAAATTTCAGTATCTAAATATCGCAAACTCTGTAGTTTCTAATATTTTCCACATAGAAGTTTCTAATATTTTCCACATAGTACCAACAGCTGCAAATCCAAGATATGAAAGATGTGTACTTATTCAAATGTGGTCTTTACCATCTGTCTAAAGTTGGCTGACAGGTGTTATATTCACAAACACCGTGCTTTTGTGTGCGGGTTACAATCTAAATCCTTTCCACGAAGGAAATACGTTGCAAAATTGATGTCTCAAGGCCACTGAAGTGACATTATAACTTCAGTCAAGCATTAAGAAGTTCATCATCTGAGTGTCCAATAGCATCTGGGTTTGAAAGTGGATCCAAGTCTGCAAACAGATTGAACCAGGCTGACATGTCTTGGTTGCCATTGTTGGGGGCTATTAAAAAAGAAAAAAAATACATTAAAGAGATTCAGTTTTGAAATCATGTTTTTGTACCATATTTATGATTTTGAAGTAGGTGCTTCTTTTGGATTAAGAAAAAATTAAGATAACTGACAATAATCTATCAACTATAGTCCCTTTAAGATTTTTTTTTTTTTTTTTTGTTTTCGGTAGAGACTGGGGTTTCCCTATGTTGCCCAGGCTGGTCTGGAACTCCTGGGCTCAAGTGATTCTCCCACCTCAGCCTCCGAGAACACTAGGATTATAGGCCTGAACCACTGCTCCTGGTTTAAGATAATTTTGAAAGGCAAATGCATATAACTTGTGCTTTGATGAGGTGCCTATATTTAAATAATTGTATGCTGCTCTGAGAAAGGAATTGAGTTAAAAGTGAAAAGGCAAGCAATACTGTGGTCTCCATAGAACATTTAAGATCACTTATAGAAGACTCTCAGATAAGGTTTAAAAGTAAACTTGTTCATATCAAGTAAGAAATGACATTTGTAAACACTGCTTCAAGTTGATTTATGTTTATTATAAAAGTGGTATTACAAAAATATTAGACATAAGGGAAAAAACTCCCCCTAATCCTACCACATTAGCACACCCAACATTGTGATTTTGGTTTACAGTTGTTATGTCTTTTCCATGTGCACTTTAAAACTTTTTGATGTGCGCATTTTACAGTATGCATTTTATCTCAGGTACAACTTCTTGTTCATCAGATCCCTCACATCTCCTTATGGAGACTGGAAAATTTTATTTCTCAAGATTCTACAAGTTGCACTGTGGCAGATATTCAAGAGTGTATATTTGGGCTGAGGGTTGGGACTAATAAAGAATGCACAGTGGCACAGACAGTGGGTCATCTCAGAAGTCTAGGCCCTTGAAAGCCAAGGAGTCCACAAGGCAGGGTTGAGACCCAGAGGACAGTCTAAGAACTGGACATGAAACCAGAGTCACAGTGTGGAGGGTAGAAGGCAGTCCCAAGGCAATCCTCTTTCACATCACAGTAACACCACAGACCAGAGGGCTGGGGTTTGGGGTATAGGGATCCAGAGCCCAAGGATCAGGGCAGAGTGAAAGGCTTCACTCTGTGTGTCCAGTTCTGTTTCTGAGTACCCTGAAGTAGTATCAGTGATAACCACACAAAATCTGGCTTTGAGTCCTGGGTGTAACACCTACTAATGAGTAATACTGGGCAAGTCATTTAACCTCAGGGTCTCTTGTCTCCTCATCTGTAAAGTAGTAACCATATGATTCATCATGATATCAGGATACATGAGACTAAATAGGGGCACTATTAGTCATTATGCCAGAAGAATAGGTGTCACTAAGATAATACCTGACCTCCTTCATGCAGCTGTTGAAGAGTCCTGAAAAGTATGTAAATATTGTACAGCATTATGCAAATGTAAGACGGTTTTATATTCATTAGTCACAATGGGAAATAAAGGTCTGTCCGTTACATCTTTTATAGAGGCTCTCCTTGTGTACACTATTACTGCCTCCAGAGATTCTTATAGGATAACAAGCAGAAAATGAATTCTATATAGAGAGAAAAAGCCCAAATTAAACATAATGTTCATAAAGTAAATACATTCATCAACAATATCAGAATCAAGAAGTAGAACATGGCTGGGTATGGTGGCTCACGCCTGTAATTCAAGCACTTTGGGAGGCTGAGGTGTGCAGATCACCTGAGGTCAGGAGTTCGAGACGAGCCTGGCCAACATGGTGAAACCCCTGTCTCTACTTAAAAAAAAAAAATTAGCAGGGCGTGGTGGCGCACACCTGTAATCCCAGCTACTTGGAAGGCTGAGGCATGAGAATTGCTTGAATCCGGGAGGCAGAGGTTGCAGTGAGCCAAGATTGCACCACTGCACTCCAGCCTGGGTGACAGAGTGTGACCCTGTCTCAAAAAAAAAAAAAAAAAGACTCCTCCTCTGAAGCTCCCCTCATGCCTGATACCCTGACACCCTTCCAGTCACTATTCACACACCCCCAACCCCAGGGAATGCCAGGGTAAATCCCATTCTGGTGTGTTATTAACAGTATCACAGTGACGCTCATTAGCATATATTTTAGTCAATGGATAGATGCGTTTCTGTTAGGTATGTACTTAGGAGTGGAATTGCTTGGTCACAGGGCATATGTATGTTAAATTTTAGTAGAAACTGCCAGTTTTCCAAGTGGTATTACCAATTTACACTCCTACACGCAGTTTTTGAGATTCTAGTTATTTAACATCCTTGTCACAATTAGGGATTTTCTTTTCTGTTTCATTTTAGCCATTGTAATAGGTAGGTCTTGAATTCCATTTTGCTTTTAATTTGTACTTCCTTAATGACTAATGAAGTGAGGCTCTTAATGAACGAATTTTAAAGTTGTTAAAATTTTCAATTTTATGGCCGGACATGGTGGTTCATGCCTGTAATCCCAGCACTTTAGGAGGCCAAGGCAGGTGGATCACTTGAGGTCAGGAATTTGAGACCAGCCTGGACAACATGGTGAAAACCCGTCCCTACCAAAAAATACAAAAATTAGCCAGGTTTCCTGGCGTGCCTGTAATCGCAGCTACTCGGGAGGCTGAGACAGGAGAATTGCTTGAACCCGGGAGGCGGAGGTTACAGTGAGCCAAGATCATGCCACTGCACTCCAGCCTTGGTGAGAGAGCACAACTCTGTCTCAAAAAAACAAAAACAAAAACAAAACATCAATTTTATTAATTTTTTTGTTGTTGTTTGTTTTGTTTTTGGTTTTTTTTTTTTGAGATGGAGTCTTGCTCTGTCGCCCAGGCTGGAGGGCAATGGTATGATCTCAGCTCACTGCAACCTCTACCTCCCAGGTTCAAGTGATTCTCCTTGCCTCAGCCTCCCAAGTAGCTGGGACTACAGGCGTGTGCCATCACGCTCAGCTAATTTTTGTATTTTTAGTAGAGACGGGGTTTCACCATGTTGGCCAGGCTGGTCTTGAACTCCTGACCTCGTGATCTGCCCACCTTGGCCTCCCAAAGTGCTGGGATTAGAGGCATGAGCCACCGCACCCAGACTGTTAAATTCTTAAGTTTAGTTTTGTTGTACCTTCTTGGTGAGAAGTTTTTTTTTTCCCCCTAAATTTTTCCTCGAAAATCAGCCTCAAGAATTAGAGGTAAATAGTGCCTTTGCTTTTTTGTGTTCGTTTCTGAAATTTATTTACTTTATAGTGTCTGTTTTAAATGCTTAAGCACAACTTGTTTTAGCTGGTTTTTAAAAAGAAAAGTATAACTATAAGTACTCTGAATCCCTGAGGGATGGCTGTATTCTGAACCTGCCAGTGTGAAATCTGTGATTTGCTTGGAATTGAGGGTTTCCCCTACTGGCTGACCTCAAAGTACTGGGAAGAATAAAATAGATTCCAGGAGTCCACACTGATATCAATGAATAAGTAAATAAGTAGGGAAAAAGGGAAAGCTTTCCCATTCAGTAGAACACTAACTTGTAAATAGAGAGGGAATGAGGAAATAGAAAATCACCGTTTGGCAACAACTACAGTAATAAATATTTCATGGAAGAATTATCAGTGAATGCTAAATTAGTGGGCAAAACTTCAGTAGAAACAAACCATTTGCAGTATTTCAAAACACTTCCCACAAGATACTTACGAATTACAAAGGGAAAAATACAGCAGTCACTTTGTAATGGAGAAACGTGACAGATACCACCATAACCAAGTGATCAGGCTTAACATCACCAGAAGTGAAACAAAATAGACATCATGCACCCCCTGATAGGATTTACTAAGGCACAACACCATTCCTGCACTGGTAGTCCTGCCAAAATGCATAACCTGGGTCTAATTATGAAAAAACATTAGCTAAACCCAAATTCAAGGAATATTCAAAATAAATGACCTGTACACTGCAAAAATGTCAAGGTCATGAGACACAAAGATTGAGGAACTGTTCCAGATTAAAAGACTAAAGAGACTTTACTAAATGCAATGTGTGATCCTGGATTGGATCCTAGACTATGAAAAACTAAAATGAAGTTGAGACATTAGTGGGATAATTGACAAACTCTGAATAAGATCTACAGTAGATAATGGTCCTATGGCAATGTTAATTTCCTGATTTTGACTTGTACTGTAATTATGTAAAAGAATGTCCTTGTTTTTAGGAAATAGACAATGAATATTTAGTGGCAGAGAGGCATCATGTCTGCTACTTAAACTATTTATTTCAGTTCAGAAGAAATTTATATGTATATGATGGGGGGGTGGGGAAGAAAGAGGATGAGTGTAAAGCAAACATGGTAACATTTTGGAAACCTAAGTGAAGAATGTATAGTAGTATTTTTTATTAACTTCTGTAGTCTTTCTATAAGTCTGAAATTATTTCAAAATTTAAAGATACTGATATCACAAGGATTCAGAAGTCAGCCTGAAAGGGCTCCCACTGGCCAACACAGGAACAATGTGAGCACCAGAATCAATAATTTCAGTGGTGATTATAAACCACTGAAAACATAGGAATCAGGCCAGGTCCAGTGACCCACACCTGTAACCCCAGCACTTTGGGAGGCCGAGGCAGGTGGATCACTTGAGGTCAGGAGTTCAAGACCAGCCTGGCCAGCATGGTGAAACCCCATCTCTACACAAAAATTGGCCAGGCGTGGTGGTACATGTCTGTAGACCCAGCTACTTAGGAGGCTGAGGCAGGAGAATCACTTGAACCTGGGAGGCGGAGGTTGCAGTGAGCCAACATGGCACCATTGCACTCCAGCCTGGGCGACTCTGTCTCCAAAAAAACAACAACAAAAGAAAACATATGAATCTATATTGATAATAAATAAATGAGTTGAGGATAAGAGAGGTCTCTTGTTTACAGCAGAGTATTGACCAGTGAAGGGAATGAATTATATCTCAGTAAGCTGTTTAAAAAATGTGATCCATGGATCAACAGATAACCAGTTGTGTTGTATCTGTCAAACAGAGTATTATTCAGCCTTATAAAGGAAGGAAATCCAGTCACTTGCTACAGGATGAACCTTGAGGACATTATGCAAAATGAAATAAGCCAGTCACAAAAAAGCCAAATACTGCATTATTTCAGTTGTATGAGGTATCTAAAGTAATCAGACTCAGAGAAAGCAGAATGGTGGTTACCGGGGACTTAGGAGAAGGGGTTGTTGAACGGGCATAAAGTTTCAGATTTACAAGATAAAAAAGTTCTGAAGATCTGTTTCACAGCAGTATGAACATGCTTAATATTACCAAACTGTACTCTTAAAAATGGTTAATATGGGCTGGGCATGGTGGCTCATGCCTGTAATCCTAGCAGTTTGGGAGCCTGAGGCGGGCGGATCATGAGGTCAGGAGATCGAGACCATCCTGGGTAGCATAGTGAAACCCTGTCTCTACTAAAAATACAAAAAATTAACTGGGCATTGTGGCATGTGCCTATAGTACCAGCTATCTGGGAGGCTGAGGCAGGAGAATCGCTTGGACCCAGGAGGCGGAGGTTGCAGTGAGCCGAGATTGTACCATTGCACTCCAGCCTGGGTGACAGCGAGACTCTGTCTCAATTAAAAAAAAAAAAAAAAAGAAAAGAAAAAGGTTAATATGGTAACCAACTTAAGTGCTTGAATGCATTCTTTGTCAATAGGCATCCTGTAATCAGAAAGCATCTTGTATCCCTAATTTTACATCCATTACCAACAAACCTTAACACAAACTATAAAAGATTACAGTACAAAATGTAGTACACTTTGTCAAGCTCACAGTTTCTTTCTTTCTTTTCTTTTGGAGACAGTCTTGCTCTGTCGCCCAGGCTGGAGTGAGTGCAGTGGCACAATCTTGGCTCACTGCAACCTCTGCCTCCCGGGTTAGAGCAATTCTGCCTCAGCCTCCCGATTAGCTGGGACTACAGGTGCCCGCCACCATGCTTGGCTAATTTTTTTGTTGTTGTATTTTAGTAGAGTTGGGGTTTCACCATGTTGCCCAGGCTGGTCTCCAACTCCTAACCTTGGGCAGTCCGCCTGCCTAGCCCTCCCAAAGTCCAGGATTACAGGCATGAGCCACCATGCTTGGCCCCAAGCTCAATTTCTATTCAATGCTTTCCATATTGAGGGATAAGCAGTATAGCTTTCATTTTAATAATAATCATTATTAAACTTTTTCAGGACAATGAGGTGAAAACAATATAAAGTGATCCTTTTCTAAATTTATCTGAATTCAACTGATTCTTAAAGCAATGATAAAGAATATATAAATAAATAACTTACATCTTGTTAATTTCTTTGGACTCTGTGAAGGCACTGGCTGGTTATCAGTGTGTGAAAGACAAAGTTCTGATTCCTCTTGGGAGACCCAGTCTGGGATAAAAGAAGTAAAAATTGTCCATTGTTAATCAAATAGGAAGCAGCATCAGAAAAACAAGAAAAGGTAAAAATATCTAAGTCCTCCAGTCTTTGTATCTGGGTAAGATTCTATAAGAGGTATAAAATACTGAAAATTTATCTATAGTCATATATTTTAATCATCTTAGTTTCAGATAGAGTTGGATCCGACTTCCTTACATTTTTCAAAGTGGTTTTGAAATAAATATGTGGGATGTTTAAAAAATAATTGAGGCCGGGCGCGGTGGCTCACGCCTGTAATCCCAGCACTTTGGGAGGCCGAGGCGGGTGGATCATGAGGTCAGGAGATCGAGACCATCCTGGCTAACAAGGTGAAACCCCGTCTCTACTAAAAAAAATACAAAAAATTAGCCGGGCGCGGTGGCGGGCGCCTGTAGTCCCAGCTACTCGGGAGGCTGAGGCAGGAGAATGGCGTGAACCCGGGAAGCGGAGCTTGCAGTGAGCCGAGATTGCGCCACTGCAGTCCGCAGTCCGGCCTGGGCGACAGAGCGAGACTCCGTCTCAAAAAAAAAATAATAATAATAATTGAAATGCAAAAGGTATAGGAAGAAGTTCTAAAGAGTCAAGAAGGGAAGGAACAGGCCTGATAATTGGAATGCTGAAACCTATAAATATGCTCATACCCTTGGACTCAGTGATCCCATTCCTAGCAATTTTTCTTAAGGAAATAATTTAGCTGAAGGAAGAAGTACATGCATGATTTTTTTTTTTTTGCAGCATTATCTGTAATAATGAACAAGTAGAAACAATAAGGAAGGAATCAGGTAGATTATGTTGTATAAAATGACAGTACTTTGTAATTAAAATGTCATTATGAATACTCTATGGGAATGTGGAGAAATGTTTGCTACAACATGAAAAACCATTTATGCTATGATTAAGGCACAGCACTAGAAAGGAATTTAGATTATCCTGCCTAATCCCTTCCTTGTATAGAAAAGATCTGAGGCCCAATGTAGACAGGGTTCCTCAAACACAGATCTTTTAATTCCCAGGGAAGCTCCCTTTCCTGGTCTGTACCACAGGAGAGAGAAAAGTAAATATAAAGGAAAGACTGGTAAAGTCGAGTTCTGCACAAAGAGGCAGGGGCAGATTTTGGTCCCGTCTTAGCTATTTAAACTGTCTGATGACCTTGAGCAAGTTACTCAAATACTGTGGTTTTCAACTGTTCAGCTATTAAATGGGAATATCCTGTCTGCCTACAGGTAGGGATCAGAGCACATATTTTGAGTAGTGAAAAAATATTGTTGATAATTGCATTGCCAGAAACTAAAAGTTCAGTGCTGCTAGAAACGTGGCAAGTTATGGAGGAAGAGGGAGGAGTTGATAGTGGAGAATGAAATCAGTTTGTAAATCTTTATAGCTACTGAGCCATTGGTATGCCACACAAGAATAAATATTTTTAAAGATGTTACTGTAGCAAAAACATCTGAATTATCCCAGATAGAGTGCCTCTTTATCAAATAATATTGTCTATTCTTTCTTTTATTCTATTCAATCAATTCTTACTGAGTGATTATTTAACATTTAGTTTATTAATTGAGCTAACAACATGCTGCTGTCATAGAAAGTACAAAGATGACTCACTCCACATATCATGCCCTTGGGATGCTTGTAGATAGAGCATGTACCTCAGTATTTAATACAAAGTACAATGCATTAAGACACTGTGAAGTGCCGTGAGGGGTCCCCCCGTCCAGGGGTTAAAATCTAGGATGTGAGAGACTGGAATATAAAGCAAGATAAAGTAGGATTAGAACCATGAAAATAGATAAAGCAAAGCACCACGGGAGGAGGGAGAAACCATTTCCATTTGGCAGTACTGAGGAGGACTTCAAGGACTGACAATCATGGAGAAAACACTGGATTGGGATCTAATACTCAGGCCCACGTCCAAGCTCCATTACTGAACATCAGAAGCAGAAGAAGCAACACAAGCACAGATAGATGCATCAGAGGGCTGTGGAGCACTCAGTGTGATTATAGAAAACCGCAAGTATTCTTCCTTCACTTCAGTAGGAGATAGGAGATATGGGTGGAAATGCGACATAGGCAGGTTTTATCCCTGGAAACCATGGTGTTTCATTTTATAAAATGTAAGCCAGGTGCTGACATCAGAATCTGCTGCTTGAAGAGAGAATTCCACAGAAGTGTAGAGAATGAATTGGGGGTTGGAGACCTGTGAGGAACTCTTGCAGTAACCTAGGAAACCAAATGAGGCTCTAAATGGCTCTGGTGTTGAGGCAGAGAGGAGTGGGAAATTTGAGACAGGTTTCAGAAACAGAACTGACAGGATTTGGTAACCAATATGGATGTGAGAAGCAAAGTGACCCCCAAGGTGCAGGGTTGGACACAGGATGGTGGACTCTCTTCTCCTGCTGCCTTGCCCAGAAAGGGAACCAGCCTCCAGAGCTGTTCTTTTTCCTCTTGTCAACTCTGAACACAGCAAGTTTTGCTTGATGGAAGAAACAGTATTGACTGCCCTAGGTAGGAGTAATTAGCAGGTCAAGTGTTTTAAACCAGATGCCTGGGAAAATCAGTGAAGAAAACATGGGGTCTGGTGAAGGTGGGCAGGGAAACAGCCCTTGTTTCAGTCTTGTTGACAGATTCCTGAGGTGACTAATATTTTTCCAGTTGATTGGTGGACTGCAGATTTTATCTAGTAGTGCTGACATTAAAATCAATCTGCTTGTTGGTTCTAGCATCAATAAGCACACCATTTTGCTTCACAAAGATAAAGTAAAGCACATATGTCCAAATGTTTCATAGACACTTACTGTTGAACGCTCCAGCCACATGAAAGCCAAGGTCAAAGAGTTGTGAAGGAAGGAATCGAGAAGAATGAGCGAGGGGCTCAGACCCCATGGAAGGCTCCTGGGATGTGAGACTGGCACTGGGGCTCCCAAAGGCAGTCTGGCATTCTTGGGTAAATTCACTAGTACTTGAAGAACCAGAACTTAGGAGGTTGTTCAGAAATGAGAATTCCTTCTCAAAATCTTCTCCTTCCAATGAATCTACAGGTAGATCTTTTGCAACTATTGAGTGTAAATAAAAACAGAAAGGCTTTTTTGATTTTAGGAAATGAGAGTAAGACCATAGGATGAATCAAATTTGTTTCATTGTTTTCATACTGTATTAACATAATTTTAAACAAACAACTAAAGTGACTGGAAGTTTATGTGAAAGTTACTTCTAATTAGGCAGGATTTAGGTCAAAATGGCCACATTTAACAATGAAGATATAACCATTATGAATGCTATATATGAAATAATTAAGCTACCACCTAAGTCAGAAACCAAAGGAGATGCAAAAGACATAGAAACAAATTAATAATACGAGACTTTAATATACCACTCTGACTAAAAAACAGGCCAAGAGGACAACAGATAAAAAAGATCAAAAGAGCATAATCAATAATGTAGTTATTTTGGATAACACAAACCCTGGTAATAGAAACATTCTTCTTAACCACACATTGAAAATGTACAAAAGTTGATTATACTAAGGCACACACACACAAAAATTGTGTTCTTAAAGTAGGAACATTACAAACAACATGCTCTGATCATAATGCAATAAAAAGACAATTCTAAAATGAAACTATAAAAACAAAAAGGTTGTTACACCTGTAAATCTTAAAACCTTCTACCAAACAACGTTGAAAAGGGAATGGACTTTCGGAAAAATAATGATGAAGAAAATATTTTATATCATAATCCATGGTGTTAAGTAAAATGTATAGAAGACCATTGGTTTGGACTGAGCTCTTGTACTAGACCCAACAGACCAAACCAAAATGGAGTCACTCATGCTAAAGTTCCATATCACCAAACCAAACTAAGTTATCTGGCCTTTCAAGAAATCAGGAGAGAGACATCATAGCCAAGTCCCCAAGCAGGCCAGTCCTAGCTGGCATGATAAGGAAGTCCCCTCTGCTTTAACCCTTACAAGAAAAGTAACTGCAATGATCAATCCACTTTTTGTTTTCTGTTTCTGCTTTCCCTGGTCCTTTTCTGTCTATAAAACCAACCTCCTCAGAACACTCATTCCATGTTACAGAATGGGGTGTTGCCTGATTCTAGAATTGCAAATAAAAGCCAATTGAGGTCTTTAAATTTGTTGTAATTTTACCTTTTGACAATAGAATACTTAAATGGCATGAACAAAGGAAAAATCCCATCCCTTAAACATTTTTATCAATAAAAATGAAAGGGAGAGGCATCACGGACCTGCACCCCAGCATAATTGGTGAAAGTTATTTTTCAAAATAAATAAGCATTTAAAATCTCTGGAAATGGTCCCAAGGATATGCAGCAAATGAAGAAATATTTACTTAAGAAAATCTACTATAATTTAGGAAAAACAGCAAGAGTTTTTAGTATTTGAACTGAGAACCAGTCCCATCTTCCCGCTTTCCAACTTAGCAAGATGGAGATTCCACTCCAGTCTGGTGCAGCCAGAACACAGGGCTCCTTCTCTCTCCAGCTGTCAGTCAAGGGCTAGCTTCCCAGGAGGAGTAAGATGCCAGCATTTCACATCCCGTCCCCAGTTACCTGTTGCTGAGGCTAAGTCCTAGGTGAGTGCAGTCAATAGATAATAGAGGCTCCCATCTCCTCCCCAGATCCCTCATGGGTTGGGAAGTCTGAGTTTGGTGTAGTGTGCTAAGAATATAGGGCCCCTGATCACTTGACCCTGCTAGTAAAGTGGTGGTTTCATGAAGAAAGAGGCAAGCCAAGAAGACCTAAGGCTACCGTCACTCTCCTCAGCTCCTAGAGCAAGGATGACACTCAGAAAGAAGTATGCCATTGTCCCCACTCCCAGCTCAAGCTCTGACTCAGAGATTTTCCTTGCAGGGAGTGAGGGAGAAGCCGACCATAAAACTGATGGTTCCTAATCCCTTTCCAAAGTCACTGACTTCATTTGTAACAGAGTGTAGAGAAATTCAACCCTAAGGATGCTCTCAAAACAGTGGAGGTTTTAGTAAAAGGCAACTGGAGAAGTCTTATAGTGTATGAGTCTCAACATGGAGGCTAAACTGTAGGCCAGCTGCTTTGCCTGAAGGAACCAGGGAAAAAGCCAGCTGGGGTCACCACAAATTTCAGTGGCCTTAAGAACTGTTTCTTTAAATGAGTCCAGATTTGATTGGTTTATTGTGTGGAACAATTTATGCTCCAGGGACTGTTGAAATCAATAGAGCAATCAGCTGGAAGAAGCAAAAATGATAACTTGGACTTACAAAGAATTTTGTGCTTCCAAAGGCAAAATCGAGAAAATAAAAAGACTGGGACAAAATATTTACAAGTCATATATCTGATAAAGGGCTTTATAAAAAATATATAAACTCTTACAACTTAATAAGATAAGCAACCCAATTAAATAATGGTCAATAGAGTTGAATAGATTTGTCAGTAAGGAAGATACACGAATGGACAATAGCACATGAAAAGAGTCTCAACACCATCAGTCACTGGAGAAATGCAAATCAAAGCTACAAATTAAAAGCACTAGAATAGCCAGGCACTGTGGCTCACACCTGTAATCCCAACACTTTGGGAGGCTGAGGCAGGTGGATCTCCTTAGGTCAGGAGTTTGAGACCAGCCTGGCCAACATGGCAAGACCCTGTCTCTACTAAAAATACAAAATTAGCCAGGCGTGGTGGCGCATGCCTGTAATCCCAGCTACTCAGGAGGCAAGGTTGGAGAATCACTTGAACTTGGGAGGTGGAGGTTGCAGTGAGCTGAGATTGTGCCATTGCACTCAAGCCTGGGCAACAAGAGCAAAACTCTTGTCTCAAAAAAACAAAAGCACTAGAATAACTGTTACTTAAAATATACCAGGCACGGTGGCTCATGTCTGTAATCCCAGCACTTTGGAAGGCTGAGGCAGGTGGATCACTTGAGGCCAGGAGTTTGAGACCAGCCTGGCCAACATAGTGAAACTCCATCTCTACTAAAAATACAAAAATTAGCTGGGTGTAGTGGCACATGCCTCTAATCCCAGCTACTCAGGAGGCTGAGGCAGGAGAACCACTTGAACCCAGGAAGTGGAGATGGCAGTGAGCTGAGATCCTGCCACTGCACTCTAGCCTGGGTGACAGAGCGAGACTCCATCTCAAAAAATAAAATAAAATATAGACAATACCAAATGTTGGCAAAGATGTGGAGAAACTAGAACCCTCACACTTTGCTGGTGGAAATAAAATGGTGCAATTATTTTGAAAAAAGTTTGGCAGTTCCTTAAGAAGTTAAATTCACCATACAACCTAGCAATTTCACTCCTGGGAATCTAACCAAGGAAAATGACAATGTATGCCTGCACAAAGAGAAGTACATGAATGTTCAGTAGTAGTAGTAGTATAATAGCCAAAAATTATAAACAACCCAAATGTCCATCAACTGGTAAATAAGTAAACATAAGATGGTATATCCATACAATGGAATACTATTGCTTAATAAAAAGTAATAAACTGGCCGGGTGCAGTGGCTCACACCTGTAATTCCAGCACTTTGTGAGGCTGAGGCGGGCAGATCACAAGGTCAGGAGATCGAGACCATCCTGGCTAACACAGTGAAACCCCATCTCTACTAAAAATATAGAACAAATTAGCCGGGCATGGTGACACACGCCTGTAGTCCCAGCTACTGGGGAGGCTGAGGCAGGAGAATCACTTGAACCCAGAAGGCAGGTTGCAGTGGGCCAAGATCGCGCCACTGCACTCCAGCCTGGGCGACAGAGTGAGACTCGGCCTCAAAAAATTAAAAAAAAATAATAATAAACTACTGATATATACAACAACATGGATGACTCCAAAAACCATTAAGTGGAAGATGCCAGAAATAAAGGACTACCTTTTGTATGGCTTCATTTATATGGAATGTCCAGAAAAGGCAAATTTATAGAGACAAAAACAGATTACTAATTACCTACGGCTTGGAGTGAATCAGAGATTAATTTAAAACAAGCATGAGAGAATTTGGGGGGTAATGGAAACATTCTAATATCCAACTGTGGTAATGGTTGCATAATCTAAATTTTCTAAAAATTAGGAACTGTTAGAATGGGTGAAATTTATGGTATTTAAATTATACCTAAATAGAGCTGTTAAAAATAAAAAGAAATTTTGTACAACTCTATTGCAAATAAATTTAAAAGTCTACACAAAATGAATAACTTCTTAGAAAAATGTAATTTACTAAAATCAATCCCAGTACAGATTAAAAGCTTAAACAGACTGATTTCTATAGAGAGAGACAAAAAACACACATGTACAAGAAAGCATTAGACCTAGATGTTTTCATAGGTTAAGAAATGAATAAGAGGCCGGGCACAGTGGCTCACACTTAGCAAATCCCAGCACTTTGGGAAGCTGAGGCGGGCGGATCATCTGAGGTCAGGAGTTCAAGACCAGCATGGCCAACATGGCAATATCCCGTCTCTACTAAAAAAAAAAAAAAAAAAAAAAAAAAAAAAAAAATTAGCCAGGTGTGGTGGCAGGTGCATGTAATCCCAGCTACTCAGGAGGCTGAGCCAGGGAGAACTGCTTGAACCTGGGAGGTGGAGGTTCCAGTGAGCAGAGATCACACCACTGCACTCCAGCCTGGGTAACAGAGAGAGACTCCATCTAAAAAAAAAAAGGAAGAATGCAAAAAGAGCCAGGTGTGGTGGCTCATGCCTGTAATCCCAGCACTTTGGGAGGCCGAGGCTGGTGGAGCACCTGAGGTCAGGAGTTTGAGACCAGCCTGACCAACATGGTGAAACCCCATCTCTACTAAAAATACAAAATTAGCCAGGCATGGTGGCGTGCACCTGTAATCCCAGCTACTTGGGAGGCTGAGGCAGGAGAATTGCTTGAACCTGGGAGGCAGAAGTTGCAGTGAGCCAAGAATGTGCCATTGTGCTCCAGCCGGGGCAACGAGTTAAACTCCAGCTCAAAAAAAAAAAAAAGAATGCAAAAAGAGTAGTAAAATATTAGCAAGCAGAGTAGTATAAAATGACAAAGCTGGACTTACAACTGGAATGCAAACATGATATAGTATCAGGAAACCTATTATTATAGTTCATCATATTAATATATTTAAGAAGAAAAAGCAAATAATTGCTGACATAGATACTGAAAAAGCTGCCAACAAAATTCAACAACTATTAGCCAGGTGTGGTGGTATGCACCTGTAATCCCAGCTACTTGGGAGGCTGAAGCAGGAGAATCGCTTGAACCCAGGAGGCAGAGGTTGCAGTGAGCCAAGATCTCACCACTGCACTCCTGCCTGCGCGACACAGTGAGACTCCATCTCAAAAAAAAAAAAAAAAAAAATCAACAACCATTCCTAATAAAAATTCTTAAGAAAGTAAGTATGGATGGATGCTTCCTTAACATCATGAAATTATCTGTGTCCAAAGCCAGCATCTTAGTTCAGAAATATTATAGGCATTTCCACTGAAGTCAGGAAACGTTCACTACTAGTTAACATTGTTCTGAAGGTAGTAGCCAATGTAATTAAACAAGAGAAATCTATGAGTTGGTAAGAAGAAAAAAACAAGATTATCTCTATTTTCAGATGACATAACTCAAATAATAAAAGAATTCAGCTATATACCAGGATATAAAACTAACATGCGAAAGTGAATAGCATTCATATATACAAAATGACCAATGAAAATATATAATGGAAAAGAAAACCTCATTTACAATAGCAACCAGAAAGATAAAATACATAGAAATAAACAACGGGAAGTGTTCAAAACCTGTATGAAAAAAAAAGTCTGAAAGATATACAAGTAAACTTTAACAAATGGAAGGATGGCCCTTGTTTTTCATGAGGATGTCTCAACATGATCAACCTGTCAGTTTTCACATTTAATGTGATTACAATAAAGTATCGAGCTTTTTAATAAAGCCCCACAATTTTATATTCAAATTGAAAAAGTAAACATGCAAAAATAGCTAAGAAAATAATAAAAAAAAAAGGAGGGGGGATTCTAGCCTTACCAGATACTAAAACTACAAGAAAGTTTCCTTTTCTTTTTTTTTTTTTTTTTTTTTGATTCTCCTGCCTCAGCCTCCCGAGTAGCTGGGACTACAGGCATGCGCCACCATGCCCAGTTAATTTTGTATATTTAGTAGAGACAGGGTTTCACCATGTTAGCCAGGCTGATCTCGAACTCCCGACCTCAGGTGATCTGCCCACCTTGGCCTCCCAAAGTGCTGGGATTACAGGCGTGAGCCACCGCGCCCGGCCCTAAAACTACAAGAAAGTTTCTATAATTAAAACTATGTGGGCAGGGAGTGGTGGCACACGCCTATAATCCAGAGGCAGGCAGATCACCTGAGGTCAGGAATTCAAGACCAGCCTGAACAACATCGAGAAACTTTGCTTCTACTAAAAATACAAAATTAGCCAGGCATGGTGGCGGATGCCTGTAATCCCAGCTACTTGGGAGGCTGAGGCAGGAGAATCGCTTGAACCTGGGAGGCAGAGGTTGCAGTGAGCCAAGATTGCACCATTGCACTCCAGCCTGGGCAATGAGGGCGAAACTCCATCTCAAAAAAAAAGAAAAAAAACAACTATGTGGCACTGGTGCATGCACACACCATTTGAAATATAAACAAAGTCTAGAAATACACCCAAGTAGAAAAAGAAATATAGTATATGACAAGATGTTATCTCAATACTAGGACAAAGATGGCATTTTAAAAAATTATATAAAGGGCTGGGCGCGGTGGCTCACGTCTGTAATCCTGGCACTTTGGGAGGCTGAGGTGGGCAGATCACTTGAGGCCAGGAATTCGAGGCCAGCCTGGCCACATGATGAAACCCCATCTCTACTAAAAATACAAAAAATTAGCTGGGCATGGTGGCGCACGCCTGTAATCCCGGCTATTTGGGAGGCTTAGGCACAAGAATTGCTTGAACCCAGGAGGCAAAAGTTGCAGTGAGCCAAAATCGTGCCACTGCTCTTCAGCCTGGATGACAGAGCGAGACTGTTAAAAAAAAAAAAAAGTATATAAAGGATAGCCTTTGGGGGAAAAAAAAAAGGTAACGTTTGATCCATTGCTAACACTCTACACATAAATTAACTTCAAATGAATTCAAGACCTAAATGTAAAAAATAATACTACATAAATACCAGAAGAAAGCATAAGAGAATTCTTCTATAATCTGGGTTTAGGAAAAGCTTCCTGACTATGACTAAAGTCCAGATCCAATAAAAGAAAAGATTAACCAATTGGACTGTATTTAAAAGCTTTAAAAAAATTTTTTTAACTTAAAGAAATTTAAAGAAACAAAGTCACAAGACAAATGACAAACTAGGAGAAAATGTTTACAACCTAATTGCTTGAGAAAGATATTCAAGGTAGTTATTTAATGCTTAGGAAGTACCTTAAAGTTGATTTAGTCTTGATCCTCATTTTACAGATAAGGAAACCAGAACGTTGGGGGCATACTTTTGTTTCTTAAATAGTGATTTTAATTTATTTAATGTTGAATGACATTTACTATTTTGCTAGTATCTAATGACACTAGATATACAAACAATTGTATTCATTCATTCAACAAATATTTCCTGAGGCTTGTACTGCTGGTGGTTGAGATACATGAGACAGAAAGGCAGACACAGCCCTAGCTGTCCTGGTTATACGGATACGTTCTGATAGGACCCAAACATATAAAACAAATAATTATTTAATTTCCATTGTGATGTGCTACAAAGTAGAGGCACATAGTTGCATTCTTATGTAGAGACCCAGACAGTTTCTAATGTTAAGGAAATAAATGTTAAATAAAAATTGAAGAATTTTAAAGAATCATTCATATGTAGAGTGAAATGATTCTTACCATTTTCAGAGTTAGAAAACTGAGGTGCTCCAAATTCTCTCATTTGAGAATGTTTTTCATTGTGATCTTTGTTTGCTAAATCAAAAGCACATAAAAGAGAAGTTGAACAAGAAGAAATTCAGCAAGCTTATTTACTGTAATAGTCTATCATTAGGTCAAGTGTTCAATTGACCAAATCAGAATCGAAAACATACAAAAGGGAAACATAAAAATTTAAATAATCTTATATATAAAAATCACATTTGTGTGTGTGTGTGTGTGTGTGTGTGTGTGTATATGTATATAAATGAAACATAATACCAGAGGTATTCAGGTACTCTATTAAGTCTCTGTCCCCTTGAAATGTAAAAGTTTTCACATTCCAAAGCCTGTTCCTTCCTTGGTGGAGCTGTTCTCATTCTAGGTCATTTTATACTTGTTCTGCCTGATCTCCATGCCTTGACACTCTGACACAGTGGATGTTCATTTTACATGGAATGAATGAATATGGCCTACAATTTTATTATTGTTTAATTGACAAAAGTATATAATCTGTCACATACAACATGTTGTTTTGATATATGTAATACATTGCGAAATAGCTAAATTTAGCTAATTAACATTTGTATTGAACACTGCTCTCTTAACAATTGGTTGTCGTTGTTGTTTTTGAGACAGAGTCTTGCTCTGTCGCCCAGGCTGGAGTGCAGTGGCACAATCTCAGCTCACTGGAATCTCCACTTCTGGGGTTCAAGTGATTCTCCTGCCTCAGCCTCCCAAGTAGCTGGGATTACAGGCATGCGCCACCACACCTGGCTAATTTTTATATTTTCAGTAGAGATGGGGTTTTGCCATGTTGGCCAGGCTGATCTTGAACTCCTGACCTCAAGTGATCCTCCTGCCTCGGCCTCCCAAACTGCTGGGATTACAGGTATGATCCACCATGCCCAGCCTCTCTTAACAATTTTCAAGAATATATTGTTATTAAATACAGTCACCACGTTTTACAATAGATCTTTTGAACTTACTCCTCCCGGTCTAGTTGAAATTTTGTATCCTTTGGCCATCCCCCCAGTTCCCTCCCCACAACTACCTACCACTCTACTCTCTACTTCTATGAGTTCAACTTTTTAGATTCCACATGTAAGTGAGATCATGTGGTATTTGTCTTTCTGTGGCTTATTTCACTTTGCATAATGTCCTCTGGGTTCATTCATTTAGTCACAAATGACAGGATTTCCTTCTTTTTGAAGGCTGAATAGTATTCCATTGTGTACACATACCATAATTTTATTTATCTGTTCATCTGTTGATGAACACTTACAATGATTCCATATCTTGGCTATTGTGATTAAGGATATGCTTTACTTTTTTTTTGAGAAAGGGTCATGCTCTGTTACCCAGGATGGAGTGCAATGGTGTGATCAGAGCTCACTACAGCCTCCAACTCCCAGGCTCAAGAGATCTTCCCACCTCAGTAGCTGGGACTCATCCCAAGTAGCTGGGACTATAGGTGTGTGTCACCATACCTGAATAATTTTTTTAAATTTTTTGTAGAAACAGGGTCTCACTATGTTACCCAGGCAAGTTTTGAACTTCTGGGCTCAAGCAATCCTCCCACCTTGGCCTCCCAAAGTGCCAGGATAACAGGTGTGAGCCACCATACCTGGACAAGGATATGGTTTACTGTTAATAATTTGTACATATTTGTGGGGCACATGTGAAATTTCGCTATGTGTATATAATGAGTAGTGGTCAAGTCAGGGTATTTAGTGTGTTTGTCATCTGAGTACAATATATTTTTGTTAAGTATAATAACCGTACTCTGCTATCAAACTTGATACATTCCTTCTATTTCACTGTTTGTTTGTATCCTGTAACTTACCTCTTAATCCTCCTCACTGCCGCCACCACTCACCCTTTCCAGTCTTTTATCTATTTTTCTACTCTCTACCTGAATGTGATCAAAATTTTTAGCTCCCACATATAAGTGAGAATGTATGATATTTGTCTTTTTGTGCCTGGCTTATTTCACTTAAGATAATGACCTCCAGTTCTATCCATGTTGCTGCAAATAATAGGATTTCATTCTTTTTATGGCTGAATGGTATTCCATTGTGTATATATACTACTTTTTCTTTATCCATTCATCCATTGATGGACACTTAGGGTTGATTCTATATCCTTGCTATTATGAATACTAATGCAATAATCGTGCAAGTGCAGGTATCATTTTGATATATTAATTTATTTTTCTTTGGATAGATAACCACTAGTGGATTACTGGATCAAATAATTATATTTTTAATTTTATGAGCAATCTCTATACTGTTTTTCATAGTGGCTATACTAGTTTACATTCCCACCAACAGTGTATAACAGTCCTCTTTTCTCTGCATCCTCACCAGCATCTGTTATTGTTTGTCTTTTTAATAATAGCCTTTCTGACTAGGGTAAGCTGATATCTCACTGTGGATTTGATTTGCATTTCCCTGATGATTAGTGATGTTTAGCACTGTTTCATATACCTATTGACCATTGGTATGTCTTCTTTTGAGAAATGTCTACTATTCATGTCCTTTGCCCACTTTTTAATGTTTATTTTTCTTGTTGAATTATTTGAGTTCCTCGTATATTCTGGATATTAGTCCCGTGCTGGAAGAACAGTTTGCAAATATTTTATCCCATTGAAGAGATTGTAGCTACACTGTTGATAATTTATTTTGCTGTGCAGAAGCTTTTTAGTTTAATTAAGTCCCTTTTATCTATTTTTGGTTTTGTTCTCTGTGCTTTTGAGGTCTTAGTTGTAAATTTTTTGCCTAGAAAAACATCCAGGAGCATTTTCCTTAGGCTTTTCCCTCATATTTTAATAGCTTTGCCTCTCATATTTAAGTCCTTGATCCATTTTGAGTTGATTTTGTATATGGTGAGAGATAGGGGTCCAGGTTCATTGTTCTACATGGGGCTATTAAGGATATGGTCTACTTTTAATTCAAAGGCTGCTTTATACTTTTTTTTTTTTTTTTTTTAGATGGAGTGTCACTCTGTTGCCAGGCTGGAGTGCAGTGGCACGATCTCGGCTCACTGCATTCTCCGCCTCCCAGGTTTAAGCGATTCTCCTGCCTCAGCCTCCAGAGTAGCAGGGATTACAGGTACGCACTGCCACAGTCAGCTAAGTTTTTTTTTGTATTTTTAGTAGAGATGGGATTTCACCATGTTGGCCAGGATGGTCTCCATCTCCTGACTTGGTGATCTGCCCGCCTTGGCCTCCCAAAGTGCTGGGATTACAAGTGTGAGCCACCGCGCCTGGCCTGCTGCTTTATTCTTTTAAAAACTGCCCATAGCAATAAGCAGCATCTCCACATTTTTCACTTAAACTAGAGCTTGACTAGTAATGATCTCACAGGAAAAGAAAGATCATACATATGGCAAAAGATAGCATACTCTTTTGTGATCAAAACAGCGCTGTCTTGTGTGTTTTTAAATGTTTTAAACATTTAAAAAGTCAAATATACAAACCAAAACCTCCACAGGCAAAACTCTACTAAAAAATTACTTCCAAGTTTTGAGCCTATATATCAAGACAAAAATAATTGTGCCCTATTGCAACAATGGGAGCCAGTTTTTGAGAGTCAGTTTTCTAATACTCCAGTCTGTATACATTGGATTCCATCTCTATGTCATTGGTTTACTCAGTATAGACACACATAGAGACAAAAAAAGTATATGATTTTTATACTTTCTAACATCTTCAACTATTATGAGGGCCATTTTAAAAAATGAAATGTAAATTTCTCCTACATACAAGGGTGGAAAGTGTTGCTGTATAGAGAGCTTAAAGGATGTAATACATCTAAGGACAAAGTAATAGCTCTATTACACTATTATTAAAATTCTATGCTCAGTTTGGGATACTATAAAAGAATATGGGAAAAGTAAAAAAAGGTAAAAACAACCAAAGTAATTAAAAGGAAAACACATTTAAAAAGGAAGATTTAAGTAAATCAGGCTGATTTAACCTTAAGATAAGGAAGCTAAAGGATGAATTAGATTTTAAGTTCAGATACATAATATAAAAATGTTAGAAATGTACAGAAGATTTAAAAATTTTCAAATGGACTTTATCAGTAAAGATTTTAGTTGAATATAGGAAAAAAAATAGAGGAGAAAATCTAGAAATGGAAAAGATTTCAGAGGTGGCTGGAGAAATAAGTGAGAAGAATAATCCTGGTTGTGGGGAAGGGAACAGGTATTGGTGATGCAGAGGCAGAGTCACAGCAAGGAAGGTTTCAGGCTATAGAAATAGAGTTTGGGGAATGGAGAGATGTGTTAAAGGATCTTTAAGGAAATGCTGCTGGATAAGATGAAGGGTAACCTCAGTCCTCTCTCTTCCCCAGACATTTTCAGTAATGATCTGCTTTACCTTACAGTGCTTTTGGTATGGATTCATGTAGTTTGGTTTCATTTTATTTTAATGCTACAGATGCATGAAATTGGGATTAAGATAGGCAGATGAGTGAGAAAGGTCTAGCTCAAAGGCTTAGTTTTTTATTCCATTATATGAAACACCATTTGAGTGAATACCTCAGAGCATAAATGTTTGAGGGCATTTCTAATTACTTCCTCAGTAGAGTTCTTAAAGTAAAATTTCTCAAAGTCTGGGATGTTTACATTCTTCAGAAAATTTGTCCCATCCTTGCTAAATCTATAAAATACACTTTTTTCTCTGTTCTCCTGGCTTCTCTACATAAAATATAGGTTTAATGCATTGCTGGACTTGTTAGAAGTAAACAACAACAAAAATGTAAGCTGAAACCAGAGCTAGGAAAGAGAAGCAGCAAGCGAAGAAGAAAGGCAGGTGTGCTGTGGGCAATGCCTGTGCTGACACGGCCAGACAAGGCCCTTGGCAAACGCAAGGAAACTGAGCCGAGCCCACAATTCTACATTAAAATAGGCTCTGGAAGAGGGTTAAAGTGGTCACCAGGCTGTGAGTATTCCTTGACTCTGGGAAGAAGCAGTATGAATTTTCTTTTGCAAAAAATTATCTAGGCCTCTAGGAGTCCCACAGATTAAGAGCAAACAAATATTGGCTGGTATTCACAAATCACTAAAGAAACAAGCTACCACAAGAATGCTGGGGTAAACCAACAAATAATAGATTTAGACCCCCCAAGGACTTCAGATATTTGTATTTTTGGATATGGATGTGAGTCAAAAAGTGAGAAAGAACAAGGGACTATAAAAATTAGGCAAATTAATAAAACAACAAATAGAACTTTTATAAATAAAAAGTATAGTTGTTGGGGAAAGAATCCTCGATGTATACATTAAACAGTAGATTAGATGCAAGAGGAGACAATTAGTGAGAAACAGATCTGAAGAACTTACCTAGAATGTACTGTAGAGGGAAAGGGGGATGAAAACATGACAGAGAAGTTAAAATATATGAGGAATTAATGAAAAGGTTCACCATAAGCTTATTAGAGTTCTGGAAGCAGAAAATAGAGAAAATGGAGGAGAGAGACTATTTTTAAAGATAATAGTTGAGTCATGCATATTTTATCACACTAAAAAAAATAATGGTTGAGCAGTTTCCAGAACTAGTAAAAGGCACAAATAAAAGAAATACAATTTATACCAGCAAAAATTAAAAAATAAAAATTGCACATTTAGACACACTGTACTGAAAGAGCAGAATACCAAAAACAAAGAGCATATCCTAAAAACGGCCAGATACAGAAATTGAATTAGAGCAAGACTCTGTCTCAAAAAAAGAAAAAAAAAGTATCTAAACTAAAGGAGGTAGTCAAGGAGAAAGGAAAATGAACTCACAATGAAGATCTGAAATATAGAAAGAAATAGTAAGACAGGAAAAATATTGGTAAATCTCAATTTTTTTAATAAAACAAGAATGATGTTCTAATTTGTAGAAAAGTAGAAAAATCAGAAATGGAAATAAAATGTATAACTTTCAAATCAGTAAATGGCAGGGGTTGGGGAGGATGAAGAAAACTTTTAAAACAAATGAAAAAAAACCTCAAATAGTTCAAAATGAACCAAAACAGGAGACAAAATAATGGGATTGGAAGGACAAAACAAATGGAAAACAGAAAATACAGGTCCAAATATAGTGACAATAAACAAATGGGCTAAACTCGCCAGTTAAAAGAATGAGAAGTTGACATACTGGGCTTTAAAAAAAAAATCCAACTAAACCTTGTTTATGAGATGTATCTCAGTTATAAGGACATGGTGAGGGCTAGGCATGGTGGCTCACACCTGTAGTCCCAGCACTCTGGGAGTCCAAAGCAGGCAGATCACCTGAGGTCAGGAGTTCGAGACCAGCCTGGCCAACATGGCCAGACCCCATCACTACTAAAAAATTAGCTGGGTGTGGTGGTGGGTGCCTGTAATCCCAGCTACTCAGGAGGCCGAAGCAGGAGAATCTCTTGAACCCAGGAGGCAGAGGTCGTAGTGAGCTGAGTTTGCACCACTGCACTCCAGCCTGGGCGACAGAGCAAGACTCGATCTCAAAAAAAAAAAAAAAAAAAAAAAGAGAACATGGGAAGATTGAAAGGAAAAGGATGGAAAAGGGTTACTAAGAAAACATTATTTAATAAAAGAAAGCTAGTTATGCTCTACTAATATAAAGAAGACTTTAAGCCAAAAATCATTATTATTATTGAGACAGGTTGTCACTCTGTCGACCATGCTGGAGTGCAGTGGAGCAATCTTGGCTCACTGCAGCCTCTACCTACCCACACTCAACTGATCGTTCCTCCTCAGTTTCTGGAGTAGCTGGGACTACAGGTGCACGCCACCACACCTGCCTAATTTTTTGTAGAGACGGGGTTTCACCATGTTGCCCAGGCTGGTCTCGAACTCCTGGGCTCAGGCCATCCGCCTGCCTGAGCCTCCCAAAGTGCCGGGATTACAGGCATGTGCCACCACGCCTGGCCCAAAAAGTATTATTAAAGCCAGAAAGGGTCACTATATAACAATAAAAAATTAATTCACCAAAAAGATATAAAAATTCTAAACTTGTATATACCCCTGTAGAAAGTAAAAAGTTTCTTCTTCAAATTTTCCTTCTCATTAAAAAAATAAATCATAAGTGTTAAAAATAATAGTTTCTTTTAAAGACTAACTTCCTTCAAGCCTCCTTGCTTTGTGCTAATAACTCTTTGTTAAGCCCTAATGTAACTGTTAGACATGCTCACAGGCACGTAGTACATTCTGTATCCTTGCACCTCACCCAAGATATTTGTGCTGGACATGCTTACAGGCACATTCCAGCTCACAGCCTAAGACCCCTCCCCTATTTGGCATAAGCAACTTCCTCTTTTCCTATATTCTCCCTTGCCTTTACCTATTTAGAAAAATTTTAAACCGTTAGCCAATCGGGTTCAGTTTAGATTGTGAGGTCTGGCTCCAGCCAATGGAGACAGGACACAGTAGCAGGGACAAGCTGTGTAAGGGATAAAAATTACTTCCTCCCTTTGTTCAGGTGTGCTCTCACCATTGTTCCATCTGCGATGAGCACCCTTTCTACAAAAAGTAAAAATTGTCTTACTAAGAAAATTAAATTTATGTTCAAATGCTGTTTCTTTGTGGCACCAAGAAACAAACATTCCTAACACCCCCTACCCCCAGATCCTCAAAATACATCAAGTAAAAGACTACAGGACAAAGTTGAAAATCCAATTTAACAGTGGAAGATTTTAAAACACATTTCTCAACACGTAAACAAAAATTAGTAAAGATATAGAAGACGTAGAGCAACACAAATAACAAGCTTGATTTAACAGATATAACCGGCTCCTGCATTCAACAGTTTGAGTATACATTCTTCTCAAGCAACATGAAACATTTACAAAACTTGGCTACTTTGTTATTCCCTAAAGAAAAAGTTCCAATAATTCAAATAATTAGTGTCATAAGAACACATTCTCTGACCGTGATGCAACTTGGTTAAAATCAATAACAAAAAGATGAATTTTTCTATTTCCATAATTTGGCAATTTCAGAAACACACTTCCAAATCACTCATGGTCATGAGTCATGGAAGATGGAATGAAAATTTTTAAATAACTGAAATTGAATGATAATGAAAATACTATATATCAAAATGTATGGACCTTCATACAATGGATTCATTAATAAAAAGGAAGGAAATCCTGATACAAGCCCCATCATGGATGAACCTCAAAAGCATTAAATGAAGTGAAAGAAGCTAGACATGACAAGACCACATATTAGATGATTCTACTTACAAATGTCCAGAAAATACAAATTCATACAGACAAAAAGTACAGTAGTGGTTAGCTAGGGGTGGGAACAGGGATTATTGCAAATGGGCATAAGAGAGCTTACTGAGGGGATGAAAATGTTCTAAAATTGATTAATGGAAATGGTAGTGCCACTCAGTAATAAATTAAAAATCACTGACTTATACACTTGAAATGAGTGAGTTTCATAATACATAAAGTATATCTTGATAAAGCTGTTTTAAAAGAAAACTTGTAAGATATAGGAAAATTAAAATTTTGAGGGAATATAGCCTTAAAGAAAGAAAGAAAGAAAGATGGCTGGGCATGGTGGCTCACATCTGTAATCCCAGCACTTGAGCAGGCTGAGGCAGGAGATCACTTGAGGCCAGGAGTTCAAGACCAACCTTGGCAACAAAGCAAGACAACAACAACAACAACAAACCAGAAAGAAAAACATCAAAGTAAAGAGAAGAAAATAATAAATATAGGAACTAAAATTTATAAAACCAAAAATATTCAATAGAGAGGATTAACAAAGCCAAAAGTTGGTTTGCTAAAAGAATAATAATAATAAACCATTGGCAAGATTAATCAAGAAAAAAGGGAGAAGGAACAAATGAATATCTGAAATTTAAAAGGGGAGATAACTACTGACATGGCAAAATTTAAAAGATAAAATAATAGCATGAATAGATGTTGAGACTACGGCAATGTTCGTTATATTTCCTTTGTGACTTAAAAAAAAGTTCTGTATTTGTGGGGTATAGGATCATACGCAAATGTAATTAGTTAACCTTTTGAACACATTTTGAAGCTAGGTTAGGTATACGAGTTCATGATTACAACGGTCTCTTACATTGTTTCTTTTATCCGTATGATCTATTTATGTGTGTACTTGAAAATACCTCGGCCAGGCACTGTGGCTCACGCCTGTAATCCCAGCACTTCGGGAGGCTGAGCCGAAAGCTCCAGCCAGCCAGCCAGCCAAGGAAGTGCTTACATCACCCCTCCTCCAATCCCAGGCAGTGCAGCTTACAGCTCCAGGGGAAACTCCTTTCCGCTTGAGGAGGGGAGAAAGGAGAGTAAAGGGGACTTTGTCTTGCAACTTGGATACCAGCTCAGCCACAGTAGGATAGGGGACAAGGTAGAGTCCCAAGGCCCTCATTCCAAGCCCTAGCTCCCAGATCACATTTTTAGACATACCCAGGGCCAGAAGGGAATGCGCTGCCCTTAAAGGGAAGGACCCAGTCCTGGAAGAATTTATCAAATCCTTCCGAAGGCGGATTGCTTTGAGCCCAGGAGTTTGAGATCAGCCTGGGCAATATGGCGAAACCCAGTCTCCAAAAAAAATACAAAAAATAGCTGGGTGAGGTAGCACACACCTATAGTCCCAGCTACTCGGGAGGCTGAGGTGGGAGGATCACCTGAACCTGGGAAGTCAAGGCTGCAGTGAGCCATGATTGCACCACTGCACTCCGACGTGGCTGACAGGAGTGAGACTCTGTCTCAAAAAAAAAAAAAGAAGAAAAGGTAAAAAAAAGAAAATATTTTTTCTTTTATTTATTGGTCACCTACTATGTGCTATGGAGTTTCTCAATATTACCTCTATCCCTAATGTCCCTGGTAAGATAGGCATAAATAACTCCTATTTCAGATGAGACAACTGAGAGAGCCATAAATGATGTTTTAAAAAGCCAGGATCCAAACTCAGATTTTTCTGTTTTCAAAGCCTGTACTCTTCCTTACCACAGTGGTTCAAATATATGTCGACTGTATATATAACATGTATTTATTTTTTAAAGATAACACAAATTTCAGTATGAGGGAAAACTCAAAACTTAATCATGCAACCCTATAAACTGGACTTTTGCGTTTAAAAGCACCTATCTTTGGGGAGAGGAGGCAGGGCAAGCTGGCTTAATAGAACTCTCCAGCCATCATTTCCCCCCTGTACCCCACAGGAACAACAAATTGAACAATTATCCATACAAGAAAGAACCTTCATAACAACCAAACATCGGGTGAGAGATCACAGTACCTGGTTTTAACTACGTATCACTGAAAGAGGCACTGAAGAAGATAGGAAAGACAGTCTTGAATTGCCAACACCACCATTCCACCATCTCTTGGCAGTGGCCACATGGTGTGGAGAGAGAATCTGTACTTGTGGGAGGGAGAGTGCAGTGATTGTGGGACTTTGCATTAGAACTCAGTGCTGCCTGCCACAGCTGAAAGCAACATGGGGCAGAATTCAGCCAGTACTCACAGAGGGGGCAGTTAGACCAGCCCCAGCCAGAGGGGAACCACCCATCCCACTGGTCAGAATCTGAGTTCCAGCAAGCCCCACCATGGCAAGCTAAAGCACTCTGGGGTTCCAAATAAACTTGAAAGGCAGTCTAGGCCACAAGTACTGCAATTCCTGGGCAAGCCCTGGTGTTGTGCTGGGCTTGGAGCCAGTGGAGTTAGGGTACATGTGACCTAGTGAGATACCAGCCAGCCAGCCAGCCAAGGAAGTGCTTACATCACCCCTCCTCCAATCCCAGGCAGTGCAGCTTACAGCTCCAGGAGAAACTCCTTTCTGCTTGAGGAGAGGAGAAAGGAGAGTAAAGGGGACTTTGTCTTGCAACTTGGATACCAGCTCAGCCACAGTAGGATAGGGGACAAGGTAGAGTCCCAAGGCCCTCATTCCAAGCCCTAGCTCCCAGATCACATTTTTAGACATACCCAGGGCCAGAAGGGAATGCACTGCCCTAAAGGGAAGGACCCAGTCCTGGAAGGATTTATCATCTGATGACTAAGAGACCCTGGGCCCTGAATAAACATCAGCAGCACCCAGGCAGTACTCACCATGGGACTTGGGTAAGACCCAGGGCTGTGCCGGCTTCAGGTGTGACCCAGTGCATTCTAAGCTATGGTGCCCACAGGGAGAGACTTCCTCTGCCTGAGGTAAGGAGAGGAAAGAGTAAAGGAACTTTTTATTGCAGCTTGGGCACCAGCTTGGCCACAGTGGGGTAGAGAACCAAGAAGTCACCTGGGGTAGTCAGTTCTAGCCCTTGGCTTCTGGATGGCATTTCTGGACCTGCCCTGGGCTAAAGGGGAGCCCACTACCTTGAAGGGAGAGTCCTAAAAATGGCAGCATTCACCACAAGCTGACTGAAGAGCCTTTGGGCCTTGGGTGAGTATCAGCGATAGCCAGGCAGTACCTGCTGCAGGGAGAGACTCCTTCCGCATGAGGAAAAAAGAGGGAAGAGTGGGAAGGATTTTGTCTTACAGCTTGGGTGCCAGCTCAGCTGGTGTAGAATCGAGAACCAAGTAGATTCCTAAGGTTCCTGACTCTAGGCCCTGGCTCCCAGATGGCATTCTGGGATCTGCTCTAGGCTGGGGAGTAGCTTGCCACCCTGAAGAGAACGACACAAGCCAGGCTGGATTTGTTTCCTGCTGATGGTAGAGCCCTTGGGCCTTGAGTGAATATTGGCAGTAGCCAGGCAGTGGTAACAGGAGGCCCAGGCTGAGACCCAGTATTTTGCTGGCTTTGGAGAAACTCCATGTGTTTGGGGGGAAGTAAGGGAAAAGAACAAGAGTCTCTGCCTGGGTAATACAGGGAATTCTCCCAGATCTTACCCAAGACCACCACGGCAGTATCTCTACAATTGTGCAAGAGCCACAGCATTACTGGGCTTGGGGTGCCCCTGCCAATGCAGATACAGCTACAATGACCAAAGATTTAGATGACAACAACTCAATGTTCTTTGAATACTTGGAAAACTTTCCCAAGAAGGACAGGTACAAACAAGCCCAGACTACAAAGACTATAATAAATACGTAACTCTTCAATGCCCAGACATTAACAAACATCCACAAGCATCAAGACCATACAGGAAAGCATGACCTCACCAAACAAACTAAATAGTGTACTAGTGACCAATCCTGAAGTGACAGAGATATGTGACCTTTCAGAGAGAGAATTCAAAATAGCTGTTTTGAGGAAGCTCAGCGAAATTCAAGATAACACAGAGAAGGAATTCAGAATCCTATCAGGTAAACTTAACAAAGAGGTTAAAATAACTTTTAAAAATCAAGCAGAAATTCCAGAGTTGAAAAATTCAATTGATATAGTGAAGAACGCATCAGAGTCAACAGGAGTATTGATCAAGCAGAAGAAAGAATCAGTGAGTTTGAAGACCGGTTATCTGAAAATGCAGTCAGAGGAGACAAAAGAAAAGAGAATAGGCCAGGTGCAGTACCCCACGCCTGTAATCCCAGTACTTCGAGAGGCCAAGCGGGTGGATCACCTGAGGTCAGGAGTTCAAGACTAGCCTGGGCAGCATGGAGAAACCCTGTCTCTACTAAAAATACAAAATTAACCTGGCATGGTAGTGCATGCCTGTAATTCCAGTTATTCGGGAGGCTGAGGCAGGGGAGAATCGTTTGAACCTGGGAGGCGGAGGTTGCCATGAGCCGAGATGGTGCCACTGCACTCCAGCCTGGGCAACAAGAGTGAAACTCCATCTCAAAAAAAAAAAAATTAGCTGGGCGTGGTGGCAGACGCCTGAGGCAGGAGAATCATTTGAACCCAGGAGGCAGAGGTTGCAGTGTGCCAAGATTGTGCCATTGCACTCGAGTCTGGGTGACAGATTGAAATTCTGTCTCAAAAAACAAAAACGAAAAAAGAATAAAAAACAATGAAGCATGCCTACAGGATCTAGAAGATAGCCTCAGAAGGGCAAATATAAGAGTTATTGGCTTTAAAGAGGAGGTAGAGAAAGAGATGGGGTAGAAAGTTTATTCAAAGGGGGTAATAACAGAGAATTTCCCAAACCTAGAGAAAGATACCACTATCCAAGTACAGGAAGGTTATAGAATACCAAGCAGATTTAACCCAAAGAAGACTACCTCAAGGCATTTAGTAATCAAACTCCCAAAGGTCAACGATAAAGAAAAGATCCTAAAAGCAGCAAAAGAAAAGAAACAAATCACATACAATGAAGCTCCAAAATGTCTGGCAGTAGACTTTTCAGTGGAAACCTTATAGGCCAGGAGAAAGTGGGATGACATTTAAACTGCTGAAGGAAAAAAACTTTTACCCAAGAATAGTATATCCAGCGAAAATATCCTCCAAAAATTGTTGTGGGAAGTCAGGGACCCCGAACAGAGGGACCGGCTGAAGCCATGGCAGAAGAAGATTTCATGGACATTTATTAGTTCCCCAAATTAATACTTTTATAATTTCTTATGCCTGTCTTTACTGCAGTCTCTGAACATAAATTGTGAAGATTTCATGGACACTTATCACTTCCCCAGTCAATACCCTTGTGATTTCCTATGCCTGTCTATACTTTAATCTCTTAGTCCCGTCATCTTCGTAAACTGAGGAGGATGTATGTCGCCTCAGGACCCTGTGATGATTGCATTAACTGCACAAATTGTAGAGCATGTGTGTTTGAACAATATGAAATCTGGATACCTTGAAAAAAGAACAGGATAACAGCAATGTCCAGGGAACAAGAGAGATAACCTTAAACTCTGACTGCTGGTGAGGCAGGCAGAACAGAGCCATATTTCTCTTCTTTCAAAAGCAAATAGGAGAAATATCGCTGGATTCTTTTTCTCAGCAAGGAACATCCCTGAGAAAGAGAATGTGTCCTTGAGGGTGGCCTCTAAAATGGCTGCTTTGGGGGCAGCTGTCTTTTATGGTCATAGCTGTGGGATGAAATAAGCCCTGGTCTCCTGTAGCGCTCCCAGGCTTATTAGGACGAGGAAATTCCCGCTTAATAAATTTTGGTCAGACCAGTTGTCTGCTCTCAAACCGTGTCTCTGATAAGATGTTATCAATGACAATGCCTGCCCGAAACTTCATTAGCAATTTTAACTTCGCCCCTGTCCTGTGGTCTCACCCTGCCTCCATTTACCTTGTGATATCTTATTACCTTGTGAAGTATGTGATCTCTGTGACCCACACCCTATTTGTACACTCCCTCCCCTTTTGAAAATCACTAATAAAAACTTGCTGGTTTTGCGGCTTGTGGGGCATCACGGAAGCTGCTGACATGTGATGTTTCCCCCAGAAGCCCAGCTTTAAAATTTCTCTCTTTTGTACTCTGTCCCTTTATTTCTCAGACCAGCCGACACTTGGGGAAAATAGAAAAGAACCTACGTGAAATATCGGGGGTGAATTTCGCCTGATAAAAAATGAAGGAGAAACAGACTTGCCCAGACAAAACAAAAGTTGATGGAGGCTGGGCGCGGTGGCTCACACCTGTATTCCCAGCAGTTTGAGAGGCCGAGGTGGGCGGATCGGATCACAAGGTCAGGAGATTGAGACCATCCTGGCTACTACAGTGAAACCCTGTCTCTACTAAAAATACAAAAAAAAATTAGCTGGGCATGGTGGCAGGCACCTGTAGTCCCAGCTACTCAGGAGGCTGAGGCAGGAGAATGGCATGAACCTGGGAGGCAGAGCTTGCAGTGAGCCAAGATCACGCAACTGCACTCCAGCCTGGGGGACAGAGCAAGACTGTCTCAAAAAAAAAAAAAAAAAAAAGGCTGTGATAAACTATTTTGACATTTAAAATGTGACCATTTCAAAGTAATAAATTTACCATCTTACCTTGTTCACTCTCAAAGCTTGCTTCCTCATCAGACAAAACTAGCCTGAAGTAAAAACAAAAAAAAATGTAGATTTTTTGTTATAATACACTTGTGATTCATATTCCCCAAACAGTTTTATATGGTTAAAAAAATTTTCTACTCAGGAAACATAAAATCATTGTCCACTAGATCCCCTAAAATCTATATCTGGTGAATTTCCTACTTCTTTTATAGATCTATACAGACCTTTCACCCCTTATTCCTTCAATAAACATTTACTGAGTATCTACAAAGCACCAGGCATCATGCTCAGTACTCAATCTTCAAGAACCTTCACCATCAAAACCATAGAGTAAGAAGTTTCATTTTCAAGCCTTGAAAGGTTTTAAGAACACTTGTGAACTCAATCAAGGGAATGAAGAACTCCAGAAAAGATGGAGTACCCTATTTTGAACAATGAAGTGATGTTTGCAAGACACGTTAGCCTAAAATATCCTTAATCAATACTAATTTTGGATATTTATAGCATCTATCTGATATAATAGACAAAAAGTTAAGACAAAGAAATAGGGCCGGGTGTGGTGGCTCACGCCTGTAATCCCAGCACTTTCGGAGGCTGAGACAGGCGGATCACGAGGTCAGGAATTCGAGACCAGCCTGACCAACGTGGTGAAACCCTGTCTCTACCAAAAATACAAAAATTAGCTGGGCATGGTGGCATGTGCCTGTAATCCCAGCTACCCAGGAGGCTGAGGCAGGAGAATCACTTGAACCTGGGAGGTGGAGGTTGCAGTGAGCCGAGATCATGCCACTGCACTCTAGCCTGGGTGACAGGGCAAGACTCCGTCTCAAACAAAAAAAAAAAGAAATTGAACACAGACATAGTCACTACACCTGGGGCATGACCTCACAGTTGCTAGTATTGAAAGTTGTTTTTAATAAATCTTTAAAGATACTTAAAAATCTATACAGTATTTACTTGTAAATACTACACAAATAAACCTACAGAGCAAATAAATATTCATGACCTGAAATGAAATTTTCCCTAATAGTATTATGTTTTTTTAAACAACTTGGATGGAAGAGAAGGTGAAGAGCTTGGCCATCTATTAGTTAACTTGAAAAGTAGCTCTCATAATGCTAAAGATACATGAGAAGATTTTGAATAAAACTCTTATGAAATGTGAGAATGGAAAAATTTTACTAAATTAATATGGTTCATATAACATATGATTTTAAATGTCAATATTGGCCAGGCGTGATGGCTCACACCTGTAATCCCAGCACTTTGGGAGGCTGAAGTGGGCAGATCACTTGAGGTCAGGAGTTCGAGACCAGCCTGGCCAACATAGTGAAACTCCATCTCTACTAAAAAATACAGAAACTAGCTGGGCTTAGTAGTGCATGCCTGTAATCCCAGCTACTCAGGAGGCTGAGGCAGGAGAATCACTTGAACCTGGGAGGGGGAGGTGGCAGTGAGCTGAGATTGTGCCACTGCACTCCAGCCTGGAGAAAAAGAGTGAGACTCTGTCAAAAAAAAAAAAAAAGTCAATATATAAATTCACAAATTTAATTTATAACTAGACATTTTATCAATGTTTATCTTAAAACATACATTCAAGTTAGCAAAAAAAATTGGTTTGGATTTCCTCATAGAGAAGATGGGAAAATGTCTTATACTACATTTGTGTCTTAGTTCATTTTGTGTTGCTATAAGAGAATACCTGAGACTAAGTAATTTATAAAGAAAAGAGGTTCATTTAGTTCTGCAGGTTGGGAAGTTCAAGATCATGGCCTTGGCTTCTGGCAAGGGCTTTAGTGCTGCATCATAACATGGTAGAGAAGGTCAAAGGGGAAGTGGACATGTGCCAAGAGGCAAACTCCAAGGCGCGTTGGGCTTTATAACAAACCACTCTCTCAGGATCACCTTCTACTCAACAGTATATGGTTTATCACTGTTTGGCCCTTATTTCTGAGTTCGTTAATATATTGAATCTGGTTAAAATGAGAATTAAATAGCAGCTTTGAAAGAAAAACAAAGGGACAATAATATAATAAAAGGGAAACGGGGCATGAAGGATGTACACGGCAACAGCCCGTATTTTCAGGTAACCAGTCCCAGTCCTATGTGTGTTATTCTGGAAACAGATTTCTAATAGTTTATTTCACAGCTGCTGGTACCTGTCCCTTTCTTCTCTCTAGCTACCCATTTCAAGAGTCACTAGAGGTACTTGTGGCTCTTAATACAAGGCTCTATCCCAAATGACAGACTCTTAATCACCCCAATCAGTTTGATACTTCTGTCATGTCCTTTGCCTGCTATGTTAAAAAATGGAAAAAATTCGTGTAGGATCTGGATATTAAGGAAAAAATGGAAAAATATATATAAGGTTTCAAAACAAATTGCTAAGATCTGAATTTCTCCTCATCAAAACTCTTGTTGAAATTTGACCCCACCCTCAACGTGGGAGTATTGGGAGGTGGAGACCTAGTAGGAGGTGTTTGGGTCATTGGGGCAGATCTCTCATGAATGGTTTGGTGCCTTTTTCATGGTAATGAGTGAGTTCTCACTCTCATGAGATTGGATTAGTTCTCTCAGGAATGCTTCTGAATGGGTTGTTATACAGCCAGCATGCCCCTTGATTTTGCCTCTTCACACAGGTCTGCTTCCCCTTTGACCTTTTCTGCCATGTTATGAAGCAGCACTAAAGCCCTCACCAGAAACCAGGGCCACGCTCTTGAACTTCCCAGCCAGCAGAACCATGAGCTAAACTTTTTTACTTGATAAATTACCCTGTCTCAGGTATCCTGTTATAGCAACACAAAACAGACTATGATACAAATGTTTAGTGTTGATTGGAAAAATGACATAGGAATAAATATTCAGTAAGAGAAGAAACAATTCTTTCCACATATATCATATGATGGTATCCAGGACTTCTATAACATGACACAGATGACTTATGCCTGCTTACTTATTGAGCTGTTCAGTAAGAAAACCGCCTATTTGTTCATCTTTATTGTCTTCACTAATCTTGCTTGGCGTGTCTTGTAGTTGCTAAAGATAAGAAAGTCAATGTTAAGTATATAGAATGAATCTGTTTCTTCTTCTCTGCAAAGAAAATGAGAATATAAATTCTAAAGAACCATATGAAATAGGAAGTTCTGAACTAGAGAGTGAAAGATATAGGACATGTATGCTAATGTAATCTGAACTGAGCTACTGAGCTTCATACACTTGTTTCTCCTGGCTGCCTGTGCAAACTGCACATATTGTGATGTGGGGTAGCCACAGATTAGTTTAACAACTTAGTAATAGGCCTAAAGAAGACTTAAACTGTGTTTCTAGTCTGTATCACAATGCTCTAAATACAGCTAAAGATTTTCAATTTTGATTCTGAGCAGAAATTGGATATAAAATTTGCCTAAATACACAGTATGCCATACAGCGAAGCATTTATTATATTAAAAGTAAAAACAAAACAAAAAACAACCTAATTCAAGGGTATCTTTGGTGCTGGAAGATGCCATGTCAGAACATGACTTTAACATCCATCCTAAACCCCAGAAATATGCAAGATATGAGCCTATCACAAATACCACATCCAGCTTGAACAAACCAGCCAGCAACACTTTCAAGCTTTACTGAAAATATGGCAGAATGAATGGTAAGTTAAAAGGTACTGAAACCTGGCATAATGTTGGTTATCATGAACCATATCCATGACATCAGTGTAAAAGTAAAACAAAGTTTTTCTCTAACTTCTAATACTGTCAGGTAGGTAATCTGGTTATTTTTAAGAGCACATGACCACTTTCCATCACTTGTTCCTCTTAAGATCTTCCTTTGCATAGCCTTTTCTTATCTCCTTTAATTTTAAATTAAATTAAATTTAATTTTTTTTTTACTTTTAAATTTTTTTCATTTAAATTTTCTTTTTACTTTCTCCCTCTTTTTCCCTGTCCTACTAGTATCTTGGGCCTGCCAGCAGTATTCCTATGTTATTTCAGTGTTGCTGGCAACATTTGCAATTAGGAAAGTGCTGACCCTTGGCTGAAGGAAAATGTTTCTCAATGTTTTGTAAATTTTAAATTAACCTTGGTTAAAAAAAAAAAAAGTTTCAATGTTATCACCCAAATGAAGAGTAATACATCTAAACAAGAGAACATGGAACACAATGTACCTTGAGAGCTACAAAATCATACGGATGAAAGCCAATACAGGCTTCATGAATTTGGGACATCATTCGAGCTGTTTTCTTCCAGAATCCAAGCAGTGTTCTCTGCAAAAAAAGAAAAGGTGACACTACAGTTCTGCTTCCCCTCCATGATTTTTTAAGTGCTATATTTCCTTACTAGTTTAGTAGATGAACAGTTGCCAAAAAATAAGAAGCAGGAACTAAATTCAATTTTCCAAGTTTAGGGAACCATAAAGCACTGCAAATAGTACTTGTGCAAAAGAATCGGCATCTGTGTCTGCACGTGTGGGAGTTAACTGTATAAATAGCACAGGAATGCACACTGGAGCCACCCAGAGAGTGACTGCAGCTAAGAGAATGAAAACTTAGGGATCAGAACATCTGAGATATCAAAAAGAGAAATGTTAAAAGCACAAAAATACCAATCTCTGTTAAAGGAGGAACATATGTGTAATCTTTATGTTGATGGGAATATATAAAACTTTTTAATTGGAGAAAAATTACATTTACCACTAAATCTGGCCTTTCATCTAGAGTTCAAGAAAGATTTGCCAAAAAATGTGTTCTCAAGCTAACTCAAGTAATTGGACATTTTTCTTGCTGCTTCAAGGTTCCTGATTAAAGTGAGGAGGATGAATGGAGAGAATAAAGGAAAACTGAACTCATAGCTATTGTGTTTCAGGCAAGATGCTAAACAGATATCACACACTGTTATTTTCAAGTGCATCCTTTCTCCATTTCTGAATCCCACAGTACTGAACTGAAATAGGCAGACTCCCTAAAAGCAGGAGTGAATGTCCATTTCCTGTAGTTTATTACTCTTTTCTTATGTAAGTACAGTTTATTCAATTTTTTCCATTGAAAAATATATGTAAAAATCAATAGCTGCTACTTATTAATATCTAACTTATTCATTGTGTGTTACTTATATGTGATTTGTGGTACTATAAGCACAAGTGAGACTTCTGAGGTTAAAGTGGTATGGGATGGCAACTTGACAGAATGAAAAGAACATATAACTTAGAAATAGAAAACTTTGGTTTCTAAGCCAACATTGCCGTTCACTTTAATTCTCATAGGTGTCACTTTCCTCATCCATAAAATGACAGAAAAGGTTTTAAACTTTTGGGGGCACAGAATCTTTGCTTCAGATGAAATTGTATGTAGAACTTCAAACCCAGAAGTGGAACAGCTCTGGTTAAACCAGGGCAAATGGGCCTTAAATTTTGCCTCTTCAACATTCCCCTCTTCAACCTCAAATGGTCCCTAAGTCTCTCTCTCTCCTTTGACACCAAAGAGAAGAGCTACAGAAGTAAACAGTCTCTAAGGTCTTTTTCAGAACTTTTTGACTCTCTGACTTTCATAACCTCAATAAAGCAAAGTCAAAGGAATCTAATCATACATAAATTTTTACACCCTTTAGACAACTTTTAAAAAGAAATCTCACCACTCATCTTTACTGCAAGGATATGCTGACCATGGAGGTGGGTACCTGGTAGGTAGTGAGCGAATGAGATAGCATATTGCAGCGACTAGCTCCAAGTAAATCCACTTTCTGACAAACATCCATCTTTAACTTGTCAAAAGAAGCTTTGCTATTTCTCACTTGCATCTGTACCTGCAATAAAAATGCTAATTTTTATTACAGATATATACTATAAATATAGTATGTTATTACAGACATAAATATAGTATACAGGTTCATAATAAATATTTTCAGAAATAAATTATAATAAAGACTAATTTCTTTTCCCTGTATCATTAATATTTCATGAGTAATGATGAAGATTTTGCTACTGTTAGTAATTGTAGGAGATTCTTTCCAGAAGATATCTTTATGCTGAGAAAGTATGAGATAATAGATGGAAAGCAAATAGTTTTTTAAAAAGTATTCCAAATAAAAAGAAACATCTAAAACTATTCATGGATAGCACTTAGCTAAGAGCAGAAGAATAAATGGAAAGGGGACCTCGTTAAAGCACTGAGAAACATTAATAATATTTCTGAATCATGCAGATATTTATAAATTCCAGTAGAGGCCTATTATATTTCTTGAATAAATGGTGAGTCATGCCATCAGGTAGTGTGAATACTCAACCTTTTAATATATTAATTTATTCAACAAATATAAGGCACCTATTATATGCAAGGCATTGTTCTAGGCACTGAGATATTGTGGTGAACAAAACAATGTTCTTCCCCACCATCCTTGGGTAGGGAGGCACAGGAAAAAAAAGAAGTAAATAAATATATAGTTGCAAAGGTAGCAAATAAGTAAACAGAAATGAGTGAAGGATGACATGGAAGTCCTTGGTGAGATCATGCATGATGTTTGAACTGGGACAGAAAGATGATGAGCAGGCTATGCTAAGACCCTGGGGAGAGCATTCCAGAACTAGGGACAAGCAAGGACAAAGGTCCTGAGAGTGGGAGGGGGTGAAGACCTTATCATGTTAGAACAACAAGAAGCAAGGAGGTAGAGCACGTTCTTCCTGGAGTGTAGGAAGCAAGTACAACGTGGTTGTGGAGGGACCAGGGATCAGGCCATGCAGGGTTTTTAGGGTCCAGATAGGGACTTGGATTGTATTTGATGTGGTTTGGCTGTTTCCCTGCCCAAATCTCATCTTGAATTCCCACATGTTATGGGAGGGACCCAGTGAGAGATAACTGAATCATGGGGGCAGGTCTTTCCCATGCTGTTCTTGTGATAGTGAATAAGTCTCACGAGATCTGATGGTTTTAAAATGGAGAGTTTCCCTACACAAGCTCTTTTTGCCTGCCACCATCCATGTAAGATATGACTTGTTCCTCCTTGCCTTCTATGATGATTGTGAGGCCTCCCCAGCCACGTGGAACTGTAAGTCTATTAAATCTCTTTATCTTCCCAGTCTTGGGTATGTCTTTATCAGCAGCATGAAAATAGACTAATACATTATTCTTCTTTTAAAAATTGAGGTGAAAGTTGCATAACATACAATTAGCAATTTTAAAGTGTTCAATTAAGTGGCATTTAGTGCATTCGCAATGTTGTTCAATCACTCCCTTGGACTGTATTCTCACTGTCAAAGATTGTAAAAGGGATGGAATACGAGGTAGTTGTGGCCTGAGGCCATGTATTCACCTACTTCATAGGGCTGTTGTGTGTAATCAATGAGGCAAACCACTTAATAGCTGGCCCAGAGTCAGGCTCCATCAGTATTAAATATTATGATTTATATTATGGGTTCTCTATTTATGAAATGAATGATAAAATGAATTTTGTTATTTATGTATAGTATAATTAGGGGCTATAATTTATAATAAGGAGTTTATTTAGCAAAAACATATGTTCATACATAGTTACTTAGGAAGTCTGTGGCCAAACTTTGTATTGTGACAGAATAAAAATTTTGATAACCTTCATATTTCCTTATAATTAACAATCATTTTACATGAATTTTTACTTAAATTCCTTTTGTCCCTCTGTAATAAACTATTTTCTTCCTGCAAACGAATCTCAAAAGTCCAAGGAAGCAACATTTAAGAAGTAATTTAGATCTATCATGAGACAGATTAAAAAATTAATAAAAAAGGTAGATGGTGTGAAGATGCCACTCCAGGAGTAAAAATAAAAGTGTGACAAACTTTTGTACTTCAACTACAGTCTCCAAGCAACCAAGAATGTATAATGAAACATATATTTACCAAAAAACATCTGAAATTTTATTATCTTAATTATTCTGTGGCAGTTTCATATTTCATACACCAAGAAAAGGAAAGGGATACGTTTTCATACTTTTCTAAACTTTTCCATTTGCTTTAAGGTGTCTGGGTCCAGCTCTTGGGATACATCTTTCATCCACAGTAGAGCTCCTCTGTATTCTGTGCGTGCCTGCTCCATCCGATTAATTGTCATCAAGGTATCAGATACTGCCCTTTGACTGAATGTTGCTACTTCTTGCTTCAGACGAGACAGAGGAGTACACAGGGCCAATCTAATGGCAGAGAGGTAAAAATCAGAGGGTTGAACACATCATAAGTAAAACAAAACAAAGGTTTAAACCAATGAAAAAGCATATTTGCTAACAAGATGAATCTACAAGTAAAAAATTATTCAGTTCCTAAGGAGATTTTGAAAGCAAATAAGGATCATATAGCCAACTCTGAATTATCAATAAAGATGTGTTGGCCGGGCGCGGTGGCTGACGCTTGTAATCCTAGCACTTTGGGAGGCCAAGGTGGGCAGATCGCCTGAGGTCAGGAGTTTGAGACCAGCCTGGCCAACACGGCGAAACCCTGTCTCTACTAAAAATGCAAAAAATTAGCCAGGTGTGATGGTGGGTGCCTGTAATCCCAGCTACTCGGGAGGCTGAGGCAGGAGAATCGCTTGAACCCGGGAGGTGGAGGTTGCAGCAAGCCGAGATGGCGCCACTGCACTCCAGCCTGGGCGACAGAGCGAAACTCCATCTCAAAAAAAAAAAAAAAGTGTCTACACCTCCTCCCTTGTTACTTTAGGAAATATGTCATTTTTGCAATACTTTGGAAGTTATTCCATGTATAAATAACCTGCCAAGTAAATCTGCCATTTAGAAAACAGTTCTGAGGGGAACAGAGAACCTGCATTCATAAAGCATAATCCAATTAACAGAAAGCCTTTCATTTGACAAGTTCAGGGAAAACCTGGGTTTTGCTAGCAGAACTAATGAGTATGGAGTTCTTAGCAGCTGAGGATGAGGACAAGATAACAAGTATTTAAGAAACACAGATTAAATCCAATTCCTCCTTTTTGCTTAGTGACCATTGGAGGGCCCTGTACTTAGTACCTCCACGTCACTTCCTTCAAGATAGACTTTTGCACTGATGTGATGTTTCAGAATAAAGCTATATAAACTGGACACCATCATTATAGGTCTGATAAGGACTGTTTTATTCTTCTTAAATGCAAAAGATTTGGGCTAGGTTTAGTAATTACAGGAGATTCTTTGCAGTAGGTATCATTATATTAGAAACTGAAATAATAACTGGAAAGTATGTAATTAAGAAGAAAAAATTTCTTCTACTTAAAAAGTACCACTATATTTATAGTATAGTATCAAAAAGCGAAATTGGAAATACACATTTTTAAGATGTTAGTCATTCTGTGACTGTTACATTAAACCAGTTGAGAAATATAACTGATACTTGTCTGATTTTAGGGGAAATAAAAGAAATATAAATACAGGCCTAAAGGTTATTTCTAGAAATTAAGCAACCAAGAACATCAATCATTAAATAATTATTTTGAATACAAAATTAGTAATTAAGAATTAGGTGTCACAACATAACTGTGATATATTTCTCTTTAACCCTTTATTAGAATGAACAGTGACCTTTACAAATATGCAAATTTAAGTACACATGTCAAAACTGTCAGATTGACTACAGATTCAAGATAATGAACAACCATGGTAAACCTTTGCTTGGCTGAAGAACAAAGTGCCTTGCCAGTGGCATCCATCATTTTGCCAGCTTGAGTTGCATCCCGTTCTGCTTGAAATTTTAAAAAGAGCCCTAGCTCATTTTCTTCCTCTGATATAACTAGGAAAAAAATTACAGTGTAGTTAATTGTTTCCTTTCATCATTTGTTTAAAACATACACACAACTAAAAATCTCACAGCAATAACTCTCTATACAAGATTTACTTAGGGGAAGAAGAAGAGAGACTTATTTTTTAAATGCAATTCCTGGGCTCCATTTCCAGAGACTCTACTTTCCATAGGTCTAGGGAATCTGGCTTCTTATCAGCACTCCAGATGGTTTCGACACAGTGAATCCATGGACCTCGCTTTGAGAAGGACTGATTTTTAGTGACAAAAATCCCTCAAAACTATAAAATAAAGCCATAAATGATGCATTTTCAAATGTGCAGAGATGTATTTTAGGATCATTGCCTCTTACAAAGTATTTGTTCCCTATTTAAACTTGTTAATTTATTCTTGACTCCCTCCTGGCTTCAGTTTCCTGTGCTCGGTATCGCAGACTCACAGATGTCCACAGTTCTGCTCCAGCAACCCTAAAAACTGTCATCTAGTGCACTGCTATTCAAAGTGTAGGCCATGGACCAGTATTGGTCCAGAATCCTCTGTTACCAAGCTGTGACAAGCGAAGAAGTAAGGAAACTGAGAATAACTGTGTAGAGACTTTGAGCATTTTATATTTGTCAAATCTAATAAAGTGAGCTTATAATACATTTTTCACGTATTTTATTTCATTTTTCTAAAAGTTATTTTTTTAAAAGATGGGATCTTGCTTTGACATCCAGCCTGGAGTGCAGTGGCTTGATCATAGCTCACTGCAACCTCGAATTCCTGGGCTCAAGTGATCCTCCTGCCTCAGCCTCCTGAGTAGCTCAGACTACAGGCATGAGCCACAGTGGTTGGCTAATTTTTTAAAAATTATTTTAGAGGCAGGGTCTCACTATGTTGACCACGCTGGTCTCAAACTCCTAGCCTCAAGCCATCTTCCCACCTTAGTTTCCCAAAGCACTGGAATTACAGGCAGGCACGAGTCACAGTGCTCAGCTAAAAATTCATTTTTATTGAATTTTACAAAGGTATCAGTTTACAACAGATTGAAAGCAAACCATGAAACAAAAAAAGGTCCTTCACCACAATTTAAGAAACACTGATCTAGTGTAAGCTGATCCTGTAACCACAATAAGACTAATAAGGGGGAAAGCCCACAGTGCTCCAATTATAAGCTTAAAGTAAATAAACAACAACAAATGTCATGCCTAATTTCATCCCACTTCACTGATAGAAAAATCAAAGTTAAAACTGAAAGGGAAGTGTCTGGCTACTTGTGGGGCAGCAACAGAACTCAGGCCTCCTCATGCTGCCTCCCCACTACCCCTGTCCCCGCTGCCATGCCTACAAGGGTGACCCAAGGAGAGCACAATGGTGTAATGAGGAAGGTGTCTACACAGTCTGTAGTCTCATCTCTAATAAAACCATGAACAACTGACCTGATCCAGAGCAGATGGGGTTTGGGGAGTCATGCTAATTTAATGCTGATTACTTGAGAGATGTACAGTTTACACATTATTTGAATCAGAACTTCATAAAATATACCTCAATTAAAACTACTAGAAAATATTCATTTGGGTATGGTGGTTCAGAAAGCACTTTGAGTACTTGGAATACTTCATTATCAAGTATCAACTGAACATAAATGATCACTGAAGCTTACCTTTATCATTGCAGAAAGAGCAGTCAATGAGGCTGAGTCTGTGCTGCTTCTATGTTGAGACCTGCCTGCCAAAATCTACAGAGACCCCTCCCTGACCTGTTCTCCCCTGAGTCAAGAGAGTCCCATAAAGTTATGGTGCTGGACTAACCTACTGCATTTGTCTGATGTTACTCCCAACACATGTATTAATACAATCGTCTTCAAGAAATCACATATTTATACACAATCTTGAAGTGAAAATACACAATTAAATCTATATGTGTTTCCCTTCCTTATTCTGAAATGCTCCACCAGAGTGCTAAAAGATCTAGTGATTTCAGGGTATATAAACTTGCTGATTTTCTTCACATTTTCATTTCTGTCACAGGACTCACTTGGTCCAGTGATTGTGATATATTTTACCAAGCAGTAAAAGGCCATAAGGTCGTTAGTAATCTGACCCCAAATTTCCTTTGTTCCTTTATCCTCCCATTAGTTTCAATGACAGACTCTTCTGCCTATGCAGGCTGTTCTCATTCTTTAAGCTCTTTAAACTCCAAGTCTCTTCTCTACATGTTCAACTTCTATAAATCCTTTAAGTTTTACCTCAATTCCTGTCTATGGAATTGCCTTTGCCAATTACTCTAATCCACAGTTATTCTTCATTCCTAGGAATTCAGAGTTATGTCTGTATCATTATTCTGAACTCAATTACATACTACTTACATTGTCTCTCTTTTTGTGCAAAAAGTTGTTTCTCCAACTACTTCCTTGGGAAAAGCACATGGCAGGTAGTCAAAAAAATACTTGAATAATCATGCTTTATTGGATTTATTTCTTTAATGGGACAATGTATAAGCTTTGATTATAAAGCAATGAGATTAATTTACATAGCTACATGAGAAAAATTATTGATTCATTGAAATCAAATATTTATCGAGTACTGACTACATGCTAGACATTGTTTCTAGACTGGGGACACAGAAATAAAACAGAAAAATTCTGTCCTGGCGAGGTGCAGTGGCTCACACCTGTAATCCCAACACTTTGGGAGGCTGAGGTGGGTGGATCACGAGGATAGGAGTTCAAGACCAACCTGGCCAAGATGGTGAAACCCCGTCTCTACTAAAAATACAAAAATTGGCCAGGCATGGTGGCAGGTGCCTGTAATCCCAGCTACTTGGGAGGCTGAGGCAGAGAATTGCTTGAACCTGGGAGGCGGAGGTTGCAGTGAGCCAAGATCACGCCACTGCACTCTAGCCTGGGCGACAGAGTGAGACTCCACCTCAAAAAAAAAAAATTCTGTCCTTAAGGAGGGCATACTCTAGTGGTGGGAAGAAAAACAATGGACAAAATATACAGAATGTTGAATATTATTAACTGGACAGGGAGTTTTGAGGGAAAGGGGTATTGTATTGTATTGTATTTTTTGTACCCTCTGAGGGCAGAGAGTATTGCATTTTAGATATGCAGTTCAGGGAAGGCCTCATTTAAAAAGATGACATTTGACCAAATACCCAAAGGAAGTTAGGGATTCCACTATGCAGATATGCCTACTATGTAAGATATTAATATGGCTAAAGAGGAGAAGCTTTTAGGAGGTGTGATTAGAGAGGTAGCCATGTCCAGCAGGCCCACTGTAATTAAAAAAGGAGAAGAGATCCAAAGATTGAGTTTTAACCTGAACAAGTCCAGGAGAGAAGAGAATCAGCAAAGGCAGGATGCCAAGAAAGAGTGACCAGGAGGAGGAAAACCAGGAAAGCCAAGTGAAGAAAGTGTATCAAGGAATAGGAAATAATAAATGTGTTAAATAATGTGATAAGCCAGATTTAGAAGGAGTTGGTTAATCATGACCTTGACAAGAGAAATTTGGTGGAGTGATGGGGATGAAAACTTGACTGGAGTGAGTACAAGAGAAATTGGAAGGAAAGGAACAGAGATCATGAATACAGACAATTACATCACATTTTTCTGTAAAGAGCAGCAGAGGAATGGAATTTAACTGCAAGGGCAAGTGGGAGTCAAGAAAGAGAGGTTTAAGTGATGGAAACAAATCCATTTCAGATGCTGCGCAGGCCCAGGCATGGTGACTCACACCTGTAATCCCAGTACTTTGGGAGGTTGAGGCAGGAGGATCACTTGAGGCCAGGAGTTTGAAACCAGTCTGGGCAGCATAGTGAGACCCTGTGTCTACAAAAAAATACAAAAATTATCCAGGTATGGTGGCACACGCCTGTAATCCCAGCTACTTGGTAGGCTGAGGTGGGAGGATCACTTGAGCCCAGGTGGTGGAGACTGTAGTGAGCTGTGATTGCACCACTGCACTCCAACCTGAGTGACAGAGAAAGACCCTGTCTCAAAGAAAAAAAATATCAGCAAAAAATAAATCTGGGTCAGAGGATTTGATTAACTGAGGAAAGAAGAGAGAATACTGGGGCCTTTGAGAACAGGTAACTGTAAATATTCATATTTTGCCATAAGAAGCTATTCACAAAATTGTTTTTACATTAAATCTTTCATTTTAAAAAATGCTAATATTTATTTTAAATGGGGATTATCAGATAGATAACTATGATTTCATACCATTGAGTCTTAGCTGGTATTTCTCGATTATCTTCAGAAGTTCAGTGCATGTCTCTTGAACAGAGTGAAAAACCTTGAGATATAAATTTTATTAGGACAATTTAAAGAACTATAAACAAATATATGTTATAAGCACCCCAAAAGCATAACATTTTCTTCTAAGTATTATGTCTGTTTTAAAAACATTATGTCTATTTTTCTTGGCTATGACATGCTTCAGTTTTGGTTTTACTTCCGATGTAGAAAGCACATTCCCCCATGAGAGCTGGAAAAAAATGATAAATATATGGGAGCAAACAAAAAATTAAAACTGAAGAGTTTGTCCTCATCTCAGCTCCTGTCCTCATCTCAGCTCCAAACTATCTAAATAACAACAACATAAATCTAATATAAACTGCATCAAATATTGCCAACCACAGATGAGAGTGCAGATAACCTTACAAAGTATTAACTCGAAGTCTGGCTTTTCTCTCATACTGGTCTAAACAAAACAGATTAGTGAATTTACTATAAAAATTAAATAATGTATTATAACATCAAATATAAATTATTTTTATATTCTTTTTTTAGAATTTTCTATAGATATTAATTCTTTCATTACTACTGCTGCTAATTGCTAACAGAAAAGAAATAAAATATCCAGTAGACTCTCATTTCAAAATTAAGCACGTGAAAATTTGAGATGAGGCCACACTATATACATGACATAACTCTTCACACACATTAATGTAGGTGTTCCCAGATAAACAAGCAAGCATAAGTTTTACAGTACAGATACAATGAGGACTTTTTTTTGAGATGGAGTCTCACTCTGTCACCCAGGCTGGAGTGCAGTGGTGCAATCTCGGCTCACTGCAACTTCTACCGCCTGGGTTCAAGCGATTCTTCTGGCTCAACCTCCTGAGTAGCTGGGATTACAGATGCCCATTACCGTGCCCAGCTAATTTTTGTATTTTTAGTAGAGATGGGGTTTCACCATCTTGGCCAGGCTGGTCTTGAACTCCTGACCTTGTGATCCACCTGCCTCAGCCTCCCAAAGTTCTGGGATTACAGATTTTTTTTTTTTTTTAGCAAGGCCTGTCTGTTCAGAATCTACACTAAATAATTTTTATGTGACTTAGTTCAAGAAGACCTTGGTACTGCTATATAATATTAAGCCCTAACCCTTTTATTGTCAGATGCCTAATATCATCAAGAAGCCTGAACATTCTATCTGTGGAGCAGTTTTTATTATTATTTTGATGTTTGATCAAACCTAAAGAAGATTGATAATAAACACTAAAATCTTAAAAGGAGGAGCAGGCATCAATTTTCCTTATGAGTTTAGACATGTTTGAAGTGCATTTGGTATCTGGATTTGGCAATTGTAAAATCTGTTTTAAATGCATATGGAAGAAGATTAGAAAAGAATGCAAAAGGCTGGGCGCGGTGGCTCATGCCTGTAATTCCAGCACTTTGGGAGGCTGAGGCGGGTGGATCGCCTGAGGTCAGGAGTTTGAGACCAGCCTGGCCAGCATGCTGAAACCCTGTCTCTACTAAAAATACAAAAATTAGCCAGCCATGGTGGCAGGCTCCTGTAATCCCAGCTATTCAGAAGCTGAGGCAGGAGAATCGCTTGAACCCGGGAGGCGGAGGTTGCAGTGAGCCAAGATCGTGCCACTGCACTCCAGCCTGGGCAACAGAGTGAGACTCCATCTCAAAAAAAAAAAATACAGAAAAGATAGTTCTACTAAGATGAAGTGACTATGCTTGATTATTTTTTCCATAGGTCTTTGCAAGGTTTATGTACTATTTTTATTTTTATAATAAAACTGTTTCTCATTCTTAAAAAAATAGTACAAATGTGGGAGAAAGTTCTTGATTCCAAATATTCATCTAATGGCCAGATTTACACTGAATATAAAACATGTCACCCACAGATGACCTAACAATGTAAAACAATACCAAAACCTTATATATTCCCACTTCTATGGGAATATATCTGGAACAAGTTCCTGTTGCGTTAAAACATACAACACCAATAATAATAAAGTCTTCATTTTTACACATTTGTCATTGAATCCTAGAAATACTTTTCAACACAAATAGTAAAAGCTCGTTAAATTTTTATCTATTTCCATATTTGTTTTGGCAATGAGGTAAGTTTACTTTTTGCAGGATGAAAATACTTGATCAAGACCAGTTTAATTAGACTCATATTTTTAAGAATCCCACCATAATGATTATATTCCAAGCATAACAGAATCCCTGCTTAGAAATATTTGTTAAGAGTTAGCTTTAATTAGTATATATATGCTGAGTTAGTAAATCTGCATTTAAAAATTCAGACTTGGGCTGGGCACAGTGGCTTACCTGAGGTCAGGAGTTCGAGACCAGCCTGGCCAACATGGAGAAACCCTGTCTCTACTAAAAATACAAAATTAGCTGGGAATGGTGGTACATGCCTGTAATCCCAGCTACTCAGGGGGCTGAGGCAGGAGAATCCCTTGAACCTAGAAGGCAGAGGTGGTGGTGAGCCAAGATCGCCCCATTGCACTCCAGCCTGGGCAACCAGAGCGAACCTCCATCCAAAAAAAAAAAAAAAAACAGACTTTTTAATTCATTTATATTACACTCTTCTCTATTAGCCTAATTACTTTAAACCATTTATTGGTTTAAAATTGTTTCATGGCAATTATTTAAAATAAAAAACAGCCAAAAAAGGCATTAGGAAATATTTCAATAACTCTATCTTTTAATAAAATAGAAACAATAACTATTATCTTCATTTGCTATTTGATTTTAATTATTTCAGTGAGGTATAAGACTTCACATCAAAGTACTACAAAATAGTATGACTTGATATATAATGAGTATATGGTCTCAACTGGGAATGTAATCATTAAGACTTAGCTTGAAAACTATGCATGCCAGAGAAACTACTTTATTCATATTTTATCTAAGTTAGTGAATACCAATTTTGCAAATTTTCAGTTTGTGAGAGCCGTGACCTCCTATTCAGAGCTCTGATTGACAGATGGATACAACTAAACATTCTATTATCAAATTTGCATTTATCCTCATAAACTCTCCAGTGTGAAAACCTGTTGCAGTTCCCCTTGGAGCCCCAAATAATGGCTGGTTATATGCAATACATAGAATCCTCAAATTTACCTCAAGTTTAGCATCCAGTTCAGCATCAGACGCCACCAAGTGCTCATCCTCTTTTTTTCCTGTTGCTTTGATAAAGACCTGTTTAGTTTTCCAGTATTTCTTTTGCATTCTTCTGACTACTGACTGATTATCTTCTGGTCTGGGTTGCCCAAAGGAATCCATGGAGTGACTACAATGAACAGACTAAAATTAAACTTCTTTTAAAAATTCTCAATAATAGGCTGGGCACGGTGGCTCACGCCTGTAATTCCACAACTTTGGGAGGCTGAGGCGAGCGGATCACGCGGTCATGAGATCGAGACCATCCTGGCTAACACGGTGAAACCCTGTCTCTACTAAAAATACAAAAAAAAATTAGCCGGGCATGGTGGCGGGCGCCTGTAGTCCCAGCTACTCCGGAGGCTGAGGCAGAGAATGGCGTGAACCCGGGAGGCGGAGCTTGCGGTGAGCCGAGATCGCGCCACTGCACTCCAGCCTGGGAGACAAAGCGAGACTCCGTCTCAAAAACAAAAACAAAAAACAAACAAACAAAAAAACCAAAAAAAACTCAATAAATATGTTTAGCTAGCCAATATTTAATCTGACAAATGGAAAAAAGGTACTAAATGTAATTTTTTTTTAGAGTCAGGGTCTCGTTCCATCGCTCATGCTGGAGTGTAGTGGTGCAATCATAGTTCAGAATAATGTGGGCTCAAGCAATCTCCTGCCTCAGCCTCATGCAGCACTGGGATTACAGGTGCGAACTACCACATCTGGCCCCTAATATTAATGTTCTCAGTCAGACATGCTAATACTTGCTTTATATGGTCTAAATGTATGCTATAATTTCAACTTGCACAAGAAACAGGCAAAAGATTAATTATATTTATATTAATTTTAGTTAGATGACAAACGTAATAAAACTTACGATTTTGCAGTTATGTCTAGAAAAAATTATATTTTATTTGATATCTATTTATAGATGTTTATTACTTTCTAAGTTTTGCTTTTGTAATAAAACTGCAAAATAAACTTGTACATACATCTTTACATACTAGTATCAGTTCCTTAGGAAAATTTCCTATAGTTATAATCGCTATGTCAAACATCCATTTAATATTTTCAGATATGCAAAGATTCCAACACATACTCTTTAAAAATCACTCAAAGAAATATTTTAGTGTCCAATAAATCAACACAAATAAAGTCCTTAAGTATAAGGGAAGATATGTTATAAAAGAAATACAGATGGACATTGTAAACTGTAAACATAAAAATTAACATATGCTAGGTGCAGTGGCTCATGCCTGTAATCCCAACACTTTGGGAGGCCGAGGTGGGCAGATGCCGAGGTGAGTGGATCATGAGGTCAGGAGATCGAGACCATCCTGGCCAACATAGTGAAACCCTGTCTCTACTAAAATACAAAAAATTAGCCGGGCATGGTGGCACGTACCTGTAATCCCAGCTACTCAGGAGGCTGAGGCAGGAGAATCACTTGAACCCAGGAGGCGGAGGTTGCAGTGAGCCAAGATCACGCCACTGCACTCCAGCCTGACAACAGAGCGAGACTCCGTCTCAAAAAAAATAAAAAATAAAAAATAACCTCCAAGAAGTTATTCTTAACAAGGTTAACATGGCTATATAAGGAAATGCAGAGTGAAAAGTATTTCTTTAAGGATATGTAAAAAGAATAAATACTAATAACATTTTGGATCTAAAGCCCAAATTATTCCAACAAACTGTAAGAGTAGGAACAAAAGGGAAATACTAAAGTATGTGACTCATTCGTTATTTCCAGGCACATCGATACATGCTATTGTATTTTTCATGTTAGTAAAGAAATAGAGGTTCACTTTCTTTTAATTTGAAGTAATTACTAATTAAATAAAAATAGAATGTCTAATTTCCAAATTACTGGGGGTAAAACAAAAGAGCCAGAAAAACTTTAGCAAAAGCAAAAGACCGAGTGGGAAAAACAAGAGTAAGGCATGTAACACACAGTACAAAACAAGAAGATGGAAGAAGAACAATTATATTATTTAGTATGATAGATGCAAACTTCTTTTTAAATACAAAGAATCTCGAATCATAAAAAACAAAAATCGAAATCCAACTATATGCTATTTGAGATCTACCTAAAACAAAAGGACACAAAGATAAAAATAAAGATATGAGTTAAGATATACCAGGTAAATAGAAGCAAAATGAAATTAGAATAGCTATATTAATATCAGACAAAGTAGATTTAAATAAAAAGCATAAAATAGAACAAGGACAAGCTGTAAAGTCCACAAAGTGGCCAATTTTCCAGATAGCCTCTAGATTATTATCCTTTGGATATCCTCCCATATTCCTGGGCAGTATATATTAATCACCATTTAATTGCCAAACCTCTTAATATGTTATCCTGAATAATTTCTCTGGACATAATTTGGAATAGAGAGGGAATTTAATTTGGGTACCTAGGGAGCATGGATTTGATATAAGCATTATACTGTCCTGACACATCAAGCGTCTTGAGAGAAACTTAGTTTTTCTTTCCCATCCAGTTTCTTTCTGCTTTTGGTTGCTCTCAACTGCTTTCAGTCCTCCTCCTCCTTCCCTCCACTCCCAACTTTATAATTATCAGCAGTCCAACTATATGACAAACTGTTAATCTCTTCTACTAAACTGACTGCAGGTTTAGGCTCAATTCGAAGAACAAAATACTAGGGAGTATCAGGAGAGAATACCTCTCCCTACATCAACTTCCATATTGATGTAGCTCAAACAATATACTCCTGTCCTCGCAACCACTCTCTCCATATCTCTTTGGGAGAGAAAGAGTAACATCTGATTGGACAGCAAAAAACTAGACTCCTCCATTTCTGGAAACTATCTTGCCTGCAGAGGGCACACGTTCCCTGGCAAAGGGAGAAAGTGACTGGGAGGATAAATCTGCAAAAGGTGAGATTTGCACATTTGTGGTTTTTATGACCAAGGGCACTGCTAAATCTGCTTGCCACTGGGGGTAGGTTAGGCAGGAAGCCAAGTCTTACTGGCTTGACATATCAGATAACAGAGTTCAAGGCTGGCAGAACTATCAGATATTTAGGAGGGATTTCATAAAAGGGAGGGAGCCAAAGAGGAGGAAACCCCAAAATTTGTGTATAAAGTCCTCCCAAGACCTGTGCTAATCACTAAACGAATCATGAGGCAAGGGAGGGAAACCCAGGAATCGTGGCAGAAAATCAGCCATTGAAAGAGGAAATAACTAAGTGAAGATTTCAGCACTACCACTCCAGAGGAGACAGTTTGGAGTCTGAGTTCAGTCAAGTTAACTGGCTTCTAGAATAAAAATTCTTTTTCAGAGAAGCAAAACAGAATCCAGAATCTCTCAAATGCATCATTCAAAATCCCAAGTATCCAATCAAAAAACACTAGACATATAAAGAAATAGGAACATGTGACCCATACTCCAGTGGGGAAAGGGCAGTCAATAAAAACAGACTCCAGAGATTTCCCAGATATGGGAGGCTGAGGCAGGAAAATCGCTTGAACCCGGAAGGCGGAGGTTGCAGTGAGCCACTGCACTCCAGCCTGGTCGACAGAGTGAGACTCCGTCACAAAAAAAAAAAAAAAAAAAAGATTTCCCAGATACTGCAATTATGAGATAATTATTAAACCAACTATTATTAACATATACACAGACTTAAAGTAGGATGTATGCACAATAAATGAACACACTGAAAATATTAGAAAACAAGTAAAACTCAAACTCTCCAGTTACAAAGTTCAGTAACTGTAATTTAAAATTCACTGCAGCTGGATGTGGAGGCTCACACCTGTAATCCCAGCATTTTGGGAGGCTGATACAAGAGGATCTCTTGAGCCCTGAAGTTTGAGGTTACAGTGAGCTATGATTATGCCACTGCACTCCTGCCTGGGTGACAGACTGTGTGACAGACTGCCTCTTAAAAAAATAATAATAACTGGACAAGATTAAGAGCAAACTGAAGATGGCAGAAGTCAAAAGTTCTTCTTACCAAAAATTACCAATCTAAAAACTGGGGCAAGGGGTGGGAGGAGGAAGGAGGAGAACCCAAAGAAGAGATAGAATGGGATAGAAAAATATTCAAATAAATAAAACATCCCCAGATTTGTGAATGACATTAATTTACAGATCCAATAAGCTAAATGACAAACCCCACGCAGGATAATACAAAGAAAACACAAATAGACACATCACAGACAAACTGCTTAAATCTATATAGGGAAAAAAAAAGATAGCAAAGAAAACCTATCTTGAAAGCAACAGAGAAAAATGGCATATTACACACAAGGTAACAAAAATACAAACAGGTCAGTTCTCAATAAAAACAAAAAAAAGTCAGACTAAATGGAAGGATATATTTAAGGTACTGAGAGGAGAAAAACCTGTTGACCCCTAATTCCACATCTACTGAAACTGTCCTTTTAAAAATGAAAGTAGTGGGAGCACAGTGGCTCAGGCCTGTAATCCCAGGACTTTGGGAGGCTGTGGGGGAGGATCACTGGCGCCCAGGAGCTCAAGACCAGTCTGGCCAAGATGGCAAGACTCCATATCTACAAAAAAATAAAAGAAACATTAGCCATGTATGGTGGTGTGAGCCTTTAGTCCCAGCTACTCAGGAGGCTGAGGCAGAAGGATTGCTTCATCCCAGGAGTTTGAGGCTGCAGTGAACTATAATCACACCACTGCACTCCAGCCTGGGCGACAGAGTGACAGCCTGTCTCTAAAAAAATAAAAAATTAAAAAATAAAAAGAAGGAAAGCAAAATAAAGATATTTTCAAATAAAGCTCTGAGAGACTACCTGATCAGATCTGGAGACTTTCAGAAATGCTAACATTACAGATGTTATGTATATCACAGCTGAACATATTAAAAAATATGGTATATATACTCAATGGAATACTATTCAGCCTTTAAAAAGAAAGAAATCCTGTCATTTGTGACAACATGGATAAATCTGAAAGACAAATACCACATGATCTCAATTACATGTAAAATCTAAAAAAGTTGAACTAATAGACGTAGAGAGTAGAATGGTAGTTACCAGAGGCTGGGGGGAGGGGTATTGGGAAGATGTTTGTCAAAGGACACAAAATTTCAGTTAGGAGGAGTAAGTTCTATTGTACAACAAAGGGACTATAGTTAATAACAATGTATTATATTCTTGGAGATATCTATGAGGCAGGATTTTTAGTGTTCTTACCACAAAAAAAGATGAGGTAATACATATGTTAATTATGTTGATTTAGCCATTCCACAGTGTTTCAAACGTAATGTACATGACAAATATTTACCATTTTCTCAATTAAAAATAATTTTTGAAGTAAAATTTTAACAAATTCTTCAGTCTTAAAGAAAATTACACCAGATAATTTGGATTTATAGAAAAGAATGGAAGGACTGTAATTGTTAAATGTCCTGGTAAATATAAGATTATTGTTTCTTTCTTAATTTCTTCACATTATATAACTTTAACATGCATAGAGGCCGGGTGTGGTGGCTCACACCTGTAATCCCAGCACTTTGAGAGGCTGAGGCGGGTGGATAACTTGAGCTTGGGAGTTCAAGACCAGCGTGGGCAACATGGCAAGATCCTTTCTCTACAAAAAATACAAAAATTAGCTGGGCGTGGTGCAAGTACCTGCAGTCCCTGCTACTAGGGAGGCTGAGGTGGGAGGATCACTTGACACTGGGAGGTGGAGGTTGCAGAGAGCCAGGATTGTGCCACTGCACTCTAGCCTGGGTGACAGAGCCAGACTCTGTCTCAAAAAAACAAAAACAAAAAACCCTACCACACACAGACAACAATAAAATAGCAGCTCAATTATCAAGGTGCTGCCATTTTAAAAACATCATTGATATGTTTACTCATTCTTTACCACCTCACTCCATCATCATCATCATATAGTTCTTTTTCATTAAATTTACATACACTGAAATCTCTAATTTTTAGCTATATATTTTTTTCATTACTTATTTTACTTACAGATTCAGGGTCTCACTCTGTTGCCTGGGTTAGAGTACAGTGGCACAATCATAGCTCACTGCAGTCTCAAACTCCTGGGCTCAAGTAATCCTCCCACCTAAGCTTCTGGAGTAGCTGGGACCACAGGCAACACACCAACATGCCTGGCTAATTTATTTTTATTTTTGTAGTGACAATGTCCCACTATGTTGCCCAGGCTTACTTATTTTTAATTGACAAGTAAAAATTGTATATATTTATATTTATGATGTATGACATAATGTTTTAAAATGTGTATACATTTTAAATCTCCTTGGTTAAATTTATTCCTAAGTATTTTAATTTTTTTACTAGCTACTGTCAATGGCATTGTTTTATTGATTTCTTCCTTTTTTTTTTTTTTTTTTTTTTTGACAGAGTCTTGCTCTGTTGCCTAGGCTGGAGTGCAGTGGTGCTGCAGCCTCCACCTCCCAAATTCAAACAATTCTCCTGCCTCAGTCTCCTGAGTAGCTGGGATTACAGGTGCATGCCACCACACCTGGCTAATTTTTGTATTTTTACTAGAGACAGGGTTTCACCATGTTGGCCAGGCTGGTCTCAAACTCTTGACCTCAAGTGATCCTCCCACCTTGGCCTCCCAAAGTGCTGGGATTACAGGCGTGAGGGACCCCACCTGGCCAGATTTATCAGATAGTTTGTTGTTAGTATGTAGAAATGCTACTGATTTTTTTTTTTTTTGAGACGTAGTCTTACTCTGTTACCCAGGCCGGAGTGCAATGGCATGATCATGGCTCACTGTAACCTCAAACTCCTGGGCTCAAGCAATTCTCCCACCTCAGGCTCCCAAGCATCTAGGACTACAGTTTGTGCCACCACACCTGGCTAATTTTTTTTTTATTTTTTGTAGAGATGGGTGTCTCACTATGTTGTCCAGGCTGGTCTCAAACTCCTGTCTTCCAGTGATCCTTCCACCTCAGCCTCCCAACGTCCTGGGATTACAGTTATAAACCACCATGTCTGACCACTACTGATTTTTGTGTTAATTTTGTATCCTGCAACTTTACTGAATGTATTACTTGTAATAGTTTTTTGGTGGAGTCTTCAGAGTTTTCTAAATATAAAATCACATTGTCCGCAAACAGACGATTTAACTTCTTCACTGACAATCTGAAAGCCTTTTATTTCTTTCTCTTGCCTAATTATTCTAGCTAGGAGTTCCAATACTGTGTTGAATGGAAGCGCTGAAAGTGGGCATACTTGTCTTGTTCTTGATTTCAGAAAAAAAAACTTTCAATTTTTCACTGAGCATTATGTTAGCTACGGGCTTGTCATACAAGGCCTTTATTACGTTGAGAGACATTCTTTCTCTACCTCATTTGTTGAGTGTTTCTGTCATGAAAGGATGCTGAATTTTGTTGAATGCCTTTTTTGTATCTATTGAGATAATTATAAAGTTTTTGTCCTTTATTCTGTAAATATGGTGTATCACTATTGATTCGCATATGGTGAATATGCAGATTCACAGTGATAAATCCCACTTGATCATGGTGAATGACCCTTCTAATGTGCTGTTGAATTTGGTTTGCTAGTATTTTCTTGAGGATTTCTGCATCTATGTTTATCAAAGATATTGGCCTATAATTTGCTTTTCTTGTACTGTTTTTGTCTGCCTTTGGTATCAGGCCTTTGTAAAATTAGTTTGGAAGATCTCCTTCCTTTTCAATTTTTTGGAAGAGTTTCAGAAGGATTGGTTTTAATTGTCTAAATGTTTGGTAGTATTCAGTAGTGGCATCATCAAGTTTGGCCTTTTCTTTAATGGGAGACTTCTTATTACTGATTCAATCTCCTTACTCATTATTGGTCTTTTCAAATTATCAATTTCTTCATGATTTAGTCTTTATAAGTTGGTATGTGTCTAGGAATTTACCCATTTCTTTTAGGTTATACAATTTGTTAGTGTGTGTATATCTATATATATAGATATATATAGATATATAGATATAGATACAGATATATAGATATAGATATTTTTTTAGATGGAGTCTCATTTGGATGCCCAGGCTGGAGTGCAGTGGCACGATCTTGGCTCACTGCAATCTCCACCTCCCGGGTTCAAGCAATTCTCCTGCCTCAGCCTCCCAAGTTTCTGGGATTACAGGTGTGTGCCACCAAGCCCAGGTAATTTTTGTATTTTTATTAGAGATGGGGTTTCGCCATGTTGGCCAGGCTGGTCTTAAACTCCTGACCTCAAGTGATCCGCCCACCTCGGCCTCCCAAAGTGCTGGGATTATAGGCATGAGCCACTGCACCCGGCCTGTGTATCATTTTTTATAGTAGTCTATGATCCTTTGTATTTCTGTGGTATCAGCTGTAATGTCTCCCTCTTTCATTTCTGATTTTAAGCATTTCCTCTTTTTTATTAATCTAACTAAAGGCTTACCAATTTTCCGTTGTTGTTTTTTTTTGTTTTTGTTTTTTTGAGACAGAGTCTCTGTCACCCAAGCTGGAGTGCAGTGGTGCGATCTCGGCTCACTGCAAGCTCCACCTCCCGGGTTCACGCCATTCTCCTGCCTCAGCCTCCTGAGTAGCTGGGATTACAGGCGCCTGCCACCACACCCAGCTAATTTTTTGTATTTTTAGTAGAGACAGGGTTTCACCGTGGTCTTGATCTCCTGACCTCGTGATCCGCCCACCTCAGCCTCCCAAAGTGCTGGGATTACAAGCGTGAGCCACCGCACCCGGCCTTCTCTTTTCAAAACCAGCTCTTCTTTTAATCTTTTCTACTGTTTTTCTAGTCTCTATTTATTTCTGCTCTGATATTTATGATTTTCTTCTTTCTCCTAACTTTGGGCTTAGTTTGTTCATCTTTTTCTAGTTCCTTAAGGGATAACATTAGGTTGTTTATTTAGGGCTTTTCTTTTTTTTTTGATACAGGCATTCATTGCTATAAACTTCTCTCTTCGAACTTCTTTTGCAACATCTCTTAAGTTTTGGGATATTGTATTTCCATTTTTGTTTGTTTCAAGATTTTATTTATTTGTCTTGAGATGGAGTTTCACTCTTGTTGCTCAGGCTGGAGTGCAATGGTGTGATCTGGGCTCACTGCAACCTCTGCCTCTCGGGTTCATGAGATTCTCCTGTCTCAGCCTCCCAAGGAGTTGGGATTATAGGCGCCCACCACCACGCCTGGCTAATTTTTTGTATTTTTAGTAAGGCGGGGTTTCACCATGTTGGCCAGGCTGATCTCGATCTCCTGACCTCAGGTGGCCCACCCACCTCGGCCTCCCAAACTGCTGGGATTACAGGTGTAGCCACTGTTCCCAGCAGTTTTAAGATTTTTAAAATTTCCTTTTAAATTTCTTTTTTGACACGTTTGTTGTTTAGGATCATGATGTTTAATTTCCACATATTTGTGAATTTTCAAATGTTCTTATTATTTCGAGTTTCATACCATTGCAATTGAAAAAGCTACCTAATTTCAATTAATAAATTTTTAAGACTTATATTGTGGCCTAAGACATGATCTATTCTGGAGAATGTTCCATGTGTTCTTGAGAAGAATTTGTATTCTGTTAATATTGGATGGAATGTTCTGCATATATATGTTATATCCATTTGGTCTAAAATGTAGTTGAATTCCAGTGTTTCCTTACTGAATTTCTTTCTGGGTATCTGTCCATTGTTGACAGTGGGGTATTAAAGTCTCCTATTATTGCATTGCTATCTATCTCTTCAGATCTATTAATATTTGCTTTATATATTTAGGAACTCTGATGTTGCATGTAACACATATTTGCAATTATTATATCTTCTTGATGAATTGATCCCTTTTCATTATATAATAATTGTCTCATTTTATAGTTTTTTGACAAAGTGTGTGTCAATTTCTGTGTTGCTATAAAGAAATACCTGAAGCTGGGTAATTTATAAATAAAAGAGGTTTAATTGGCTCATGGTTCTGCCGGTTGTACAGGAAGTACGGTGCTAGCACTGCTTCTGATGAGGCCTCAGGGAGCTTTTCCTTATGGTGGAAAGGGATTGGGATCCAGTGCATCACATGGTAAGAAAAGGAGTAAGAGAAGAAGGGCGAGGCACAATACTCCCTTAAACAACCAAATCCCGTGAGGACTCACTTATCACCATGGGGACAGTACCAAGCCATCCATGAGGGCTCTGCTCCAAGATCCAAACACCTCTCACCAGGCCCACCTCCAACACTGGAAGTCATATTTCAACATCAGATTGGGAGGGGACAAAATATCCAAACCATATCGGTGTACTGCACCTGATATAATTATATCTAACCCCACTCTCTTTTGGTTCCATTTGAATGGAATCTTTTTCCATCCTTTCAGTTAATCTAAATGTGTCCTTAAAGGTGAAGTGAGTCTTGGCTGGGCGCGGTGGCTCAAGCCTGTAATCCCAGCACTTTGGGAGACTGAGGCAGGTGGATCACAAGGTCAGAAGATCGAGACCGTCCTGGCTAACAAGGTGAAACCCCGTCTCTACTAAAAATATAAAAATTAGCTGAGTGTGGTGGCAGGCACCTGTAGTCCCAGCTACTCAGGAGGCTGAGGCAGGAGAATGGCATGAACCTGGGAGGCAGAGCTTGCAGTGAGCCAAGAGTGCACCACTGCACTCCAGCCTGGGCAACAGAGTGAGACTCCGTCTCAAAAAAAAAAAAAAAAAAAAAGGTGAAGTGAGTCTCTTCCAGGCAGCATACAGTTAAGTCTGTGTGTGTGTGTGTGTGTGTGTGTGTGTGTGTGTGTGTGTGTGTGTGTGTGTGTGTGTGTTTTGTTTTGTTTTTTAACCTATTCAGCCAGTCTGCCTTTTGGTTGAAGAATTTAATCTATTTACATTCAAGGTAATTATTGATAGGTAAGGACTTAGTACTACCATTTTGTTCATTGTTTTCTGGTTGTTTTACAGCTCTTTTGTTCTTTTTTCCTTTCATGCCTTCTTCCTTTGTGATTAGACGATTTTTCTCTAGTGGTATGCTTTAATTCCTTACTTTGTATCTTTCGTTTATCCACTATAGGTTTTTGCTTTGTGTTTACCATGAGGCTTACATAAAACAGCTTATAGTTATAACAGGCTATGTTAAGCTGATTACAACTTAACTTTGATTGTATACACTTTACCCTGCCTGACATTTTATGGTTTTGATGTCACAATTTACATCTTTTTATATTGTATATCCCTTAATAAATTATTGTAGCCATTATTATTATTTTTTTTAATTTTTAATTTTTTTTTTTTTTTGCAGAGCTAGCTGAGGTTTTATTTTGGACCAAAAAAAAAAAAAAAGCGATTGAATTGTTTTGTAGCTGGAGGAATGGGCAAGGGGGATCCCCAGGCAGTAAACTCACGAACGGGTGGGCTGAGGGCTAGGGCTGAGCCTCAGGTGGGTCTCCTGTTCCCTGTGCTCCCCTGCACAGCGGCCTCCCTCCCAAGCTCTGGGGCAGCTGCAGGAGGGGCACACTGGGAGGAGCTGCTGCAGCTGTTCACTTGGGCAGGACATCAGAGGACTCGGACACCAGCTTCCCATCGTGGATCTCAATCTTCTTCACAACTATGGCCCTGGTGAAGCTGGTGTGGCTGAAGGAGATGGAGCCCATGCCAGAGCCAAAGCTGGAGCCGAGGCCATAGCTGAGGCTGGGGCTTGTGAGACCCTCATAGGCCGAGCTCAGACCACCTGCATAGCCACTGGTGGTCTTCATATGGATATTCATGTTCTGCATCCCAGACTCCAACTGGCTCTCCTCGCCCTCCAGCAGCTTCCTGTAGATGGTGATCTTGATGTCCAGGGCCAGCCTGATGTTCGTCAGTTCCTGGTACTCATGCAGCTGCTACGCCATGTCCTGCTTGGCCCGCTGCAGGGCAGCCTCCAGCTCGGAGAGCTTGGCATTGGCATCCTTAACAGCCAACTCCCCACACTGCTAGGCATCTGCGATGGCAGCCTCCAGGGAAACTCTCTGGCCTTTGAGGCCCTCAATCTCAGCCTGGAGCTGGCTGACGTTCTGGTTCATCCCAGATCTCAGTCTTTGCATGCCGCAGGTCATCCCCGTGCTTCCCAGCCAGCGTCTGCAGTTCCTCATACTTGATCTGGTACATGCTCTCAGCCTCAGCCTGGCTGTGGTTGGCCATCTCCTCATACTGCGCCTTGACCTCAGCGATGATGCTGTCCATGTCCAGGGAGTGGCTGTTGTTCATGCACAGCACCACAGATGTGTCCAAGATCTGGGACTGCAGCTTCTGGATCTCCTCTTCATACAGCTGCCCGAGGAGGTTGATCTCTTCAGTCAGCCCTTCCAGGCAAGACTCTAGCTCTACCTTGTTCATATAAGCTTCATCCACATACTGCCTGATGAGGACAAATTCATTCTCCATCTCTGTACGTTTGTTGATCTCATCCTCATATTTGTTCTTGAAGTCTTCCACCAGCCCTGGCATGTTGCCAAGCTCTGCCTCCAGCTTCAGCCTTTCCAAGCCCAGAGTCTCCAGCTGCTGCTTAAGGCTGTTGATGTAGCTCTCGAACATGTTGTCCGTGTTGCTCTAAGCCATCTTCTGCTGCTGCAGGAGGGCTCCACTTGGTCTCCAGCATCTTGTTCTGCTGCTCCAGGAATTGTACCTTGTCTATGGAGGAGGCAAATTTGTTGTTGAGGGTCCTTCTCCTGGGTGCACACGGCCTGGATGTTGGGTTCCACCTCCAGGTTAAGGGGGCTCAGCAGGCTCTGGTTGACTGTGACAGCAGTGATGCTTCCCATGCCACTGGCCCCACCATAACTTCCACCCAGGACACCCCGAAAGATGCTGCTGCCCACTCGGGAGAAGCTCAAGGAGCTGATGCAGGCACCGGGCCCACGCGCATAGGAGCAGTTGCCGAAGGCCTGGGGGCCAGAGGACCACCTCTGGTGGACACCTTGTAGGACTTCTGGGTCACCATGATGGACATGGTTGATGCAGGAGTGGAGGCAGGTGGGCTGAACCAGATGGAGATCCCAGAAGGAGCAGGGAAGCTGCTTCTTGGTCTATTTTTTTTTTTTTTTTAGATAGAGTTTTGTTCTTGTTGCCCAGACTGGAGTGCAGTGGCATGATCTTGGCTCCTTAACCTCCCAGGTTCAAGTGATTCTCCTGCCTTAGTCTCCCGAGTAGCTGGGATTACAGGCACCTACCACCAGGCCCAGCTAATTTTGGTATTTTTTTTTAGTGAAGACGAGGTTTCACCATGTTGGCCAGGCTGGTCTCGAACTCCTGACCTCAGGTGATCTGCCTGCCTCAGCCTCCCAAAGTGCTGGGATTACAGGCATGGGCCACCGCACCAGGCCTATTGCAGCCATTATTTTTAATAGTTTTGTTTTTTAACATTCATATTAAAGACCCACCATTATACTATTATTCTAAATTTGTGTAATTGTACCAATGAGTTTTATACTTTTAGATGTTTTTGTGTTACTCATTAGCATCCTTTCCTCTCAGCTTGAAGAACTCCCTTTATCATTTCTTGTAAGACACATCTGGTGGTGATGAACTACCTCAGTTTTTGTTTGAGAAAGCTTTTATCTCCATCATTTCTGGAGGTCTACTTTGTCAAGTAAAGTATTGTTGTTTGACAGTTTTATTTTTTCCTTCAGCACATGGAATTTATCATCCCACTCTCTACTGGCCTGTAGGTTTCTCCTGAGAATCCACTTCTAGCCTTATTGGAACTCCTTTGTATGTGATTTGCTTTTCTCTTGCTACTTTCAGGATGCTCTCTTCATCTTTGATTTTTGACAGTTTGATTATATCTTAGTGTAATCTTGTTCAGGTTGAATCTGATTGGAGACCTTTGACCTTCTCATACCTGGATATTTATACCTTTCCTCAGATTTGGAAATTTTTCTGCTATTATTTATTTAAGTAAACTTTCTGGTCCTTTGTCCCTCTCTTCTTCTGCTTAAACTCCTATAACTAGGATATTTGCTCTTTTGAGAAAATCTTATAAGCTTTAAATCTTCTAAGCTTCATTTTTTCTTCTCTGACTGTATGTTTTGAAATAATCTGTCTTTGAGTTCACATATTAATTCTTCTGCTTCATCAAGTCTGCTGTTAATGCTCTCTACTGCATTTTTTAGTTCATTAATTGTATTTTTCAGCTCCAGAATTTGATTTTTTTAAAAAAATAATTTTAATCTGTTACATTTCTTATTTTGGTCATCTATTGTTTTGCTGATTTCAGTGAAATGTTTCTCTGTATTTTTCTTTAAATTCACTAAACTTAAAGCAATTATTTTATATTATTTGAGAGGCAGTTTATATATGTCCATTTCTTTGGGGTCAGCTACTGGGAGGTTATGTTTTTTAGGTGGTATTATGTCTCCCATTTTTCTTGTTGCCTTACATTAATGTCTGTGCTCTTAGTGGAACAGTTACCTTTTGTAGACTTTATGGGCTAGTTTCATTGTGGACTGACTTTCCTCCATGGGGTGGGGTGCAGTGGTTCTGGCACTAGTCAGGGTGCCAGCTGTGTGGTCTCTGTGCAGCTCTGTCTGCTGAGATTGGTATGGATAAAAATCACAGGGATCCATAGCAACCAACGTTCTGAGTTTCTGCAGTGGCGCAAGAGTTGTTGGGGTCTTTGGTGGCAATGACTGCTAAGATCACCCCAATCTATTTTTTTTCCCATCAGAGAAGCTATGGCTGAAGGGATCCCTCTTGGCACTGGTGCCTGATGAGTAGCACCCATGGAATAATCACAGAACTCAGGCCTGATGCACAAATGTGTGGAGGTACTGCAGTTCTGAGTTCCCAGGTAGTAATGGCATTGGTGTCTGGGATGCAGGGATCCTTGCTGCTGTGTAACAGAATGCGAGATGCAGATGCTTGTTAAACAGCTAAGAGAACTGAGAATAAGAGCACTAGTGAGTGCAGCATTAGAGTAGCTCTAGGATTGGGGTAAAGCCAAGATCTCTGTGGCAGCAGAGCTGGTACCCAGCGTTCAGCCACACACAGCAAGAGCTTGGCTCTAGGGCCCAGGGTGCAAACTCTTTAGCTGTATACTTTTGACAAATGGATATCTTATATAGAACATTTCCAACTTCCCAGAAAGTTTCCTTGTATCACTTTCTTGCCAATCCCTACCTTATCAGAAGCAATGAATGTGTTTTTTTTCCTTAGCTTTTCCCAGTTTATTCTTTTTGATTGTTGAATAGAATTCCATTGTATCAATATACCAGTGTTTCCAGTTTGGGACTATTGTAAATAAGGCTGTTATGAACATACCTATACAAGTATTTTTGCAGAAAAATGTTTTCATTTCTCTTGGATAAAAATCCAGAATTGGATTTGCTGTGTCAAAGGATTGGTGTACCAGCCTCAGCAACAAAGTGAGACCCCATCTCTACCAAAAATAAAAAAATTAGCCATACATTGTGGCATATGCCTGTAGTCCCAGCTACCTGGGATGCTGAAGTGGGAGGATCACTTGAGCCCAGGAGTTTGAGGCTGTAGTGAGCTATGAATGTGCCACTGCACTACAGCCAGAGGGACACAGTGAGACCCCATCTCAAAAAATCTATAAAAAAAGAAAATTAAAATTAAAAAAATAAAAAATAAACAAATAAGGAGTAGCAGCTGGAGGCCAACATATAATTTTTGCTACTGACAATGGTCAAGTTTCTGGATATAGCTTACTGTGAGAGCCAAATAATCTTCATAACCGAGCACTAAAATTAAATTCAACAAGCCAGTCAGAGGTAACTGAATCACCAGAGGCTTCCCTGTATGAGAGAAGAAAGAAGGAATTGAGATAAACTTGCCCAATTTTTGCTTCCCAAATTTACCAGACAAGCCACTCCTCCTCTAGAAAGAAATGAGAGGGTAGAGAGAGACTAGGAGTTAAACTAATTGAGCTCCTTTAACATAGGAGGAAACGTCAAGAATGAGAAAGATATATTCCCTGTGTATTAATTTCCTACTGCTGCTATAAAAAATGATCACAAACTTAGTAACTTACAACAAAATTAATTTACTGTCTTCCCATTCTGGAGGTCAGAGTCCTAAAATAAAGTTGTCAGACGGCTGCATTTCTTCTGGAGGCTACAAAGGAGAATCCATTTCATTGTCTTTTATAGCTTTTAGAAGCCACTTACATTTCCTGGCATGTGGTCCCCCTTCCTCCATCTTTAAGGCCAGCAGCATAGCATCTTCTAATCTTTCTCTAATTCTATATGTCATCACATTGTCTTATCTTCTTCTGACCTTTCTGCCTTCCCCTTAAGAAGACCTATGTGATTATATTGGACACACCTAAATAATCCAGGATAATATCCCCATCTCAATATCCTTAACTTAATTACATCTTCAAAGTCTCTTTGAACACAGTCTCTTGCAACAGAAAGTAACATATTCATAGGTTTCAGGAATTAGGACATGGACATCTTTGGAAGGCCATTATTCTACTACAGCCTCTATCAGTTTTCACTCTTATTTAGCAAAAGGATAGGCTCAAGTAATTTCTTCATAAAAGATACTTGAGGCCCGGCATGGTGGCTCATACCTGTAATCCCAGCATTTTGGGAGGCCAAGGCGGGTGAATTACTTGAGGCCAGGAGTTCAAGACCAGCCTGGCAAACATGGTGAAACCCTGTTTCTACTAAAAATATACAAATAAGCTGGGCGTGGTGGCAGGCACCTGTAATCCCAGCTACTTGGGAGGCTGAGGCAGAAGAATCACTTGAACCCGGGAAGCGGAGGCTGAAGTAAGCCAAGATCACGCCATTGCACTCAAGCCTGGGCAACAGAGCAAGAATCTGTCTTAAAAAAAAAAAAAAGGAATACTTTATTCCTTTTTACACTATACAGTATTTAAATTTTCAGCTGTGTCCTGGATTTGGAATTCAAATCTTAAGTAAAATAAAACAAATCAATAATCTCTTTAGAGGTAGATTTGTATTCACTTATAACGTCTCATTACTATGACATCACTGAAAAGCAAGTGGAACTGATATTAATGTGCACACTGAAGCACTGAAATCCTCTTGAGAAAAATAATCTGTGAAGACTTTTGACTTAATATAACACTAGTGTTTGATGCAATTAAGAAAATATATTAGTCAAACCTGCTGTTTAACATAGTAGTCCTGCTTACTCTGGCTCCTAAGCCATGAGTTTTCTTACGAACACAATCAACATTCCTCAGAGTGACGGTTTATAAATAATTCAACTTTGGAAGGGGGGAACTGGTAGGAAATGCTCAAAAATGTCGGCAATGGTTTTCTCTGCAGTGGGATCATGGATGACAGTTTACTGTAGTTTCTGATAGTTTTCTGCAGCAAATTTGCTACAATTAACATGTATAACTATTATTTGAATAACTATTATTATTATAAAAATGTTTTCTTATCAAGACCAGTTATACTTTTACCCTTTTTGGTTTTTCTTTCTTTCTTTTTTTTTTAGACAAGATCTTGCTCTGTTGCCTAGGCTGGAGTGCAGCAGTGCCATTATGCTCTGACCTCCCAAGCTCAAGTGATCCACACGTGCATGCCATCACACTTGGCTAATTTTTTTTTCTTTTTTTTGTAGAGATCCTAAGACTGTGCCCTCACCCCCACTAGACCAGAGACTGGTTGCAAGTCAGGGTCTCCAGAACTTCTGACCCACCAGCTTCAAGTGGGGGGTTCCCAAGACTCCTTTTTGGGCTCGATTAATTTGCCAGAGTGGTTCACAGAACTCAGGGAAACACTCAGAGTCTCAAGGCAGGTCAAAGGAGGGCAGAAGGTCAGAGGCCTGTCCCTGAAGCCTAACACACCCAACACTGTAACAAGACTGTAATGAGAGCTACGGAAGTTAGGAACCAGCAAATGTTGATAAAAAATAACACCACACTATCCAACACTTGCAAGCCCTTATCCAAAAGTGAGTCATTCATTCATTCATTCATTCATTGTTAAATATATATTAAGTGCTTATAGTTTTATGTAGCAATCTTACCTGAAATGTGACTAATAATCAGTAAGTGCATATAAAAATATCTGAGAAGTTAAAATAGTTATTACAAGACTATATATTAAATCACATGAACTTTATTTGTAAGGGAGCTGGTCTCCCCCTCTCCTGCTAACAATCGAACACCTAATTAATAACAGAAATAGGATTGAAATTCTGATGTGCTGGGTACCATGAGTGAAATTTCCTTTGAACTGTATGTTGAAGAAAAACAGATTTTAACAGCAGGAGGCAAGGAAATACTATTCCAAATACAGGCTGAAGAAGAGAAAGGCAGATTGATGGTACAGATTGTAGAGACCTGTTTAGCAGAGAGACTAAACACAGAGAGTTCAGAACAATCTCTCCATATTCCAGACATAATCTAATAAAAGCCTGGACCAAGCCATTAGTGTAAGAATGGCTATAAAGGCAGATATCTACAGAACTTGGTAAATAATGATTAAGCAGTTTTGCCCCAGAAAAATAAGGGCAATTAGAAGAAGCAGTTCTCTAAGTGGGAAGGTTACACATTTCATCTGTGACATCTTGAATCTGAAATGATCAAGAACATCAGAGTTTTCCAAAATTTCCAACAGGTAATTAAAACTGTAGTAATAAAAAATTGTTTCAAGCTTGGGTCTCTAGTCAGACTGTCTAGGTTTGAACCTAAGAACTTTTTTTTATTAGCTGTGGGACCTCGTGCAAGTTACATTAATCTCTCTTTTAGTTTCCTCATCAGTAAAATACGAATAATGAAGTAAATGGATTGTTATAAGAATTAAATGAGAAATATATGTAAAGTGCTTGGAATAGAAATTGCTGGCACTTAAGAATTCATGTTATATTTTTTCATTTTACTTTTTATCAGAGCTTAGAATGAAATATTATATGGGAATTATATATATATATAGTTAAGCAGTGAGAACAAATGAGACCTTCAATAAAATAGAAAGGGTGGTAAACAAAAAGATACAGGCACTTGTATGTTCACTGCAGCATTAGTCTCAATAGCAAAAACATGGAATCAACCTAGATACACATCAACAGTGGGCTGGATAAAGAAAATGTGATACATATACACCATGGAATACTATGCAGCCATAAAAAAGAACAAAATCATGTCCTTTGCAGCAATACGGATGCAGCTGGAGGCCATTTTCCTAAGCAAATTAATGCAGGAACAGAAAATCAAATGCCACATGTTTTCATTTTTAAGTGGGAACTAAACATTGAGTACACATGGACATAAAGATGGGAATAGTAGACACTGGGGACTACTGGAGTGGGGAGAAGGGAGGAGGTGTTGAGATTAGCCACCATGCCCGGCTAATTTTTGTATTTTTAACAGAGATGGGGTTTCGCCATGTTGGGCAGGCTGGTCTCGAACTCCTGACCTCAGGTGATCCACCTGCCTCGGTCTGCCAAAGTGCTAGGATTACAGGCGTGAGCCACCGCGCCCAGCCAAACAGCATATTTTTAAACTTTTGGTTGACTATGTGAAAGTGCCAACATTAGGCCATTTTTTACCTATAAAAACAGCAATTGCATGGGACTCAATCTAATAAAAGGAACCGAAACAAGTTTACTGAAGTGATCTAACTCATTTCAGAAGAAAGTCATCTGTGGGCAAATGATCTCCCTAACCAAGAACATGTCCCAGCTCAATTCAGAGATCTGAGCTGACTGGCAAACTATGGCCTGCTGGCAAATTAGTCTTTAGCTGCTTTCTTGCTACAAAGGCAGTTAGGTACATCCAGCAAATTGCACAGCCCACAAAGCAAAAAATTATTTACTATTTGGCCATTTACAGAAAAAGTCTGCAGACCCCTGATCTCAGCCATGGTTCTAAAATATAGTCTGAAAAGTCATAAATCTCTTTAAGTTGTATTATTGTAATAAGACAATGTCTAGTCTTTGTATACATACATATATATTTTGTGTGTGTACAGATATATATAGTCATGCACCGCATAATGACATTTTAGCCAGTGATGGACCATATATACAACAGTGGTCCCATAAAATTATAACGGAGCAGAGATCTGGCAAAATGGCCGAATAGGAACAGCTCTGGTCTGCAGCTCCCAGGGAGACAAACGCAGAAGGCAGGTGATTTCTGCATTGCCAACTGAGGTACCCAGTTCATCTCACTGGGACTGGTTAGGCAGTGGGTACAGCCCACGGAGGGCAAGCAGAAGCAGGGTGGGGCGTTGCCTCATCCAGGAAGTGCAAGGAGCTGGGGCCCTCCCTCCCCCAGCCAAGGGAAGCCACGAGGGACTGTGCTGTCTGGCCCAGATACTATGCTTTTCTCACAGTTTTTGCAATCCGCAGACCAGAAGATTCCCACATGTGCCTATACCACCAGGGCCCTGGGTTTCAAGCACAAAACCGGGTGGCTGTTTGGGCAGACACCGAGCTAGCTGCAGGAGGTTTTTGTTTTTGTTTTTGTACCCCAGTGGTGCCTGGAACCCCAGCGAGACAAAACCGTTCACTCCCCTGGAAAGGGGGCTGAGGCCAGGGAGCCAAGTGGTCTCGCTCAGTGGGTCCCACTCCCACAGAGCCCAGCAAGCTAAGAACCACTGGGTTGAAATTCTCACTGCCAGCACAGCAGTCTGAAGTTGATCTGGGACGATCAAGCTTGGTGGGGGCAGGGGCATCTGCCATTACTGAGGCTTGAGTAGGCAGTTTTCCCCTGACAGTGCTAAGGAGGCCAGGCAGTTTAGACTGGGCAGAACTCACCACAGTGCGGGAAAGTGGCTATGGCCAGACTGCCTCTCTAGACTCCTCCTCACTGGGCAGGGCATCTCTGAAAGAAAGGCAGCAGCCCCAGCCAGGGGTTTTTAGATAAAACTCCCATCTCCCTAGGACAGAGCACCTGGGGGAAGGGGCAACTGTGGGCACAGCTTCAGCGGACTTAACATGTTCCTGCCTGCTGGCTCTGAAGAGAGCATCTGATCCTGACAAGGAGGATTCTCCCAGCACAGCAATTGAGCTCTGCTAGGGGACAGACAGCCTCCTCAAGTGGGTCCCAGACCCCCATGCCTCCTGACTGGAAGACACCTCCCAGCAGGGGTCAACAGACACCTCATACAGGAGAGTTCCAGCTGGCATCAGGCTGGTGCCCCTCTGGAACAAAGCTTTCAGAGGAAGGAACAGGCAGCAATCGTTGCTGTTCTGTAGCCTCTGCTGGTGATACCCAGGCAAACAGGTTATAGAGTAGACCTCCAGCAAACTGTAGCAGACCTGCAGAAGAGGGGCCTGTTAGAAGAAAACCTAACAAACAGAAAGCAATAACATCAACATCAAAAAAGGACCCCCATACAAAAACCCCATCCAAAGGTCATCAAGCCTCAAAGATCAAAGGTAGATAAATCCACCAAGATGAGGAAAAAACAGCACAAAAATGCTGAAAATTCCAAAAAACAGAATGCCTCTTCTCCTCCAAATGATGAAACTCCTCTGGGCACAAAACTGGACGGAGAATGAGTTTGATGAATTGACAGAAGTAGGCTTCAGAAGGTGGATAGTAACAAACTCCTCTAAGCTAAAGGAGCATGTTCTAACCCAATGCAAGGAAGCTAAGAACCTTGATAAAAGGTTACAGGAACTGCTAACTAGAATAACCAGTTTAGAGAAGAACATAAATGACCTGATGGAGCTGAAAAACACAGCAAGAGAACTTCGTGAAGCATTCACAAGTATCAATAGCTGAATCAATCAAGCGGAAGAAAGGATATCAGAAACTGAAGATCAACTTACTGAAATAAGGCATGAAGACAAAATTAGAGAAAAAAGAATGAAAAGGAATGAACAAAGCCCTCAAGAAATATGGGACTATGTGAAAAGACCAAACCTATGATTGACTGGTTTACCTGAAAGTGACAGGGAGAATGGAACCAAGTTGGAAAACACAGTTCAGGATATTATCGAGGAGAACTTCCCCAACCTAGCAAGAAAGGTTGACATTCAAATTCAGGAAATACAGAGAACACCACTTAAGATACTCCTCAAGAAGAGCAACCCCAAGACATATAATTGTCAGATTCTCCAAGGTGAAACGAAGGAAAAAATGTTAAGGGGAGCAAGAGAGAAAGGTCAGGTTACCGACAAAGGGAAGTCCATCACACTAACAGTGGATCTCTCTACAGAACCCCTACAAGCCAGAAGAGAGTGGGGGCCAATATTCAACATTCTTAAAGAAAATAATTTTCTTTTTTTTTTTTAATTATACTTTAAGTTCTAGGGTACATGTGCACAACGTGCAGGTTTGTTACATATGTATACATGTGCCATGTTGGTGTGCTGCACCCATTAACTCATCATTTAGCATTAGGTATATCTCCTAATGCTATCCCTCCCCACTCCCCCCACCCCACAACAGGCCCCAGTGTGTAATGTTCCCCTTCCTGTGACCAAGTGTTCTCATTGTTCAATTCCCACCTATGAGTGAGAACATGCAGTGTTTGTTTTTTTGTCCTTGCGATAGTTTGCTGAGAATGATGGTTTCCAGCTTCATCCATGTCCCTATAAAGGACATGAACTCATCATTTTTTATGGCTGCATAGTATTCCATGGTGTATATGTGCCACATTTTCTTAATCCAGTCTATCATTGATGGACATTTGGGTTGGTTCTAAGTCTTTGCTACTGTGAATAGTGCCACAATAAACATACGTGTGCATGTGTCTTTATAGCAGCATGATTTATAATCCTTTGGGTATATACCCAGTAATGGGATGGCTGGGTCAAATGCTATTTCTAGTTCTAGATCCTTGAAGAATCACCACACTGTCTTCCAAAATGGTTGAACTAGTTTACCTCCCACCAACAGTGTAAAAGTGTTCCCATTTCTCTGCATCCTCTCCAGCACCTGTTGTTTCCTGAGTTTTTAATGATCGCCATTCTAACTGGTGTCAGATGGTATCTCATGGTGGTTTTGATTTGCATTTCTCTGATGGCCAGTGATGACGAGCATTTTGTCATGTGTCTTTTGGCTGCATAAATGTCTTCTTTTGAGAAGTGTCTGTTCATATCCTTCTCCCACTTTGTGATGGGGTTTTTTTTCCTTGTAAATTTGTTTGAGTTCTTTGTAGATTCTGGATATTAGCCCTTTGTCAGATGAGTAGATTGGAAAAGTTTTCTCTCATTCTGTAGGTTGCCTGTTCATTCTCATGGTAGTTTCTTTTGCTGTGCAGAAGCTCTTTAGTTTAATTAGATCCCATTTGTCAATTTTGGCTTTTGTTGCCATTGCTTTTGGTGTTTTAGACATGAAGTCCTTGCCGCTGCCTATGTCCTGAATGGTATTGCCTAGGTTTTCTTCTAGGGTTTTTATGGTTTTAGGTCTAACATTTCAGTCTTTACTATTTAGGTCTTTACTATTTAGGTCTAACATTTCAGTCTTTACTATTTATGTGTGCATGTATCTTTATAGCAGCATGATTTACAATCCTTTGGGTATATACCCTGTAATGGGATGGCTGGGTCAAATGGTATTTCTAGTTCTAGATCCTTGAGGAATTGCCACACTGTCTTCCACAATGGTTGAACTAGTTTACAGTCCCACCAACAGTGTAAAAGTGCTCCCATTTCAGCCGGGTGCGGTGGCTTACACCTGTAATCCCAGCACTTTGGGAGGCTGAGGCGGGCGGATCACAAGGTCAGGAGATCGAGACCATCCTGGCTAACATGGTGAAACCCTGTCTCTACTAAAAACACAAAAAAATTACCGGGCGTGGTGGCAGGCACCTGTGGTCCCAGCTACTCGGGAGGCTGAGGCAGGAGAATGGCGTGAACCCAGGAAGCAGAGCTTGCAGTGAGCCGAGATATTGCACCACTGCACTCCAGCCTGGGTGACAGAGCGAGACTCTGTCTCAAAAAAAAAAAAAAAAAAAAAAAAAGTGTACCTATTTCTCCACATCCTCTCCAGCACCTATTGTTTTCTGACTTTTTAATGATCACCATTCTAACTGGTGTGAGATGGTATCTCATTGTGGTTTTCATTTGCATTTCTCTGATGGCCAGTGATGAAAATGCTCATCATCACTGGCCATCAGAGAAATGCATATGACCAATGGAACAGAACAGAGCCCTCAGAAATAATACCACACATCTACAACCATCTGATCGTTGACAAACCTGACAAGAAATGGGGAAAGGAGTCCCTATTTAATAAATGGTGCTGGTAAAACTGGCTAGCCATATATAGAAAGCTGAAACCAGAACCCTTCCTTACACCTTATACAAAAATTAATTCAAGATTGATCAAAGACTTAAATGTGGCTGGGCGCGGTGGCTCACGCCTGTAATCCCAGCACTTTGGGAGGCCGAGGCAGGTGGATCACAAGGTCAGGAGATCGAGACCATCCTGGCTAACATGATGAAACCCCGTCTCTACTAAAAATACAAAAATTAGCTGGGCGTAGTGGCGGGCACCTGTAGTCCCAGCTACTCGGGAGGCTGAGGCAGGAGAACGGCGTGAACCCAGGAGGCGGAGCTTGCAGTGAGCCGGGACTGTGCCACTGCACTCCAGCCTGGGCGACAGAGCGAGACTCCGTCAAAAAAAAAAAAAAAAAGACTTAAATGTTAGACCTAAAACCATAAAAACCCTAGAAGAAAACCTAGGCCATACCATTCAGGACATAGGCATGGGCAAGGACTTCATGTCTAAAACAGCAAAAGCAATGGCAACAAAAGCCAAAATTGACAAATGGGATCTAATTAAACTAAAGGGCTTCTGCACAGCAAAAGAAACTACCATCAGAGTGAACAGGCAACCTACAGAATGGGAGAAAATTTTTGCAATCTACTCATCTGACAAAGGGCTAATATCCAGAATCTGCAAAGAACTCAAACAAATTTACAAGAAAAAAAAACCCCATCAAAAAGTGGGCAAAGAATATGAACACACACTGCTCAAAAGAAGACATTTATGCAGCCAACAGACACGTGAAAGAAAAGAATTTTCAACCCAGAATTTCATATCCAGCCAAACTAAGCTTCATAAGCAAAGGAGAAATAAAATCCTTTACAGACAAGTAAACGCTGAGGGATTTTGTCACCACCAGGCCTGCCTTACGAGAGCTCCTGAAGGAAGCACTAACTATGGAAAGGAAAAACCAGTACCAGCCACTGCAGAAACACATCAAAATATAAAGACCAATGATACTACGAAGAAACTGCATCAACTAATGTGCAAAATACCCAGCTAGCATCATGATGACAGGATCAAATTTACACTTAACAATATTAACCTTAAATGTAAAGAGGTTCAATGCCCCGATTAAAAGACACAGACTGGCAAATTGGATAGAGTCAAGACCCATCAGTGTGCTGTATTCAGGAGACCTATCTCATGTGCAGACACACATAGGCTCAAAATACAAGGATGAAGGAATATTTACCAAGCAAATGGAAAGAAAAAAAAAAAAGCAGGGGTTTCAATCCTACTCTCTGATAAAACAGACTTTAAACCAACAAAGATCAAAAAAGACAAAGAAGGGCATTACGTAATGGTAAAGGGATCAATGCAACAAGAAGAGCTAACTATCCTAAATATATATGCACCCAATACAGGAGCACCCAGATTCATAAAACAAGTTCTTAGAGACCTACAAAAAGACTTAGACTCGCACACAATAATAGGGGGAGACTTTAACACCCCACCGTCAATATGAGACAGATCAATGAGACAGAAAATTAACAAGGATATTCAGGACTTGAACTCAGCTCTGGACCAAGCGGACCTAATAGACATCTACAGAACTCTCCACCCCAAATCAACAGAATATACATTCTTCTCAGTGCCACATAGCACATATTCTAAAATCAACCACATAATTGGAAGTAAAACACTCCTCAGCAAATGCAAAAGAACAGAAATCATAAAAAACAGTCTCTCAGACCATAGTGCAATGAAATTAGAACTCAGGATTAAGAAACTCACCTGAGGCCGGGTGCAGTGGCTCAGGCCTGTAATCCCAGCACTTTGGGAGGCCATGGCGGGCAGATCACAAGGTCAGGAGTTTGAGACCAGCCTGGCCAATATGGTGAAACCCCGTCTCTACTAAAAATAAAAAAATTAGCTGGGCGTGGTGGTGGGCGCCTGTAGTCCCAGCTACCTGGGAGGCTGCGGCAGGAGAATTCCCTGAACCCAGGAGGCAGAGGTCTCAAAAAACAAACAAACAAAAAAAGAAACTCACTCAAAACCGTACAGCTACATGGAAACTAAACAATCTGCTCCTGAACGACTACTGGGCAAATAATGAAATTAGAGCAGAAATAAAGAAGTTCTTTGAAACCAATGAGAACAAAGACACAACGTACCAGAATCTCTGGGACACAGCTAAAGCAGTGTTAAGAAGGAAATTTATAGCACTAAATGCCCACATCAGAAAGTGGGAAAGATCTAAAATCGACACCCTAACATCACAATTAAAAGAACTAGAGAAGCAAGAGCAAAGAAATTCAAAAACTAGCAGAAGACAAGAAATAATTAAGATCAGAGCAGAACTGAAGGAGAGAGAGACATGAAAAACCCTCCAAAAAAATCAACGAATCCAGGAGCTGGTTTTTTAAAAAGATTAACAAAATAGACTGCTAGCCAGACTAATGAAAAAAGAAACAAATAGACACAATAAAAAAATAATAAAGGGATATCACCACTGATCCTACAGAAATACAAACTACCATCAGAGAATACTATAAACACCTCTATGGAAATAAACTAGAAAATCTAGAGGAAATGGGTAAATTCCTGGACACATACACCCTCCCAAGGCTAAACCAGTAAGAAGTCAAATCCCTGAATAGACCAATAACTGTGAGCCACTGTGCCTGGCCTCCAATAACAAGTTCTGAAATTGAGGCAGTAATTAATAGCCTACCAACCAAAAAAAGCCTAGGACCAGATGGATTCAGAGCCTGAACCAGAGGTACAAAGAGGAGCTGGTACCATTCCTTCTGAAACTACTCCAAACAATAAAAAAAGAGGGACTCGGCTGGGCGCGGTGGCTCACCCCTGTAATCCCAGCACTCTGGGAGGCCAAGGCGGGCAGATCACAAGGTCAGGAGTTCAAGACCAGCCTGGCCAACATCGTGAAACCCCGTCTCTACTAAAAATACAAAAATTAGCTGGGTGTGGTGGCGGGTGACTGGAACCCCAGCTACTCAAGAGGCTGAGGCAGAGAACTGGTTGAATCCGGGAGGCAGAGGTTGCAGTGAGCCGAGATTGCACCACTGTACTCTAGCCTGGGTGACAAAGCGAGACTCCGTCTCAAGAAAAAAAAAAAAAAAAGGGAAGAAAAAGAAAAAGAGGGACTCCTCCCTAACTCATTTTATGAGGCCAGCATAATCCTGATACCAAAACCTGGCACAACAAAAGAAGAAAATTTCAGGCCAATATCCCTGATGAATATCGATGCCAAAATCCTCAATAAAATACTGGCAAACTGAATCCAGCAGCATATCAAAAAGCTTATCCACCATGATCAAGTCTGCTTCATCCCTGGGATGAAAGGCTGGTTCACCATATGCAAATCAATAAACATAATCCATCATATAAACAGAACCAATGATAAAAACCACATGATTTATCTCAATAGATGCAGAAAAGGCCTTTGATAAAATTCAACACCCCTTCACGCTAAAAACTCTCAATAAACTAGCTATTGATGGAACATATCTCAAAATAATAAAAGCTATTTAAAACAAACCCATAGCCAATATCATACTAAATGGGCAAAAGCTGGAAGCATTCCCTTTGAAAACCAGCACAAGATAAGGATGCTCACTCTCATTACTCTTATTCAACATAGTATTGGAAGTTCTGGCCAGGGCAATCAGGCAAGAGAAAGAAATAAAGGGTATTCAAATAGGAAGAGAGGAAGTCAACTTATCTCTGTTTACAGAAGACATGATTGTACATTTAGAAAACCCCATCATCTCAGCCCCAAAACTCCTTAAGCTGATAAGCAACTTCAGCAAAGTCTCAGCATACAAAATTCATGTGCAAAAATCACAAGCATTCCTATACATCAATAATAGACAAGCAGAGAGCCAAACCATGAGTGAACTCCCATTCACAAGTTTTACAAAGAAAATAAAATACCTAGGAATACAAGTTACAAGGGATGTGAAGCACCTCTTCAAGGAGAACTACAAACCACTGCTCAAGGAAATAAGAGAGGATACAAACAAATGCAAAGACATTCCAAGCTCATGGATAGGAAGAATCAATATCATGAAAATGGCTATAGTGCCCAAAGTAATTTATAGATTCAATGCTATTCCCATCAAGCTACCATTGACTTTCTTCACAGAATTAGAAAAAACTACTTTAAATTTCATATGGAACAAAAAAGGAGCCCATATAGCCAAGACAATCCTAAGCAAAAAGAACAAAGCTAGAGGTATCATGCTACCTGACTTTGAACTATACTACAAGTCTACAGTAACCAAAACAGCATGGTACCAGAAAAGATACATAGATCAATGGAACAGAACAGAGACCTCAGAAATAACACCACACATCTACAACCACCTGATCTTTGACAAACCTGACAAAAACAAGCAATGGGGAAAGGAGTCCCTATTTAATAAATGGTGTGGGGAAAACTGGCTAACCATATGCAGAAAACAGAAACTGGACCCCTTCCTCACACCTTATATAAAAATTAACTCAAGATGGATTAAAGACTTAATGTAAGACCTAAAACCATAAAAACCCTAGAAGAAAACCTAGGCAATAACCTTCAGGACATAGGAATGAGCAAAGACTTCATGACGAAAACACCAAAAGCAATGGCAACAGAAGCCAAAATTGACAAATGGGATCTAATTAAACTAAAGAGCTTCTGCACAGCAAAAGAAACTATCATCAAAGTGAACAGGCAACCTACAGAATGGGGGAAAATTTTTGCAATCTATCCTTCTGACAAAGGTCTAATATCCAGAATCTACAAGGAACTTAAACAAATTTACAAGAAAAAAACAACCCCATCAAAAAGTGGGCAAAGGATGTGAACAGACACTTCTCAAAAGACATTTATGTGGCCAAGAAACATACGGAAAAAAAACTCATCATCACTGGTCACTAGAGAAATGCAAATCAATACCACAGTGAGATACCATCTCACGCCAGTTAGAATGATGATCATTAAAAAGTCAGGAAACAACAGATGCTGGAGAGGATGTGGAGAAATAGGAATGCTTTTACACTGTTAGTGGGAGTGTAAATTAGTTGGACCATTGTGGAAGACAGTGTGGCAATTCCTCAAGGATCTAGAACCAGAAATACCATTTGACCCAGCAATCTCATTACTTGGTATATACCCAAAGGATTATAAATCATTCTACTATAAAGACACATGCACACATACGTTTATTGTAGCACTATTTACAATAGCAAAGACTTAGAACCAACCCAAATGCCCATCAATGATAGACTGGATAAAGAAAATGAGGCACATATGCATCAAGGAATACTATGCAGCCATTAAAAAAGAATGAGTTCATGTCCTTTGCAGGGACATGGATGAAGCTGGAAACCATCATTGTCAGCAAATTAACACAAGAACAGAAAACCAAACACTGCGTGTTCTCACTCAGAAGTGGGAGTTGAACAATGAGAACACATGGACACAGGGAGGGGAACATCACACACTGGGGCCTGTCAGGGGTTGGGGGAAAGGAGAGGGAGAGCATTAGGACAAATATCTAATGCATGCAGGGCTTAAAACCTAGATGACAGGTTGATAGGTGTAGCAAACCACCGTGGCACATGTGTACCTATGTAACAAACCTGTATGTTCTGCACATGTATCCCAGAACTTAAAGTAAAAGTTAAAAAAGAAACCTGTTTAAAAAAAGATTATAATGGAGCAGAGAAAATCCTATTGCCTAGTGATGTCATAGCCATGGTTTGCCACTGAGCAAACCTTTCCTTTGTTTAGATACATAAATACCATTGTGTTACAGTTGCGTACGGTATTCAGTACAGGAACATGCTATACAGGTTTGTAGCCTAGGAGCAACAGACTGTATCAGATGGTCTAGGGGTGTAGCAAGCTCCACCATCTAGGTTTGTGTAAGTACACTCTATGAAGTTCATACAATGACAAAATTGCCTAAGGACACATTTCTCAGGACGTATCCCTGTTGCTATGTGGTGGATGGCTATATCATATACATCATACTTTAAAGGCTCTGCCTAATCTTTCATCAACCGCCCATTAATTCAGAAATGGTTTTTGGCTCTGGCAAATCAATAAGTATATTAGATTATAGGCTCTTTTGTCTGTCTCCTTTCATGGATGGAGATGAAATGAAGCCTTACTACAATTATTAAGGGTAACTGATATGAAAGACAAACCAACAAGTGACAAATTGAGGATCTGCCCCTCAAACTGCCCTAAAGAATACATTTTATAAAGTATCGGCTTCAACATTAGATTATAATTGAATTCAGATTATAAATATAAATCTTTTCAGGTCAGATCTTAATTACTGTTTAGCCAAACATGATTTGGTTACTGAGATACTGATCTAGTCCAGGACTACAGTAGTTGAAATTTACACACAGAGATACTATAACTCATGCAGAACAAAAATTAGCTGAAATTTTAAAATAGTCCCAATATGACAGTCAGTTTCATATGCACATTTAATGCCAGCTTTGTTCTGGGTGCTATGATTGGCACTGTAATCATAACATCAATAAGACATTGACATAGCAAAATTCAATTACATTAAATGCAAACCTGTGTTTATCTAAAGTAGAAAGAATATGGCAATTACTTTTCACCATTCAATGAGTCCCACAAATCCCACACTAAGCAGGTAAGTTACCCACAGAGAGGTTACCATCTTGACCTAATATTCTTATGAAAGGACTAGATCTTAATAATTTTTCAAAAAGGATTCAAAATTATGCAAAAGGTACTTTTCTTAGAGTTTAAGATATTTTAAAGTTCCTGATAATCTTAGTACTACTGCTTACTAAAATAATAATCATTATACCTATAGAACCCTGAAAACTTTTTAAACATTTTCACACATTTTATCTCCTTTGGTCTTCATAATATCCCCAGAAAGCTAAAAATGGCAGGTTTTATTATCCCAGTTTCATAAAGGAAGTAGCCAAGACCCTGTAAAATTAAGGGAATTTTCTTAAATTTCTTTAATTCACATGCATTAAGAACATTTTTGTCTGGGTGCAGTGGCTTATGCCCAGTACATTGGAAGACCATGGCAAGAGGATCACTTGAGGTCAAGGCCAGTCTGGGCAACACAGTGAGACCCTGTCTCTAAAAAAAATTTTTTTTTAAATTTACTGTGTGTGGTGGCACATACCTGTAGTCCTAGCTACTCAGGAGGCTGATGGGGGAAGATTGCTTGAGCCCAGGAGTTCAAGGTTACAGTAAACTACGATCATGCCACTGCACTCCAGCCTGGGCAACAGAATGAGACTCTGTCTCAAAATAATAATAATAATAATAATAATGATAATAATAATAAATGGGAAAATAGAAAAGGAACACCAATATGGTTGATCCAAACACATTAAAAATGACATTAAATATAAATGGACTATGTAACACCATTAAAAAGCAGAGATTGTAATACAGGATAGACAAGTACAACCCAAATGCATGTAATTTAAAAGAAATATACTTTAGGCTGGGTGCAGTGGCTCACGCCTGTAATCCCAGCACTTTGGGAGGCCGAGGCAGGCAGATCATGAGGTCAAGAGTTTGAGACCAGCCTGGCCAACATGGTGAAACCCCGTCTCTCCTAAAAATACAAAAATTAGTCCAATGTGGTGACTCATGCCTGTAATTCCAGCTACTTGGGAGGCTGAGGCAGGAGAATTGCTTGAACCCGGGACACGGAGATTACAGTGTGCCAAGATCACGCCATTGCACTGTAGCTTAGGCAAGGGAGAAAGACTGTGTCTCAAAAAAAAAGAAAAGAAAGAAACATACTTTAAACACAAATACACGGAGAAGTTAAAAGGAAAAGCATAAAGATATACTGCATAAACATTAACTATATATTAATGTCTGAAAAAACAGGTTTCAAGATAAATAATATTTCCAGGGATAAGATGGACATTTAATAATAAGAGGGTCAATTTATCAAGAAGACATAGCAGGCCAGAAACAGTGGCCCATGCCTGTAATCCCAGCACTTTGGGAGGCCGAGGTAGGTGGATCACCTGAGGTACGGAGTTCAAGACCAGCCTGACCAACGTGGTGAAACTCCGTCTCTACTAAAAATACAAAAATTAACTGGGTGTGGTGGCGGGTGCCTGTAATCCCAGCTACTTGGGAGGCTGAGGCAGAATTGCTAGAACCCAGGAGGCAGAGGTTACAGTGAGCTGAGATTGTGCCATTGCACTCCAGACTGGGGGACAGGGCGAGACTCCATTTCAAAATAAAAAAATAATAAAAATACAAAAATTAGTCAGGAGTGGTGGCTCGCACCTGTAGTCCCAGCTACTAGGGAGGCTGAGGCAGGAGAATCACTTGAACCTGGGAGGCAGAGGTTGCAGTGAACCAAGACTGTGCCACTGCACTCCAGCCTGGGTACACGGCGAGACTATCTCAAAAAAAAAAAAAAAAAAAAAAAAAAAGACATAGCAGTCTTAACTATGGATGTTACTAAATAACAAAGCTCCCAAATACAAGAAAAAAAAATAACCTGACAGAACTAAAAGGAGAAACTGTCAAATTTACAATCACAATGAGGGACTTAACACTGCCCCCAGAATAGTAACTGACATAAGTAGACATTTTTTTAAAAAGTGAAGGCCAGGTGCAGTGGCTCACACCTGTAATCCCAGAACTTTGGGAGGCTGAGGCGGGCGGATCACTTGAGGTTAGGAGTTCGAGACCAGCCTGGCCAACATGGTGAAACCCCATCTCTACTAAAAACAAAAATTAGCTGGGTGTGGTGGCACATGCCTATAATCCCAGCTACTGGGAAGGCTGAGGCAGGAGAATCACTTGAACCCAGGATACAGAGGGTGAGTAAGCCGAGATCATGCTACTGCACTCCAGCCTGGGCAACAAAGTGAGATTCAGACTCAAAAAAAAAAAAAAAAAAAAAAGTGAAACCATGAAAGTTTTAAGCAAGCCTCCGCCTTTTTTTTTTTTTTTTTGAGCAACACTTTTAACCAACTTGACCTAATTGACATTTATACACCAGTCCACCCACCAAGAGCAGAATACATTATTTTTCCCTAAGAGTAACTGGAAGATTCACCGAAACAGACCATATGCTAGGCAGAAAAATAAAAGTATTGAAATAACACAGATAACATTCTTGGGCTACAATATTACTACTTTAGAAATCAATAGAAACCAGGTGTTGTAGCTCCCATTTGTAATCCCAGTGATTCAGGAGGGTGAAGCAGGATTGCTTGAGGCCAGGAGTTTGAGACCTGTCTGAGCAACACAGTAAGACCTCATTTCTACAAAAAAAAAAAAAAAAAAAAAAAAAAAAAAAAAGGCCAGAAGTGCTGGCACACGCCTGTAGTGTAAGCGACTTTGGAGGCTGAGGTGGGAGGATCACTTGAGCCCAGGAAGTGTGAGGCTGCAGGGAGTGAGCAATGATCATGCCACCGTGCTCCAGGCTGGGTGACAGAGCAAGACTCTGTCTCTATAAAAAAAAGTAAAAAGTTTTAAACAGGAATCAATATCAATTGGATATCTAGAAAATTCCCAAATATTTGGAAATAACATATATCTAAATAAATAGGCCAGGCATGGTGGCTCACGCCTGTAATCCCAGCACTTTGGGAGGGCGAGGCGGGTGGATGGCCTGAGGTCAGGAGTTCGAGACCAGCCTGGCCAACATGGTGAAACCCCGTCTCTACTAAAAATACAAAAATTAGCTGGGCATGGTGGCAGGTGCCTGTAATCCCAGCTACTCGGGAGGCTGAGGCAGGAGAATCTCTTGAACCCGAGAGGCAGAGGTTGCAGTGAGTTGAGATTGTGCCATTGCACTCCAGCGTAGGCAACAAGAGTGAGACTTCATCTTAAAAAAAAAAGAATAAATATAAATAAATAAATAAAGGGTCAAAGAAATCAGAGAGGAATTTTAAAATATTCTAAACTGAATGATAATAAAAACATACCCACAGTTGTGGAATTCAACTAAAGCATGATTAGAAAAAAGCTTACAGCTTTAAATACCTACATTAGAAAAAAAAAGGCTGGCACGGTGGCTCACGCCTGTAATCCCAACACTTTGGGAGGCCGAGGCAGGCAGATCACTTGAGGTCAGGAGTTTGAGACCAGCCTGGCCAACATGGTGAAACCCCACCTCTACTAAAAATACAAAAATTAGCCGGGTGTGGTGGCAAGCACCTGTAATCCCAGCTACTTGGGAGGCTGAGGCAGGAGAATCAGTTGAACCCGGGAGGCGGAGGTTGCAATGAGCCAAGAACATATCATTGCACTCCAGCCTAGGTGACAAAGTGAGACTCCATCTCAATAAAAAAAGAAAAAAAGGTATAAAATCAATTATCTATGCTTCCACCTTAAGAAGTTAGAAAAAGAGGAGCAAATTAAACCCCAAGTAGAAGAAATAAAATAATAAAGTCAGTAAATAGAGAATGGACAAATAAGAAAATTAAAGTTAAAAATGAGTTGATTTGAAAAAATTATTAAATTTAAAAAGCTTCTAGTAAGACTGATCAACAAAGAAAGAAAAACATAAATGAGCAATATTAGGAATAAAAAAGGCCGGGCGCGGTGGCTCACGCCTGTAATCCCAGCACTTTGGAAGGCTGAGGTGGGCGGATCACGAGGTCAGGAGATTGAGACCATCCTGGCTAACATGGTGAAACCCCGTCTCTACTAAAAAAATTACAAAAAATCAGCCCGGCGTGGTGGTGGGCGCCTGTAGTCCCAGCTATTCGGGAGGCTGAGGCAGGAGAATGGCATGAACCCGGGAGGCGGAGCTTGCAGTGAGCCGAGATAGCACCACTGCAGTCCAGCCTGGGCAAAAGAGAGACTCCGTCTCAAAAAAAAAAAAAAAGGAATAAAAGAAGGAACGTCACTATAGATCCTACAGACATTAAAAGATTAAGAAAGGTATATTTTTAACAACTTTATGCCAAAAGATTCTACAACTTAAGTTAAATAGACAAATTCCTTGAAAAATGCAACTTACCAAAAACTAACACAAGAAAGAATCATCCATATTATCTTATACTCATTTTAAAAAGTGAATAAATAATTGTTTAAATCCCATGAAAACAAAACGAAACCCTTTCAGAACCAGATGGCTTCACTGCTGAATTCGGTCAAACATTTAGGATGTAACCAAACTTACTCTTTCATAGAGTAGAAGAGGAAAGAATAGTTCCCAATTCATTTTATGAGCCAGCATAACTTTGCCCTCTAAACCAAACAGACATTACAAGAAAAGATTATTACAGATCAATTTTTTTTTTTTTCGAGACGGAGTCTTGCTCTGTCGCCCAGGCTGGAGTGCAGTGGCGCAATCTCGGCTCACTGCAAGCTCCGCCTCCCGGGTTCACGCCATTCTCCTGCCTCAGCCTCCCCAGTAGCTGAGACTACAGGCACCTGCCACCACGCCTGGCTAATTTTTTTGTATTTTTTAGTAGAGACGGGGTTTCACCGTGGTCTCGATCTCCTGACCTCGTGATCCACCCGCCTCGGCCTCCCAAAGTGCTGGGATTACAGGCGCCTACAGACCAATATTTTTATTAAATATGAATGCAAAAACCCTTCACAAAATCCTAACAAATCTAATGTAGTAGTGTGTGTGTATGTATGTATATGTGTGTGTGTATATATATATGTGTGTGTGTGTGTGTGTGTATATATATATATGGATAAAACATGACTAACTAGGTGGAATTTATGCCAGGGATGCAAGATTTGTTTAGCATTTCAAAATCAGTCTATGGGCCAGGTGCGGTGGCTCACGCCAGTAATCCCAGCACTTTAGGAGGCTGATGTGGGTGGATCACCTGAGATCAGGAGTTCCAGAGGAGCCTGGCCAACATGGTGAAACTCCATCTCTACTAAAAATACCAAAATTAGCCAGGTGTGGCTGGGCATGGAGGCTCATGCCTGTAATCCCAGCACTTCAGGAGGCTGAGGCAGGTGCATCACCTGAGGTCAGGGGTTGGAGATCAGCCTGGCCAACAGAGAAACCCTGCCTCTACTAAAAAATACAAAAATCAGCTGGGTATGGTGGCATCTGCCTGTAATCCCAGCTACTCAGGAGGCTGAGGCAGGAGAATTGCTTGAATCCGGGAGGTGGAGGTTGCAGTGAGCTGAGATCACACCACTGCACTTCAGCCTGGGCGACAGGGTGAGACTCTGTCTTTTAAAAAAAAAAAATCTCCTCTTTGGCCGGGCATGGTGGCTCACATCCGTAATCCCAGCACTCTGGAAGGCCGAGGCGGGCGGGTCACTTGAGGTCAGGGGTTCAAGAGCAGCCTAGCCAACATGGTGAAACCTTGTCTCTACTAAAAATGCAAAAATTAGCCGGGCGTGGTGGTGCACTCCTGTAATCCCAGCTACTCAGGAGGCTGAGGCAGAAGAATAGCTTGATTCCAGGAGGAGGTGGTTGCAGTGAGCCGAGAGTGCACCACTGTACTCCAGCCTGGGTGACAAAGCAAGACTCCATCCCGAAAAAAAAAAAAAGAAAACAACAACAAAAAAACCCACAGAGCTAACATCATCCTTAACTGTGAAATAGTGAATATTTACCTTTAATATTGGGAAAGAGGCAAAGATGACTGCTCACACCACTTCCACATTTAAAAGGAAAAGGCAAAGATGTCTTTATTCACAGGTGACATGATTATGTATGCAAAAAATCCTAAAGAATCTTTTAAAAATCTACTAGATCTAATGCAACAGATCTGAGCAAATTCAGCAATTAGTGAATTAGACAATGTAAAACAAAAGTATCACATTTCTATATATTAGTAGCAAACAATTAGGAAGTGAAATTTTATTTTTTTTGGTAGAGATGGAGTCTCCCTATGTTGCCCAGGTTGGTCTCAAACTCCTGGCCTCAAGTGATTCCCCTCGCCTAGACTTCCAAAGTGCTAGGATTATAGGTGTGAGCCACCACACCCAGCCTAGAAAGTGAAATTTAAAATCCATTCTCATTTTTAATAACATCGAAAGTCATGAAATATTTAGCAACAAATTCAGTGAAATATGTACCACAGTGCTATTAAAAACTATTAGCACATTGCTGAGAAAAATTAAAGAACACACAGAAATAGATCCATAAATATACAACCAAATGATTTCTGACAAGGGCACTGACATAGTTTGGATGTTTGTCCCCTCCAAATTTCATGTTGACATGTGATCCCTAATATTGGAGGTTGGGCCTTCTGGGAGGTCATGGGGGCAGATTCCTCCTGAATGGCTTGGTGATGAGTGAGTTCTTACTCTCTAAGTTCATGTGAGAGCTGGCTGTTTAACAGAGTTCGGCCCCCTTCCCTCTCTCACCATGCGATGCCTGCTCCCACTTCACCTTCCTCCATGATGGAAGAAACTTGAACCCCTCATCAGATGCAGATGCTGCACCATGCTTCTTGTACAGCCTGCAGAACTGTGAGCCAAATAAACTGCTTTTCTTTATAAATTACGCAGTCTCAGGTATTCCTTTATAGTAACACAAAATGGACTAACAGAGGTGCCAAAGCAATTCATTGGTGGAAAGGACTGACTTTTAACAGACAATACAAGGACAACCAGATATCCATATGTCAAAAGAATTGCTCAACTCTTAATTAACATCATTTACAAAGAGTAATTCAAAATGTGTAACAGACTTAAATGTAAAATTTAAAACTGTAAAACTCCCGGCGAGGCGCGGTAGCTCACGCCTGTAATCCCAGCACTTCGGGAAGCTGAGGCGGGCGAATCACAAGGTCAGGAGTTCGAGACCAGTCTGGCCAATATGGTGAAACCCCGTCTCTATTAAAAATACAAAAAATTAGCTGGGTGAGGTGGCAGGCTCCTGTAGTCCCAACTATTGAGGAGGCTGAGGCAGGAGAATCGCTTGAACCTAGGAGGCAGAGGTTGCAGTGAGCCGAGATCGTGCCACTACACTCCAGCCAGGGCGAGAGCACGAGACTCCATCTCAAAAAACTGTAAAATTCCCAGAAGAAAAAAATCTTTGCAACCTTGGGGCAGACAATGATTTCTTAGACTATTTAAAACATGCATTATAAAAGAAAAAAAATCAAGAAGTTAGATTTCACCAAAATTTAAAATTGCTATTTGAAAAACACAATTCAGAAAATGAAAAGTTTGGAAGAAACTTTTCATACGTACACACACATATGAACAGACCCGTGTTCTGAATATATGAAGAATAATTACAACTGAGTAATAAGAAAATCTCATTTTAATACATAAATTATTTGAGCAAACTAACAAAAGATATTCATATACAGTCATGCATTGCTTAACTGTGGGGATATGTTCTGAGAAATGTGCCATTAGATGATTTTATCATTGTGAGAACATCATAGAATGTACTTATACAAACCTAGATGTTATAAGCCTACCACATACCTAGGAGCTATTGCTCCCAGGCTACAAACCTGTACAGCATGTTACTGTACTGAATACTGTAGGCAACTGCAACACAATGATGGTAAGTATTTGTGTATCTAAACATGTCTAACCACTGAAACGGTACAATAAAAATATGCTATTACAATCTTATGTGACTATTATTATATCTGTGGTCCATCATTGACCAAAACACCTTTATGCAGTATATGACTGTATACTAATGGCCATTAAGCACATAAAAATATATTCAACATTATTCATCAGGGAAACAAAAATTAAAACCACAAAGAGATATCAGCACACCCCCATTTGATCTTGCTAACAACCAATCTGTCAATTCAAAGTGCTGGCAACAATGAGGAACAACTGGAACCTTCATACATTGGTCGTGGGAATATAAAATGGGTATAACCACTTCAGAAAAAATTGAGTTTCTTGGAAACGCACACAATCCAGCAATTGTATTCTTATGTATTTACCTAAGATAAATGAAAAATATGCCCAAAGACCTGTAAATGTTCTTGCCAGCTTTATTCAAAATGGCCAAAAATTAGAATATCTATTAACAGGTGAATAAACAAATTATAGTATACTGCGCAATGGAATACCACTCAGCAACAGAAAAACTACAAACCAAGTAATTAATGAGTAAGGGGTGTTTTTATGGGGTGATGAAAAAGTTTTCAAACTAGAGAGAACTGGTGATCTCACAACATTGTGAAAACAATAAATATCACTGAATTGTACACTTCGAAACGGTTGTTTGGGTTTGTTTAGCCAAAGTAAAAAAAGAAAAAAAAAGGCTAATTGTATATTATCTGAATTTCCCCTCAAAAACAAAAAAAAACTTTTGATAAAAGAGCAGGAATGAATTCTCAACCCACAATGATATACCAATACACATCCATGGTAATAGCTTAAATGACAAAGACTGACAACACCAAAATTGGTGAGAATGTGAGTAACTGGAACTCATATATTGCTGATGAAAGCATTAGATAGTATAACCATTTTGGAAAATGATTAGCAGTTTCTCATAAAACTAAACATGCTGCTACTTCATGACCTAGCAATTCCACCGCTAGGTATTTAAAGCTTTATGTGGGCAGAGATTTTCATCTGTTTGTGAGCAAACAGTGCAAGACACACAGTAGATACTCAATAAGTATTTACCAAATGAATGTCTACTTATTTTAGCATTGTAATAAAAAACTAGAAACAATCTAAGTATATTAATAAAAAGCTATACAGATAAAAATGTAGTATATTCATATGACAGAATACTATATAAAACAATTAAGGCCGGGCGCGGTGGCTCACGCCTGTAATCCCAGCAATTTGGGAGGCTGAGGCTGGTGGATCACCTGAGGTCAGGAGTTCGAGACCAGCCTGAACAATATGGTAAAACCCCCATCTCTACTAAAAATAAGAAAATTAGCTGGGCGTGATGGCATGTGCTTGTAGTCCCAGCTACTTGGGAGGCTGAGACAGAAGAATCGCTTGAACCCAGGAGGCAGAGGTTGCAGTGAGCTGAGATCGCGCCACTGCACTCCAGTCTGGGTGACAGAGCAAGACTCTGTCTCAAAACAACAACAACAACAACAACAACAACAAAAAACATTTAAAACAAATACATCAGTGGCTAAAACTATCAATATCAATCCAAATCAATTTTTAAAATAATACTGAGTGAGGCCAGGCGTGGTGGCTCACGCCTGTAATCCCAGTACTTTGGGAGGCTGAGGCGGGCGGATCACGAGGTCAGGAGATCGAGACCATCCTGGCTAACAGGTGAAACCCCGACTCTACTAAAAATACAAAAAATCAGCCAGGCGTGGTGGCGGGCGCCTGTAGTCCCAGCTACTCCGGAGGCTGAGGCAGGAGAATGGCGTGAACCCGGGAGGCGGAGCTTGCAGTGAGCCGAGATCCTGCCACTGCACTCAGCCTGGGCGACAGAGCGAGACTCTGTCTCAAAAAAATAAAATAAGAAATAAAATAAAATAAAATAACACTGAGTGAAAAACACAAGTGCAGGCTATATGCAATATGATGTAACTTATTTAAAATTTAAAAACACATGCAATAATAGACATGTATAAAATATAATTTAAAAAACACAAAACACAGATACCAACTCATGATGTTGAGTACCTGATAACGGATGGGTGGGATGAGACTTCAGCTTTATTGGAAATGTTTTATTTCCTTATCTAAAAAAATACTAGAAAGAAATACAACAAAATGTTAACAGTTGTTAATGTCGGCCTCTGTAAATATAGATATTGTGTTACTTTAGTCTTTTTTTTAATCTCAACTAAATTAAAAAAGGAATTTTAGTCTTTTTTTATCTCAACTAAATTAAAAAAGGAATTTTAAAACCCTAGTGTTACATGCAAGTGAGTCAATAATGGCAAAATAATAATGAGATACATAGAAGGTGACTAAATTTTAATGGTGAATACTGGATCCAAGTACAAGTTTGAAAATTTTGATTTCCGAAAAAAACACAAAACTTAAGTGATGAATGAAAAATAGACAAAATGGAAGAGGGTAATAAGAATATTATTAAATAACAAAATCTACTTCGAACGAGGAAATCTTTCCAGTTACAGATATATTTAAAACTCACATATCCCATCTGTTGTTGTTAAAGAATATAAAAAGAATAAAATTTTAAAGGAAGCGCAGTGAGTACTGAAAAAGCTAAAGTATAAAAGTACAGAAAAAATGTAAATATAGAATCACACAATGAAATCACCAAGTTTGGCAGTATAGTAGAACAAGACAGTATATTATCTATTTTGTATCTAATATTTTGATATCTGGTCCTAGTTCCATAACTGGTATAAACTTTGTTTTATATTTTTATGATATTTATAATAAAAATATGGCATCCTACTTTTTCCACCAGTTCTCATATTTGCAATTTTTCCTCTTTGGACTGGCTGATCTCTGAGCACCCTTCTAACTCTAAAATTAAACTGGTAATTAGAACACTGCCTTCCACATAGCTGTTTCAACGACTAGATAAACAATCATTTTGAACTATTAAATAAAGAGATTTCAAAGAATACTGGGTATGATAGGCACAGATAACAAATACTAAACGATTTAAAATTTTGGTCACATAAAAATACATACATACCATTCGGAGATGTTTACTCGGCCAGTAAATGTATAATTAACTCCTACTAAAGGATGAGGCACCTGTGGCTATTCCATAAATACTGATGTGAAGATGATTAAAGTAATATCGTCTTACAGTACGTCGCCTGAGTCAGAACCAAATAAATCAATACATAAATACTTTTGGGAAAAATCAAAACCATGGAAAAATGTTACCTTCCCAACAATCTATTTTACAGAGACCCATAGTTTATAACAGCTTTTATGCTGTGTGCATCAAGATCATCTATTACACGAAAAATGATTCCACCCCCTCTACTGGCAACGCCCCAGCATCGCGGGTGAGCTGCCAGGATGGACTCCCCGCTTTCCCCTCTCCGTCTTCCTTAGAGCATCAGGTATCTGACCACTGACATCACCTGGGCACCTGACCAGCTGACGCGCGTTTCCAGGAGCCATATCTGTGCCGTGGGGTCGGGTTGCCGGCCTAAGGAGCAGGATCTGTGCGCGGAGCCCCTCGCGGGCCCGTGCATTCTGCAGTTCAGCTCAAACTGCACATTTACTATGTTTTGTTTTTATCCATCGGTTGCCAATTAGTTTCTAAGGAAGACATTCCCATTACAAAATAATAGCGAAATAAAAATAAGCACCACGTTAAAAAGAGGTCAGCAGGGAAGCACCTGAAGGCTGTTCGGGTGATCCGCCGCCGCCTCTATTAGGAGCGACCTCCACCGCCGAGGGAAATCACCCAAACGAGCCCCAGGCTGCCGCGCTCCTTCACTACAGCGAGCGTGGCCGGGAGGCGCCCTTCCGCCGCAGGGGACCCAGCCACGCCAGAAACCGCTCCTTGCGGGTTTTGCCTGGGGGGAGGCCGGAAGAACCCCGAGCAGGGCCTCGCCTGGAAGAAGGCCGCAGGCAGCGGCCGGGGTCCCCCAGAGAACCGAGGAGGCCAGCAAGGCCCCGAGAAGCCGCGCGCGCGCGCGTGTGGCCGGAGCCTCCCGCCGCGCCCCCGCCTCCCGGCGTCGCCATGGGAACCCGGGATTTGGTCTCCGGGCCTGACCGCCGCCTGAGGGGGAATAGGGGCGGACAGGAGGCAGCAGAAGCTTACCGGCGCCGCTCTTCCGCCTCCTCGGGTCGCGTTCGGCCGTACGGTGATCCGTCCCGGCACCCGTTCCGGCCACCGCCCGCGAGCCCCGCGCCGACTCCCGGCCCTCCGGCAGCCAGTGCCCCTCCGCACCAGTGCGTGGAGGTGTCAGGCTCCCGCTGCGGGAGGCGGGAGATTTAAACCGCGCGACCTGGCGTCCGCGTTCGCCCCCCTCGGGCGCCGGCCTGACCCCGCCACCGGCCCGACTCGGGATCGGAGCATCTCTCGGTCTGCTCTTGAATGAACTCGGGGACCCTCTCTATTCCTCCTTTCCCGATTTCCTCTTTACTTAATAAAGTGAAATGACAAACACCAAACCGGTCAGAACATTACGAGGAGCTGAGTGTGAGCTCTCTGAGGCGTGGGGAAGTGGAAGGCATTGGCCCGGGGCCCTCCCGGCTCCCTCCGAGCACCCCCACCCCCGGACCTGCCGGGCCTTCTGGGGCGGCCCCTTAGCACCAGTGCTCCTTAGGCGGAAAGCGTTCGCCCGCTGTATTTAACTCCCGTGTTAAAGGTTTAAAGAGGTCTAAGTTAACAACCGTTCATAACCAATCTCAAATGCACATATCCATATCCATAATGTTTATGATGAATCTTCAAGAGTAAAAGGTAAAACCGGATCCTGAAAGTCTCAGGAAAAAAACAAAAAGGAAGGCAAAACTATTTACTACTAGTAGGAGATAATTTAATAAATTCAAACTTCATTCTTTTTAAAGGTGACTCCAAAACTTAAAAGAACTTTCCTAAAACAGCAGAATACGAATTATTAATTACAACTGCGACACATAGGCTAGCAAAGAATTAAAAGGTTAACACTCGAGGTGATAATTAAAATCTGTATGATGACAAAGATGGGGTGAGTCTAGAATTTATTTTATTTTATTTTATTTGAGACGGAGTCTCGCTCTGTCGCCCAGGCCGGAGTACAGTGGCGCGATCTCGGCTCACTGCAAGCTCCGCCTCCCGGGTTCACGCCATTCTCCTGCCTCAGCCTCCCGAATAGCTGGGACTACAGGCGCCTGCCACCACGCCTGGCTAAGTTTTTTGTATTTTTAGTAGAGTCGGGGTTTCACCGTGTTAGCCAGGATGGTCTCGATCTCCTGACCTCGTGATCCGCCCGCCTCGGCCTCCCAAAGTGCTGAGATTACAGGCATGAGCCACCGCGCCCGGCCGAGGTTCTGGAATATTAACAGTACAAAATACTCACCTTAACCTGGAAATTATACTTTTAGAATAGGAAAAGTGGCAAGCTACAGAGGGTTAATTTGGACTGAAAACATTAAATGTCTTTAGACTTTTACCCTGAGATATTTGGATTTCAAGGAATAGGCAAATACCTGAGATTATGTGCAAAATTTTGTTTGTTTTTTTGAGGAGTCTACAGCTTTCCTCAGAAGGGTAAAAATTAGCGTTTGGCAAACATGAGTGATTGACCTATTTCCTTGGGATGGCTTTCCTGAATCTTACCAAATGAGGCATTTCTCCTAAGGGGCATACTGCTCTCTGGCTGTAACGATCTACCTGCCTGTCTTCCCCATTAGGTGCCGAGCTGCTTCAAAGCTGCTCCTCCCTTACGCATTTCTGCAGCCTTAGCACCTAGCACAGTGCCTAATACAAACTAGGTCCTGAATGAATGTTGAATCCATCAATGAACGAAATGAAACAAAGATAGCTAATTCACAACTGAAGGATACATTATAAAATATCTGAAAAGAACAGATTATCTTTCTCACCAAGGAATAAATAAAGTGGCAAGCGAAATGACTTTCAAATGTTACTATGCCCCATAGTAAAGTTCTTGGGGTATTTTAGAAAATGTTTGTTCCAACAAGATGAAGTTTTAAGTCAAGAGAACAGTAAACTAATATCTTCTTCAGCTCAATCTGAGGCCGACTAAAGTCCTCCAAGGAACACACCTGGAAGTCAGAATAATGGCTACCGGCCGGGCCTGTTGCTTTTATTCACTTAACTGGGTAAAATTACAGAAAGATACACAGTATCTCCAAGCCATTAATGAAGTGTAGTATTTACACTTCATATAATCACTTTTTCTTCACAAGTCGCTAAGGAAACACGGTGGCACAGTGTAGGAATAGTATCAGAAAATAATGTAGAGCTAGCTGCTGATGCTTCTCCTGGACAGGAGTCAAGTCTCTCATATTTCATAAATGCCTGTGGAATGAATTCTTTCTTTAGCTGTTGGATACAATGTTTAAATGGCTTGCACTAGGAAGAGCGTGGTAGTTCAAGCCTATAATCCCAGCACTTTGGGAGACTGAGGCAAGCGGAGCACTTGTGGTCAGGAGTTTGAGAACAGCCTGGCCAACATGGTGAAACCCTGTTTCTACTAAAAATTCAAAAATTAGCCCCATGTGGTGGCGTGCACCTGTAATCCCAGCTACTTGGGAGGCTGAGGCACGACAATCACTTGAACCCAGGAGGCAGAAGTTGCAAGCCGGGATTGTGCCACTAAACTCCAGCCTGGGCGACAGAGCAAGACTCTACTTGCACTAGTCTCTTAACAAAAGGAGGCAGCTCAGTCATTACATTTTAGTGTTGCATAAAACCTCTTTAGAAAGTGAAATAATTTAACACCTTTAAAGTACTTTTAAATTTCATTTAGAAGTACATTTACTGAACTGTTATTTAACTTTCTATCCTTTCTATCAACATATAATACACTTATACTAAGGGGAAAAAAGGGGTTTTCCTCCATTGTATAGACTTTTACAAGCTAACTAGACAAGAACATTAGATGACTTGGAATGTAGGGCTCCACAAATGGGATCCAAACCTAGAGTCTTAGTTTCTTTAAAGACTAATGGTCTTCACTTTTGTTTTTGTGCAAACCTCTGGTTAATCTCCCAAATAAAACCTCAGTTGATATTAGAAAACACTAAAAATTATTCTACTGTTTTGTACTGTTTTACTAAGGATTAGAGGTCTATTGAATCTGACATCACACAAAAAGCTCTATTTCTTCAAGGCATTCCAGTTTCTTTGTAATCTGTTGGATTTTACCGAAGACGTCAGGAGAAGCATTATAGGTCAGTGACAGTGGGGCCATGGAGAGCTATCTTCCCAGATACCCAAATGAGTAATTAGATACTGCAAGCTAAACATTCTGTCTCTTCCCTACTACATTTCTGTTTATTCAAGCAAAGCTAGAAACAGTATTAGAATTAGACACAATTCTAGAATTAGAATTATTATGATGATTTTAAATGTGAAGTGTTATCGACATCGTTTTAAAAATTATTTCCTCCCCCTGAAACCACTGAACTTCATCTGGTATTAAGTCTCAGCCATGTTATTACACTTTCACCAACTATACATAGAATTGTTTGACATGTTTCTAAACTTTGTATCAGATAGTACCTAACAAGATACTTTCTCTGTAGTCTTTATTACTCAGATGTATGTCGCACAGCTCCATTAATTGGTTACATACCTTCACACTAGGTACTTAACCTGTCTGCATTGTGGTTTCCTTTAAATAACATGAATGACATAATTACATGAATAATAGGATAATTTCTAAAATTCATTTTTGCTTATATACAATTCCTATTAGAATATACAGAAATTGATCTTTATACATTTATATACTATTACAGTAATACGTTTAGTGGCACGCTAAAATTGAAATTAATTTTAAAGGCAAAAAAATGCAAAGCTGAACATATTATTGTAATTTAGTACCCACAAATGTCACTTAAATTTATGTATTACTTTTTTTTTTTTTTTTTTTGAGACGGAGTTTCGCTCTTGTTGCCCAGGATGGAGTGCAATGGCGCGATCTTGGCTCACCACAACCTCCACCTCCTGGGTTCAAGCAATTCTTCTGCCTCAGCCTTCCAAGTAGCTGGGATTACAGGCATGTGCCACTATGACTGGCTAATTTTGTATTTTTAGTAGAGACGGGGTTTCTCCATGTTGGTCAGGCTATTCTTGAACTCCCGACCTCAGATGATATGCCCACCTCAGCCTCCCAAAATGTTGGGATTACAGGCGTTAGCCACGGCGCCCAGCCACATATAACCTTTCTGTTAGGCAAGTGAAGACACTTCCACACTCATTCTTTCCATTTATAAAAACATCATTCTTGTGCACGACATAAGATTGACAAAATATATACCAGTTAAGAGCTTGTCCAAGATAAGTCCAAGTTCAAATTCACTGCCATTTATTTCCTGCCTGTGTGACTGTTCAAAAACTTTAACATATATTTTTCTCTCCTATAAAATGCAAATAATTTATTACCTATAGAGGATTATTATGGTAGGATATAGTTTCATTGTTACTTTTATGGACACTGTAAGAAAATAATTTACTTCCTCAAATCTGCAAATCATTGGAACTGCTATTAGAACAACCATTAGGTTTAATTCTGTAAAACTAACCAGCCAAAAACGTTTCTCTCCTAAGTTATAATAAAGATATATTTGGTTCAGGCTGGATGCAGTGGCTCATGCCTGTAATCTTAGCACTTTTGAGGCCAAGGTGAGATGATTGCTTGAGGTCAGGAGTTGGAGTCCAGCCTGGGCAACATAGCAAGACGCCATCTCCACAAAAATAAAAAAAATAGCTGGGTGTGGCAGCATGCAATTGTACTCCCAGGTACGTACTCAGGAAGCTGGGGCAGGAGGATCCCTTGAACCCAGGAGTTGAGCCTGGATGGCAGAGCTAGACTATGTCTCGTAAAAAGAGATATATTTGGTTCATATAACAAAATACTGTTATTGTGTTTGATACTTAATCTATGATAGTCAAAAATGTCAACAATGAAGTGACTAAAATGTTCTTGCTGTTTCTACACCTGGCAGTTTCTGGCTAGTAAAATCTGGATTTCACTTGCCTAATGAAATCTGATTCTAATTAGTGGCTTTTTAAATAAAAAAGATATTATTGGAATATCCCTTGCATATAGTCTTAAAATGTCATATTTTTTCCTTTAAGAATAGGAGCCATAGTAATATCTATTAAAAAATCTGTATTTTTGGCCAGGCACAGTGGCATGCCTATAATCCGAGCACTTAGGGAGGCTGAGGCATGAGGACTGCCTGAGGCCAAGAGTTCATAACCAGCCTGGGCAACACAGCAAGACTGTCTCCACAAAAAAATTTTAAAATCAGCCAGATGTGGTGACATGCGCCTGTGGTCCTAGTTAGGAGGATGAGGTGGGAGGATCCCTTGAGTCCGGGAGTTAGAGGCTGCAGTGAGCTATAATCGGGCCGCTGCACTCTAGCTTGGGCAACATAGTGAGACCCTGTCTCTAAAAAATGAACAAAAATAAAAACTAGTATCTTTCAAAAAATTTAATATTTTCCTTATATTTGTTATATATAGTAAACTGTTACCTTTTTTTCAAAACTACGATACATCAAAAGAATTTTAGACTGTGTGAACAGATTTCAATGTTATTATCAGAAATTCCCAGATGGTATATATATATATATATTTTTTTTTTTGCAGGGTTGCTTGTTCCATTATATGCATTTTATATCAATTTAAACTTTTGTTTGTTCTTTCTCCAATAATATACTAGGAAGCATTCTGATATATTATTATGCATTGTTGACAACAGTTCCAAAATGGTAATTCCAAATTCAAAGGAAAAGAAAATATTGATCATCTTCTCATAGAAAAGCTATGTTTTTCTACAAAGGCCCCACTATGCCTGGCCAAGTAATTTCTTAAAACTTTATTTGGGCTGGGTGCGGTGGCTCATGCCTGTAATCTCAGCACTTTGGGAGGTCCAGGTGGGCAGACAGCTTGAGCCCAGGAGTTCAAGACCAGCATGGGCTACATGGCGAAACCCTCTCTCTACAAAAAAAGTAATAATAAAAATAAATTAAAAAATAAAAAATAAAAAATTGACTGGGTGTGGTCCCAGCTACTTGGAAGGCTGAGGTGAGAGGCCAGCTTGAGCCCAGAAGGTGGAGGTTGCAGTAAGCCAAGATTACACCATTGTACTCCAGTATGGGTGACATAGTGAGACCCTGTCTTGACAAAAAAACAAAAAAACCAACCTTTGATAAGAGAGCAAGTATCAACATTTTAAAGAACTGCACTACTATGGCAAGACAGCATAACTAGTACCGGTCAGCAGGTTCTGAGCACTGCATTGTCAGGTTCCTAGCTTTTCCCCAACCACGGGAAAGCAGCACCACTCATTTATCCAAGTGATTCTTGGGAATATATAAGTCCATGTAAAGCAGGCATCTCTGGTGTTCTGGTAGAGGAACTGGGACCATTGAAAGGTCTCATGGCTTTTGAGGGAAAGGGTGTGGAGCAATATCAGAGGACTGAATAGTCTAGGCATGTATTGACCTCTCATATTCCTTCTGTTCAGGGAGTAAGATCTAACCACTTGAGTTAACCAAGGAAAGGAGTTTGGCAGGGATTGATCAGAGACAATACTTGTCCAAGAGACTTGGTCACTTACATTATATCTATCTCAAGGAAGAATGCCTGAACTATGAATGTATTCTGCTGTGGAACCAGGATTGGGAATAGGTGGGGACCAGTTCTGGATGCCATTTTATTCTTTGTCTATGCATCTGATATATAGGCTTCTTTATCTTTAACCATCTAGTTTATACAGACTACATTCGGTCAGCCTAGGTTGGGTGAGTTAAGAAAGACATTTTAAATAACTGCCCTTAAGGATCATTTGAAGACCATCCAAAACAGGACTAGGAATTCATCTTTGTCCTCTCAAAGTTAGAAGATTTCCAGAGACTACAAATACAATAAAATTTATACCAATCAGCACAAAATGAGAAAAAGAAGGATTCTGTGCATGAATTTTCTGGCCACCTTTATTCACTATTTGGCATTAAAATATACTTTAAGAAATGGTAACTGGAGCTCTAGCTCTTGGTCTATATGAAAATGAGGACCACATACCAGGGATGGAGGGAGCCTAGGATCCTAAAGAATGTGGAACAAAACCTACATCAGCCCTGGACTGCCTCTGGTTTTCTACAGAGAACTAAACTCCTAACTGGTTCAATACACTGTTTAGCTCTCAACTGCAGCCAAGTTTAGATATTGTTTCGCAGACTTCTGCAACAGGAACATCATTTGAGATGTAATACCATCTAATAATGAGACCAAACATATTTCCCAAATATTACTAAAAGGTTGTGAATGCTCTACTTAAGGAGTATCAATCCATTAATAATGGAAATAACATTTAAAAAATACATTTACTTTAAATATTTTTATATAACACATGCATAAAGATAAATGCTAATGATATCATAAAATCTGTAGAATGTTTAATACTGATGAAAGGTTTTGTCTAAAAAATTTATTCTAATCTACACATGAGGAAAGATTAGGGTTACAGTGAAAACTGTATGCAATGCAATTTTTTATTTTTTTTTGAGACAGAGTCTTGCTCTGTTGCCCAGGCTGAAATGCAGTGGCACAATCTCAGCTCACTGCAACCTCTGCCTCTCGGGTTCAAGCAATTTGCCTGCCTCAGCCTCCGGAGTAGCTGGGACTACAGGCACATGCTGCCACGCCCAGCTAATTTTTTGTATTTTATTAGAGACGAGGTTTCACTGTGTTGCCCAGGCTGGTTTCGAACTCCTGAGCTCAGGCAATCCGCCCGCCTCAGCCTCCCAAAGTGCTGGGATTACAGGCGTGAGCCACCGTGCCCAACCAACTGTATGCAATTTCTAAAGGATCTGACATATATTTAATATAAAGTGCCTTCCTTAAAATATCTTGATGAATTCTTCAAAAATTGGCAATCTACTTGTCTTTATTTTGAGATAGAGTCTGGCTCTGCTGCCCAGGCTGGAGCACAGTGGTATGATCTCAGCTCACTGCAACCTCCACCTCCTGGGTTCAACCAATTCTCCTGCCTCAGCCTCCCAAGTACTTGGGACCACAGGAGTGTGCCACCACACCCGGCTAATTTGTTTTGGATTTTTTTTTTTTTAGTAGAGACAAAGTTTCACCATGTTGGTCAGGCTGGTCTCGAACCCCTGACCTCAGGTGAGCCGCCTGCCTTGGCCACCCAAAATGCTGGGATTACAAGCATGAGCCACCGTGCCCTGCCGAATCAATATTTTGTTATCGTTGTTGTTGAGACAGAGTCTTGCACTGTCACCCAGGCTGGAGTGCAGTGGCACAATCTCAGCTCACTACAACCCCTGCCTCCCGGGTTCAAGCAATTCTCCTGCCTTAGCCTCCCAAGTAGTTGGGATTACAGGCGGTCGCCACCATGCCCAGCTAATTTTTGTAGTTTTAGCAGAGACAGGGTTTTGACATGTTGGCCAGGGTGGTCTCAAACTCCTGACCTCAGGTGATCCACCTGCCTCGGCCTCCCAATGTGCTGGGATTACAGGTGTGAGCCACCATGCCCAGCCTACATTTTTTTTAATGTTCTGAGTACCCTCACAGCCTAATTTTCTTGAACATTTATTCTGCCAAAAGGAACTGAATTTCTAACTTTTTCTCTATTACAATTTTCATTAATCTTTTTGAATGCTTTTTTAAAATAGCTAACTTAAAAAAATCTAAGTCTCTAACAGAAATAAAAATCTCAACAATCAATTACTGGATTTCCAATATAACCTTTTACAGCATTTCAAAAACAAATCTTAATTCGGCCAGGCACAGTGGCTCACTTTGGGAGGCTGAGGTGGGCAGATCACCTGAGGTCAGGAGTTCAAGACCAGCCTGGCCAACATGGCAAAACCCCGTCTCTACTAAAAATACAAAAATTAGCAGGACATCGTGATGTGTGCCTGTAATCCCAGCTACTTGGGAGGTTGAGACAGGAGAATCGATTGAACCTAGGAAGCGGAGGTTGCAGTGAGTTGAGATTGCGCCACTGCACTCCAGCCTAGGCAACAGAGCAAGACTCCATCTCAAAAAAAAAAAAAACAAATAAAAATAAAAAAGCAAATCTGAATTCAAACCAATACCTTTAAAGAGAAATGTAAAACTCAGTTTAATTTCAAGTTTGTATAGAGAATGTATGCCACAGTTTGTATTTTATAAACACAACCTATCTTATTATAAATACAAAATAAGAAAAAGTGATACGTTAGCTGTTATGAAGGGTGAAAACATTATATAAACTTCAAAAGGCTGCTTTCTGCATCTGCATCTATGTAATTTCATGGTTCTCTACCAATTTCATTTACAGAAATAATCTCTATAGTCAAATTATTGTTCACTTTCATGCCCCAACATGGGAAGTGGTAGGTGAATATCTGTAGGAATACAATTTATTGTCTGCTCCTCCACTCAGAAGTAGCTGTGTAAAAGGAGAGAAAAAGACAAGAAAACATAAATAAATATAATTATTTCACATCATAGCTAAACCTAATTAAATACTAATGATTTTCATTACAAAAGGAATTATGGGTGAGCAGTTAACTTGCATTGAGAGTGAGTAAAGGGACCAACGTTGTTTCACTACTATACTATGATACAGTTTATTAAAACATTAAAAGCTATCATTTAAATTTGGTTGAGACATAATATGCTGTTGCACTTTCTATAAAGCATCTGCCAAGATACATAAGTTTGAAAGGGATACAGTTTTACCTATTAAAGAAAATTAAAAATTTTTAAAGGACAACACATTAATTGTATATTACAAATTATTCAAGTAGCCCTAGGCCTTATATTTGGAAAGAATTCTTAGGCAGTAAGAGCTTACGTATATACATAAAAATAATTAAATTGTAATTCTTTAAACACATTTTATAATGCAGACTTATGCAAGATTTTTCCAACTGGTAAACACTTTGATCCAATTAGTCTTAAGTAGTGAGTTTTTGGAGGTAAAATGTTTCATGAAGATACTCGTGGGGGCTAGGCACAGTGGCTCACACCTGTAATTCTAACACTCTGGGAGGCTGAGGCGGGAGAACTGCTTGAGGCCAGGAGTTCAAGACTACCTTGGGGAACACAGTGAGACCACGTCTCTACAAAAAATTTAAAAATTTGCCAGATATGGTGGCACCCACCTGTAGTCCCTGCTACTCAGAAGGCTAGGGCAAGAGGATCACCTAAGCCCAGGAGTTCAAGCCTCAATCTCTAAAAATAAATAAAGAAGATACACATGGGGGCGGGAGGATTGCTTGAACCCAGGAGTTCAAGGCTGCAGTGAGTCACGACCGCACCACTAACATTCCAGCCTGGGCAATAAAGGACCTTGTTTCTTAAAACAACAACAGCAAAAACAACAAAAAACCCACTATACTCACAAGAAAAAAAAATGCTCCAAAATTTCAAATTTACTATTCCTAGTATTATTATTATTTTGAGACAGGGTATCACTCTGTTACCCAGGCTAGAGTGCAGTGGCGCGATCATAGTTCATTGCATCCTCGACCTCCCAGGCACAAGTGATCCTCCTGCTTCAGGCTCAAGTAGGCTCAAGTAGGTCACACCACCATGGATAACTAATTTTTTAATTTTTGTAGAGACATCATCTCACTATGTTGCCTAGGCTGGTTTTGAACTCCTGGGCTCAAAGAATCTTCCCCCTTTCCCTCCCAAAGTGGTAGGATTACAGGCATAAGCCACCATGCCTGGCCTATTAAAGGACAAATTTGTTTCTTCTTTGAATGAGAGGTGACATTTTATAAATAATATTAAGTGAAATAATACAGAATTATAAATATCAAATATATTGAAACTAATAAATGTTTTTTTTTTCTTGAGATGGAGTCTATCTCCCAGGCTGGAGTGCAGTGGCTCGATCTCAGCTCACTGCAAGCTCCGCCTCCTTGGATCACGCCATTCTCCTGCTTCAGCCTCCCAAGTAGCTGGAACTACAGGCGCCCGCCACCATGCCCGGCTAATTTTTTGTGTTTTTAGTAGAGACGGGGTTCCACCTTGTTAGTCAGGATGGCCTCGATCTCCTGACCTCGTGATCTGCCCACCTTGGCCTCCCAAAGTGCTGCGATTACAGGCGTGAGCCACTGCACCCGGCCCGAAACTAATACATTTTATAAACACAAACACCAGATTTATTCTAGTCACTTTCCTCTTCATCAAATAACTAATAAATTCTTACCCCTGTGTCTGTCCAGTCTACACTCAGAACTTTGTCTTCATGAGCAGCCAGATCATAGAGAGGAGCCTTACAACTAAAAGATGAAAATATTAACATATTATATGCATTCACAGTGTTAAAACAAACATTTGAATAATCACTTATACTTATCTGAAAACTTTACAGGGTTTACCAACCTTGCCCCAATAACCACTTAATCTTAAAATTCTGTTTATTTGATCATCTCTCCTCTTTTTCCTGTATCATTGGTAGACCACAGACATTTATTATAACAAATATATTCAGAAAAAAATGTTATTTCATTTTAAGAATTTATTTATAATTAGGCCCATTTTCACACTTCCTTGACTACTTTAACCCCCAAACTATGGCCTTATATACTGTTTGTCTAGCTATCTATATGCAACAAAACAACATATTAACATGAATTTCTTTTTCTTTTTGAGATGGAGTCTTGGTCTGTTGCCCAGGCTGGAGTGCACTGATGCAATCTCGGCTCACTGCAACCTCCGCCTCCTGGGTTCGAGCGATTCTCCTGCCTCAGCCTCCTGTGTAGTTGGGATTACAGGAGTGCGCCATCATGCCCGGCTAATTTTTGTATTTTTATTAGAGACAGAGTTTCACCATGTTGGCCAGGATGGTCCTGAACACCCAGCCTCAGGTGATCTGCCTGCCTCAGCCTTCCAAAGTGCTGGGATTACAGGTGTGAGCCACTGTGCCTGGCCAAAAATTTTTTTGATCCTGGCTTTTCTTTTGCATATCAGTATTTGTCACATGAGGTTGCAAAACCATGAGGCTTTTTTTACTCTTCTGGTTTTAGATAAGAATTTCAGTATTCATTTCCTTTCTATAACAGGTAATTGATATGTTTCTCTTATAGATCATAAATAGAATTTACCTTCTTGTATCCCACAGCTTAACAATGTTATCTAAAGATCCTGAAATCAGCTGCTGTTCATGGGTAGGAGACCATTTTACTGATGTCACCCAACCAGTATGTGACGTTAGGGACAGCGACACCAAAGAACCATCTGAACAAAGCAAAAAAGACAAGCGTTGAATTTTAGAAAAGGGAAGTAGGTAGAAGGAACCCAAAAAATATTTGTAGAAATTTTTTTTTTGAGATGGAGTCTTGCTCTGTCACCAGGCTGGAGTGCAGTAGTGCAATCTTGGCTCACTGCAACCTCTGCCTCTGGGATTCAAGTGATTCTCCTGCCTCAGCCTCCTGAGTAGCTGGGATTACAGGCACGCGCCACCACACCCAGCTGATTTTTGTATTTTTAGTAAAGGCAGGGTTTCTCTATGTTGGCCAGGCTGATCTCCAACTCCTGACCTCATGATCTGCCCGCCTCGGCCTCTCAAAGTGCTGGGATTACAGGCATGAGCCACCACGCCTGGCCAGAAATTCCTTTTTTTGTACATCTCCAGAGAGATGAGAAATAGATGTTATTCACACATATATTCCCCCAGTGGTTTACATGACTCACCTTTAGTTCGGGGATCCCACAGTCTGATATGCCTATCTGTGCTTCCAGATGCTAAACGTTTACAAAGTGGAGAATAGGAAATACAATTAAACACTTTATTTCCTGTCTGAAAAAGAAAAGGAAAGAACATTAACCATGGTAGACTAAAAACCATCTCTAGAAGTTTATCACTTAAAAGAACACTGAATTTGTCTTACCAAAGTTGACTTAAGACTGCCAGACTCAACATCCCACACTCTAATTGTATGGTCCCAAGATGCACTGCAGATTTCTTCAGCATCTGACCACAGAACTGAGGAAACTGCCTCCATGTGGCCAGAGAGGGTCACTATGGGAGTCTAGAAAGGAAGAACCCCAAAAGGGGAAAGTGTTTTCATTACAGAATAATTGAAACAATAATAGTACTTATTACTTACAAAGCCCACATGACAGAGACAAACTGCCCATCTTTCATATCCTGACTTATTTCTTCCTTTACAATGGAATGGATATTTCTGTTTTTATTTTATACAAGACACTGAGGCTGATAAAGATAACTTGCCCAAGGTCATAGAGCTTATAAGTGGCAGACTTGAATTTGACCCCAAATATTACTCGTCTGTAGTCTTTCCACTATATTCTGCTGCTCCTCATCTGTTCTACTTTTCATTTTGATCAGCATTAACACAAACTTAACTCTCCCAGCTGACAAATGTTATATTAAAGATTAGTGCTGGATGGTTTCCCAATGGCCTTGGACTGATGGATACAGTTTCTCCCCCCCTCTTTTCTTCTTGCCTGTAGTTCTCAAAATAACTATAGAATATTCTGGGAATATAACATCCTGAGATAGGGAGCAACTGGCCAGCATAGCCTGGGGGCTCTATTCCAGCTCTTAGAAACAGGATGTCCTTCAAACTTTGCCCAGAGTCAAGTGACCCCAGGGTACAAAAACCAGGGCAGGCTGTTTTTTGGGATCCCTCAGCTGTACTGCAAGTGAGGCATATGCAGTTAACACTCCATTTGCCCCTGGCAGCTTTCTTGAGCCTTGGGGGACTGGCTCACAATGGATCCTCGGCTTCTGTTGTCCCTTGCTGCCTATCTGTAAGTAATAAACCCGTTTCATGTAACGTGTTGCGTGTGTGCTCTTCCTCACCAGATTCAGGCAACTGGTAAAACTGCAGCCCAGGATGCGGTGGGTGAAAGTATTCACACTTCTATTCCTGGTGCCTGGCATACGATGACCTTTACTATCCTCCAACCAGTGGGAATCCTCCCTTAGACTGGTTATTAGTGAAACTGCTTCACAGTTAACACAAAAACCTTTGTGATCAGACAGATATAGGTTTCAGCACCTTCACACAAAATATGCCGCCAATTTCTACACAACTCCTCCAGGTAAATTAATCTCAGTAAGTTATTCTTACCACCTCATTCCTCAGTATCTTTAAGTCCTATTATTTAATCTTTAAATAATGTACACAGTTCACTTATTAATACTCCACAATCTCTAATGTCTTTCTAAACTAAAAGCCCCAAACTAGGTAACTAGGTAGAGTACCTACCTTAAATATAAGGAGTATATAAAAGAGAGTGGGAAGAGCCAGGCACAGAGGCTCATACCTGTAGTCTCAACGCTTTGGGAGGCTGAAGCAGGAGGATCACTGGAGCCCAGGGGTTTGAGAACAGCCTAGGCAACATAGTAAGACCCCGTCTCTACTAAAAATAAAATTAGCTGGGCTTAATGACACATGACTATAGTCATATCTATTTGGGAGGCTGAAGTAGAAGGATCACTTGAGCCCAGCAGTTTGAGGCTACAGTGAGCTACCATCACGCCACTGCACTCCAGCCAGGCCCACTCCTGCAGTGGGCCACTGCACTCGGCCCACAGTTGTTTTAATAAGGGGTTGTTTTTTACAACACTTTATAATTGTAATTTAGGTTTTTGTGTGAACAAGAGAGATCTTGTCTCTAAAAAAAAAAAAAAAGAGAGGAGGCCACACACGGTGGCTAACACCTATAATCCTAGCACTTTGGGAGGCCGAGGTGGGTGGATCACTTGAGCTCAGGAGTTCAAGACCAGCCTGGGCAACATGCTGAAACCCTGTCTCTACAAAAAAATATAGAAATGAACTGGCTGTGGTAGCACACTCCTGTAGTCTCAGCTACCTGAGAGGCTTACATGGGAGGATTGCTTGAACCTGGGACGTGGAGGTTGCCATTAGCTGAGATTGTGCCACTGCACTCTACCCTGGGCAACACAGTGAGAGTCTGTCTCTTAAAAACAAACAAACAAACAAAAAAACTAGCTGGGTGCGGTGGCTCACACCCGTAATCCCAGAACTTTGGGAGGCCGAGGTGGGTGATCACCTGAGGTCAGGAGTTCAAGACCAGCCTGACCAACATGGAGAAGCCCCGTCTCTACTAAAACTACAAAATTAGCCAGGCGTGGTGGTGCATGCCTGTCATCCCAGCTACTCAGGAGGCTGAGGCAGGAGAATCGCTTGAACCCAGGAAGCAAAGGTTGCAGTGAGCCGAGATTGCGCCACTGCACTCCAGCCTGGGCAACAAGAGTGAAACTCCATCTCAAAAAAAAAAAAAAAAAAAAGAGGAAAAGAATTCTGGAATAGGGGATAGTCAATCTACTTTTATATAACTTTGCTACATTTAACTTCCTTAAATATTGCCTCATCTGTAATATTTAGGAGTTATAACTGGATCAGAAAGCAAACTTTTTCAGTAAAGAACCAGCAAGTAAATATTTCAGCCTTTGGAGACCATACACAGTTTCTGTTGTATATTTTTCTTTGCTGAGTAATATTCTGCTGTATGAATAATACCACAGTTTTGTTTTTTGTTTTTTTGAGATGGAGCTTCACTCATCGCCCAGGCTAGAGTGCAATGCACAAGCTTGGCTTACTGCAACTTCCACCTCCCAGGTTCAAGCGACTCTCCTGCCTCAGCCTCCCAAGTAGCTGGGATTACAGGCACGTGCCACCACGCCTGGCTAACTTTTCGCATTTTTAGTACAGACGGGGTTTCACCATGTTGGTCAGGCTGGTCTTCACTCCTGACTGCAGGTGATGTGCCCGCCTCAGCCTCCCAGAGTGCTGGGGTTACAGGTGCCCCACTGCACTTGGCCCACAGTTGTTTTAATAAGGGGTTGTTTTTACAACACTTATAATTGTAAAAACCATCCTTAGCTCTCTGTAGCACAAAAATAGGTGACAGCCAAACTGGCTGTTGGGCTGTAATTTGCCAACTCCTAGACCAAATGATCCCTGAGGTCTCTTAGCATTTTCCTGAAAGAAGTAAAGGAACCTGATAGAGGAGTGAGAAACAGAACAATCTCTGATGTCATCTAAAACAAAATGAAAAGGTGACATAGAGGTAATCAGAAGGCTCTAGAATAGAAAATGACATGGTAGGCCGGGCGCGGTGGCTCACGCCTGTAATCCCAGCACTTTGGGAGGCTGAGGCGGGTGGATCATGAGGTCAGGAGATCGAGACCATCCTGGCTAACAAGGTGAAACCCCGTCTCTACTAAAAATACAAAAAATTAGCCGGGCGCGGTGGCGGGCGCCTGTAGTCCCAGCTACTCGGGAGGCTGAGGCAGGAGAATGGCGTGAACCCGGGAAGCGGAGCTTGCAGTGAGCCGAGATTGCGCCACTGCAGTCCGCAGTCCGACCTGGGCGACAGAGCGAGACTCCGTCTCAAAAAAAAAAAAAAAAAAAGAAAATGACATGGTAAAAACAATAGGCAAACTTATCATATGAATAAGCTATACCATTCCTAGGCATTTATCCAAGATAAATGAAAACAGGTTCACACAAAAACCTAAATACAAATGTTGATAGTTTTACTTATAACTGCCAAACTGGAAACAATCAAATATCCTTCAGCTGGTGAATGATTAAACCAACTGTGGCATATCCATACCACAGAATACTACTCAGCATCAATAACCCCCAACAACCTCAAAAAATGTCAAATGCTTTATGCTAAGTGAAAAGGGCCCGATACAAAAAGCTATATACACTATACTGTGTGACTGCACTTATATGACATTCTGGAAAAATTACAGGGACAGAGAACAGAGTAGTGGTTTTCAGAGGATAGAGGTGGGAGGAAAGTTGACAAGAAGGGGCAATATGAGTTTTCAGGAATGATGGACTGTTCTATATCTTGGTTGTGTAGCAGTTACATGATTCTATATATTCATCAAAACTAAATAGTTATACACCAAAAAGTGAATTTTCCTCTAATAAAACTTTTCTTTAAAAGTAGAAAAGTCAACATTGACATTGTCACTACAAACTAAGTGGAACAGAAGTACTGGAGGGAAAAAAGCAATTTTGAGAATTAAGGAGGAAAAGACTATTGTATGTTAATATATCAAGCAAATGACAGGTAAATGAACTGGCAGCATTATTCACATTAACACATTTCAGGCAGTAGAAAGAAATGCAAAGAGAAGATACCTATTTTTGATATGTTTTTTCTCTTTTTTCTATTATTTTGCTAAAATCCAAATTTTTCTTTGCTTTTTTTGAGACAAGGCCTCACTCTGTCGCCCAAACTGGAGTGCAGTGGTGCAATCGTAACTCACAGCAGCCTTGACTTCCTGGGCTCAAGTGATCCTCCCACTTCAACCTCTCAAGTAGCTGGGAATACAGATGCACACTACCATGCCTGGCTAATTTTTAAATTTTTAGAGATGGGGTCTTGCTATGTTGCCCAGGCTGGTCTCAAACTCCTAGGCTCAAGTGATCCTCCAGTGTTGGCTTCAAAGTACAGGTGTTAGCCACCTTCTCGGGCCCCAAATTTTTCTATTATTTCTAACGCAGCAACATTTTCATTGTAATTGGCACTTCAAAGGTTTCTGGCATGACTTAAACTAATAATTTATGCATGTATAAATTTAAACCCTATAAAAAGCTAAATGATTTCTCAGGAAAAATCAGTGAAAGGAGGAAAAAAGCTAAATGAGAAACTCAATATACTATTATTTCTCTCAAACGAAATGAACTATGGGAGCAAGCTTACGAAAGTATGCACCTAGAAATAAATGGTATCAGCAAAGTAGAGTGGGAGAAAATACTTAAATACATATATTCAGCAAAGAACTTGAATCCAGAATACATAAATAACTCTTACAAATCAGTAAGTAAAAACAAAGCAAAACAACAACAACAAAAAAATCAATAAGTAAAATAGAGCCAACACTTTTAAAAAATGGGCTATGAGGTGGGAGGACTGCTTCAGCCCAGGAGTTTGAGACAGCTCGGGCAACAAAGCAAGACACCATCTCTATAAAAAAATGAATAACAACAACTTAAAAATTAGCTAAAAATATGAACATTTCATAATTATCAAAGATCCAGGGCTTATTAAAAGTTAATCATGACTTTAATAAGTAACCATATCAAGTGCTGGTAAAGATGTGGAGTAACAGCCAGGCATGGTAGCTCACGCCCGTAATCCCAGCACTTTGGAAGGCCGAGGTGGGAGGACTGCTTGAGGTCAGGAGTTCAAGACCAGCCTGGGCAATATAACAAGACCCCATCTCTTTAAAAAAAAAAAAAATTAGCCAGGGCATGGTGGCATGCACCTGTAGTTCCAGCTACTCAAGAGGCTGAGGCGTGAGGATTGTGTGAGCCCTGGAGGTTGAGGCTGCAGCTGAGCCATGATTATGCCACTGCACCACTCCTCTCAAAAGGGGGGAAAGAAACGTCCATCAAAAGAATAATAAATAGCCTGAGCGTATTGGCTCAAGTCTGTAATCCCACCACTTTGAGAGGCTTTCGGAGGCTGAGGCAAGCAGATCACTTGAGCCCAGGAGTTCAAGACCAACCTGGGTGACATGACAAAACCCAATATCTACAAAAAAAAAGAAAAATTAGTTGGGTATGGTGGCATGCACCTATAGTCCTAGCTACTCAGGAGGCTGGGGTGGGAAGATCACCTCAGTCTGGGGAGGCTGAGGCTGCAGTGAGCCATGATCAGGCCACTGTACTCCAGCCTGGGTGACAGAGTGAGACCCTATCTCAATAATGGATAAATTGTGGCATATTGATGCTGCAATGGAATGCCATATATTAATGAAAAGATCTATCTTACAGATATCATATGAAATTTTAAAAATAGGTAAAACTAATCTAAGATGGCACAACTCAAAAGTGATTACCTTTAGGGAGCTACTGGTTGAGAGGCAGGCTAGAGGCAGACATCTAGGGTACTGGTATATCTATATTTTTATTTGGGTAGTAATTACTTGAGTATACATATTTATAAAAATTCATTGAGCAGGCCGGGTGTGGTGGCTCACGCCTGTAATCCCAGCACTTTGGGAGGCCGAGGCGGGTGGATCACGAGGTCAGGAGATCGAGACCATCCTGGCTAACAGGGTGAAACCCCGTCTCTACAAAAAAAATACAAAAAATTAGCCAGGCATGGTGGCGGGTGCCTATAATCCCAGCTACTCAGGAGGCTGAGGCAGGAGAATGGCGTGAACCCGGGGGGCGGAGCTTGCAGTGAGCCGAGATCACGCCACTGCACTCCAGCCTGGGTGACAGAGCGAGACTCCGTCTCAAAAAAAAAAAAAAAATTTTTTTTTTCATTGAGCAACATTTAAGCTACATGCCAAACTTTAAAAAGAGAAAAAATTGGCAGAGCATGGTGGCTCAAGCCTGTAATCCCAGAACTTTGGGAGGTGGAGGTGGGAGGATCACCTGAGGCCAGGAGTTTGAGGTTATAGTGAGCTATGATTGTGCCACTGCACTCCAGCCTGGGCAACAGAGCAAGACTTTGTCTCTTTAAAAAAAAAAAAAAAAAAAAAGAGAATAAAAGAGCTACCTTCTCAGTAAAACATTTTTATAACTCAGGAAATCTTTTCCTACTCAGATATGTTCTTTAAAAGTTTGACCAGGGACATGCATGAATATAAACTCCCACTGGCACAATATCCAAATGGTAAGGCATTTCTAGCTTTATTTTTTATTTTATTTTTTGAGACAGGGTCTCACTCTGTTGCTCAGGCTAGAGTCCAGTGGTGCAATCTTGGCTCACTGCAACCTCTGCCTCCTGGGCTGGGCGTAGCTGGGACCACAGGTGCAAGCCACCACATCCAGCTAACTTTTAAAAAATTTTTTGTAGAGACAGGGTATCACCATGTTGCCCAGGCTGCTCTCAAACTCCTGAGCTCAAGCAATCTGCCCGCCTTGGCCTCCCAAAGTGCTGGGATTATAGGCCTGAGCCACCACAGTTGGCCTCCATTTCTAGCTTTAATTTAGCCTACCAGAGTAAAGAAGTTGAGTAAGTGCCAGATCTTTCCTCTTGCAATTCATCAGTCTATGTTTAAATGTATTAAGAAATTATAAATCATTACTTTCAGCTGGAACCAGTAAGCGCTAATATTACATTCTATTTGATAAATAATTTATGATCCCATTTTATTCATTTTCAACAATTTTTACAAGATATTTTATTGGTGACTATAAGAATTAATGTGCAAATGTGTGCTTTATTTACTGCACATTCATTATAGCTATTAGAAAATGAATGAAAAGTGTTTTTCTAAACCTGACTCAGTATTGCCCTTCACAAAAAGTATATAAATACAGGTCAGGTCACATTATAACAAATATCTTTGTAACAGGATAAATAATAATCTGCATGAAAAGTCAAACTCATGGAAGCACAGAGTACAACAGTGGTTGCCGGGAACTGGAGTGTGAGGAAATGGGGAAATGTTGGTCCAAGGGCACAAACTTTCGGTTATAAGATGAACAAGTTCTGGGGATCTAATGTACAGCATGGGTGGTGATGGATGTGTTAATTAATTTGATTGCAGTAATCATTACACAATGTTTATGTGTATCTAATCATGTAGTACACGTTGAATATGTTCAATCTTTATCAATTAAGTATTTTTAAAAGTAAGAAAAAATCTGGATAAACTTTCTGAGTTTGACTTAATGGAATCTAACAGCTAAATGACAGAATCAAATCCCAAATTAAACTCTTGGTTTCTAGTGATTTAGAAGATATAACTAGGATCCCTTATAAAAATTACATACTCAGTGCATGAAACAGATAATATTATCCAACAGCCAGGTAATTAGATGCTTCACTTTAGTGTAAGTTTTAATAATTAAAAGGTCCAGAATGCAACATGAGATCAAACATAATAACTAAATCATCAACCTAGCAACCATAAGCCTGGCTCAATGCCACTACATTCAAAGATACAAATAAATGTAGCAACAATACTTTGCTTATAATAAAAATTTACAAGTCTACTGAAAAAAAGGATAATCATGGTTAAAGCAGCAAGGTAAGACAGAAGGCAACATAAACAAAAAAGACCATATTAAATTACCATCTATTTGTCAACACAGGCCTAAGGCAAGTACAGTCAGTTCTCACAAATACTGACCCTTGTTAGTCCCAACTGTTCTGTCTTCTGTTTCTTTCTTGGTCGATTTGTGGACTCCTCCATTTCATCTTCTTCATCTGTAGGGACTGTGTCATAGAGAATTAGATTTGACATTTTAAAAACAGTATTAATCGTGAACTGTCTGAAAGAATTCTTTACATTTCCAGATATAGTTTTTCCACGTTATCACACAGTTAGGGAATGAATATTCCTCATCATTTTGGTTAACAGAAAGTTATATATAAAATATTACCTAGATTACCAATCTCTAAAAATAAAAAATAAAACATAAACTATATTAGAAAACTAAAATCTAAGTAATTTAAAATCTTGCTATCTTTAAGGTCATCATTATAAATATTTATCATTTTATCATAGCTATGAAAAATTGCTTACTGTTAGTTGTAGGAGAGTTATGACATTACATTTACATTATGAAGGAGGGAAGGATAAAGTAAACACATGATAAACGCACATACATTTCAGCCATGTTTATTCTCTTAATTTCATTTTTCTACCAAAAATGTTTCTGGTTTTTTTGAGTTTTTAAAATCTTTGTTATACATCACTTGGTTAAGCAGCAAACCCAGATTGAAAACTACATAAAATATGCAACATTAAATATGTAATGTATGTTACATTATATGTTATATATAGTAACATGCATATTATGTTACATTAAATATGTAACAAAATATGTAAAACATTAAAACGTTTTGTGGCTTTTATGGATATTAATATTTCTCAAACTAGATTATAAACCACTTAAAGTTAATAGCTAATCATATACAATCTCATTTACTCAGCCCTATCAAAAAATAAAAAATTCTACTAAAGAATTTTCTAAACTAAATCACTTTTTGCCACCAAATTATTTGCTTTCATCATTTTTGTAAAATCTACTAAAACGGATTATATATTTCCCACCATCTTACACATAATTATTCAAAACTGGTTAAGCTTTTCTTGATCCCCCTCAAGTCTTTGTGAAATGCATTTGGGGTATTATACTGTGTAACACAGCAATTACCTAAAAAGTAACAGAGGTATTCTGATTTGTTTACCTATGCAATAAATAGTTGTAGCTACTAGGTCTTAAAATGTAAGTATCTATGGGTGTGTGTTTTTTCCTCTTTTCTTCTCATCAGTGTCTTCTTACTACTATGAAAGCACCTTCCTCTCAAAGTCCTTCCTCCTCCTCCCTCAATTTGCTCCTTTTAATCTATGCTTTCAGAGTAAAAATATTAATATTGGTAAAACTGCATTGAAAAATTTTTTTAAGTAAACCAGCTTACCTAAGAAATTAACAGTAAAATGACTCAAAAGTCATTCTTACATTACTTAAGTCAAAATGGCTCGGAAAGTATTTTTATTTACTTCCAAGTTTCCTGAATAAGAGAACTTTGAGAATCAAGGTATTTATGTCCTATTGCACCAAACATGTTTTTGATACTTGCAATTCAGTGACACTATCCTGTAAGTAAGGGGGTGGTGGGGTAGGAAAAAAAAAATCTTGAAACACAAAGAAATATATGAATTTGTTGCCATACTGGTCTCTTTTTATGGCAAAATATGGGTTAAAAAGTCCCCTTTCACTAAACTGATTTTTTTTTTTTGAGACAGGTTCTCACTCCATCACCCTGGCTGAAGTGCAGTGGCATGGTATCATAGCTCACTGAAACCTCAAACTCCTAGGCTCAAACAATCCCCTTACCTCAGCCTCCCAAGGAGCTAGGACTACCGGTGCATACCACCACACCTTGCTAATTTTAATTTTCTACTTTTAGTAGAGACGGGGTCTCACTATGTGGCCTAGGCTGCTCTTGAACTCGTGGCCTCAAGTGATCCTTCTACCCTGGCTTCCTGAAGTGCTGAGATTATAGGCGTAAGCCACCATATAGCCTCCGAATTTAAATTTTTGAAACAACATTATTAAGTCAAGGTAAAATAAATATTTAATTTACCTGTAGACCAGATCTTTAGCATCTTATCCCAGGAGCCACTGCAAAACTAAACAGATGTATATGAAGGGAAAAGACATATGTAATATGATTCATATTATTTGCCTACAACAGTAGGTCTCTTCCTCATTCAGGACCTTTTCAAAGAACTTGTGTTCCACAGAACTGAAATTAGCCTTTTTCCAGGGGCAGATAGGACAGAACATAAAATCTGGGAAATCTTGAAGGCCAAGCTTATTGCCATGTCTTTTGAAGAAAGCCAATCTGAAGTGAGAGAGAATAAAGTCAACTTGAGGGACAAGACAGCGAGAGGGTGTGCGGACCACATTCAAGCCTCTATTCCACTGGTTCCTGAGGCCCAAATGCACCATTACCCTTCTTGTGATGTGGTTGTTCAATCTTTCCTTGGATCTCACAATCCATTTACTTTTAAGGTTAAATAAGTTCAAGTTGAGTTTCTATCTCTCCTTAACCAAAAAGAAGAGGTACAGTTAATCCACTAAAGTTTGGACTAAACAACATATAAAACTTTTCGGCTCAATATGAAAAATCATAAATCTTCACCTTTGAATACAAGCATCCTGTTACCCTAACTGTCAAAGAAACACTCTTAAGTCCAGAATACTTCAATGTGGCTTAGGAAACTTTCAAATTCTAAGTGGATTTATAACCCTTCATATTAATAAATCAATATGGTATTGCCCTCAGGTTTGTTACCTTTTAACTAACTTTTACCATTTTGTCATGATAAAGAGTAGATTGATACTATAGTAAAACTCTATTAGCACTAACTTTAGTGTATGCTAATGCTCAGACTATCAACTAGGCGTTTTCAGTTGATGACAGCACTTAAGAGTAGCTGATATAGACTGGAAATATGTCAATTACTATGAGGTAAGAAGGTTATATAAATGAATGGCTTGTTTACTTCATTTCTTTCTTTTTTTTTTTTTTTTTTTTTGAGACTGAGTTTCACTCTTGTTGGGCCCAGGCTGGAGTGCAACGGTGCAATCTCGGTCACTGCAACCTCTGTCTCCCGGGTTCAAGTGATTCTCCTACCTCAGCCTCCCGAGTAGCTGGGATTACAGGCATGCGCCACCATGCCCGGCTTATTTTTTTTTTTTTTTTTTTTAGTAGAGACAGGGTTTCTCCATGTGGGTCAGGCTGGTCTTGAACTCCTGACCTCAGGTGATCTGCCCGCCTCGGCCTCCCAAAGTGCTGGGATTACAGGCGTGAGCCACCGCGCCCGGCCCATACCTCATTTCTTAAAATTTCTGGAGTTTATATAAGGTTCTAAACCAGGGATTCAAACTGAGCAAGTGACTATCTCCTATTGTATGAGTATTTACTCTTGCTTTGAAATCCTATCTTTTGTCACCGATTGTTAGGAAACTAGGCCAACACAATGAATATATGCAGAAGAAAATGTTTAGCAACAAGCTCAAATTCAAATTTAACAGAGTACTAATAATATTCTAGCTACTTACTTTAGTTCCTGAGCCATCAACAGCTATAGAATCTACACTTCCAGCATGACCTCTACAGCAGTGTAGGGCTTTCACTTTGTTTCTCTCTACATTCCACTCCCATAAGAGAATAGTCTGATCCATAGAAGCACTCAATAATAAGCAGGACAAACTATCTGGAGAAAGGAGAACACAAGAATAAGAAACAAATCAGTATACCATTTAGAATACATCATGTTCTGAAACCAAAGAACTAAATTTTTTTGTTGTTATTGAAAAAGATGTTAAAAAGATAACTCATATGGCCAGGTTTTAAAAGGCTGATGTGGTATAAAGAAAAGATTCTTCAAAAATAGATGACGATGACTGGGTGTGGTGGCTCACGCCTGTAAATACTGACATTTTGGGAGGCCAACACAGGCAGATCACTTGAGGTCAGGAGTTTGAGACCAGCCTGGCCAACATGGCAAAACCCTGCCTCTACTAAAAATATAAAAATTAGCCGGGTGTGGTGGCAGGCGCCTGTAATTGCAGCCACTCAGGAGGCTGAGGCAGGAGAATCACTTGAACTCAGGAGGTGGAAGTTGCAGTGAGTTGAGATGGAGCCACTACACTCTAGCCTGGGCGACAGAGTGAGACTCTGCCTCAAAAAACAAACAAACAGGCTGGGTGCAGTGGCTCACGCCTGTAATCCCAGCACTTTGGGAGGCCAAGGCGGGTGGATCATGATGTCAGGAGTTCGAGATCAGCCTGGCCAAGATGGTGAAACCCCGTCTCTACTAAAAATACAAAAATTAGCCAGGCGTGATGGTAGGTGCCTGTAGTCCCAGCTACTCGAGAGGCTGAGGCAGGAGAATCGCTTGAACCTGGGAAGTGGATGTTGCAGTGAGCCGAGATCATGCCACTGCACGCTAGCCTGGGTGACACAGCGAGACTATCTCAAAAACAAAACAAAACAAAACAAAACAAAACAAACAAACAAAAACAGAAGAAAATAAAAGATGAATGTAATACATTCAATATTAACTTGAAAATGTATATTATCTGATGTAATTTTAATAAAGATACACTTCTAACAATTTATGAATTTTTTATATAATCTTTTTCTTCTTGAACACTGTATTTTTTGAAAGACCTCATAATAACTGAGGTATGAGATACTTCCCACCCACTCCCCATTCTTCCCCAGCACCAAAAATGGCTTATTTCCAAATCCCTATCTAGGATTCCTCTAAGTGTAGGCAAACTGTCCTAACCTTTTTTCACCCAGGCCACATCTTTTACAACATCCGTATGTCCCACAATTGTCATTATTGACTTTCCTTCCAAGGACCAGATCCGAGAAGTCTTATCATAAGAACCAGTCAAGATCCTATGAGAAAAAAAAATCTTATGAAACACAAAAAGCAGTTTTTCCAAACCCTGAAATGTTTCTTTGGCAATGACAAAGTAACTTTGAGGATTATACTTTTAAACTCTTTTTTGATATGAAGATTGAGATTTCAAGCCATACTAGATCAGATCACTTGACGTTTCTCAACCTCCTAAAAATAATACCTGGCATGGCTGGGCGTGGTGGCTCACGCCTGTAATCCCAGCACTTTGGGAGGCTGAGGCAGGCGGATCACGAGGTCAGGAGATCGAGACCATTCTGGCTAACACAGTGAAACCCTGTCTCTACTAAAAATACAAAAAATTAGCCAGGCATGGTGGCGGGTGCCTGTAGTCTCAGCTACTCAGGAGGCTGGGGCAGGAGAATGGCGTGAACCCAGGAGGCAGAGCTTGCAGTGAGCCGAGATTGCGCCACTGCACACCAGCCTGGGTGACAGAGCGAGACTCCGTTTCAAAAAAAAAAAAAAAAAAAAATATATATATATATATAAAAAATATATATCATATATATACATAGTATAAAATTACTTTCAGGCTAGGTGTATAAGCTGTATATGAAACATAAATGAATTTCATGTTTAGACTTGGATCACATCCCTAAAATATTTCACTATGTATATGTTAATATTCCAAAACCACCCCCACCCAAAAAAAATCCTACATCCAAAATACTTCTGGTACCAAACATTTCCAGATAAGGAATACCCAACCTGTAGTACTCTTTTTTCTTTTTGAGATGGAGTCTTGCTCTGTTGCCCAGGCTGGAAGGCAGTGGCGCGATCTCAGCTCACTGCAACCTCTGCCTCCTGGGTTCAAGTGATTCTCCTGCCTCAGCCTCCCGAGTAACTGGGACTATGGGCACAGACCGCCATACCTGGCTAATTTTTTATATTTTTGGTAGAGACAGGTTTCAATATTTTGGCCAGGCTGGTCTCAAACTTCTGATCTCAAGTGATCCACCTGCCTTAGGCTCCCAAAGTGCTGTGATTACAGGCGTGAGCCACGCGCCTGGCTGTCCACCTGAAGTATTTTGTACTTAACCAGTGAAAACCATTTAAACTAAAAGTAAAACTAGGAGAAATATAACTTTATGTAATAACTCCAAGAAGGCATTCTTTGAAAGAAGCTCCTACCATAATCTACTCTTGAGTTGTTTTCCTACAAGTAAGGCCAGTGAGGATTTGCCCTAAGATATCTGTACCTTCTTTGCTGAGTCCAGTCTGCTCCTTCTAGCCCTAAAATAGTATGCTATGCATCTTTAAGGTATTAGGCCAGGAGATCTATGGCTATAAAAGTTACTTTTTTCCTTTATGAAACAAACTATATCCTTGGTCTTAAAAGCAACATAATCGAACCAAATAAATTAAATGCTCTAAGATACATGACTTATTCAGAAGACAAATATTGCTGGGTGTAGAGAAATCCCACCTATTCAGGAGGCTGAGGCAGGAGGACTGCTTGAGCCCAGGAGTTTGCGACCAGCCTGGGCAAGAGAGAGAGACCCCGTTTAAAAAAAAAAAAAAAAAGGCAACAATAATTGTTACTACCACATATTGAACAGAACAGAAAAAGAGTACCTATTAATAAATACCTGTGGTTTTTTTTTTTTTTTTTTTTTTTTTTTTGAGACAGAGTCTCATTCTGTTGCCCAGGCTTGAGTGCAGTGGGGCCATCTCAGCTCACTGCAAGCTCCACCTCCCAGGTTCACGCCATTCTCCTGCCTCAGCCTCCCAAGTAGCGGGGACTACAGGCGCCCACCACCACGCCCGGCTAATTTTTTGTACTTTTTTAGTAGAGACAGGGTTTCACCATGTTAGCCAGGATGGTCTCGATCTCCCAACCTCGTAATCCACCCTCCTCGGCCTCCCAAAGTGCTGGGATTACAGGCATGAGCCACTGCACCCAGCCACCTGTTTCTTCTTGAAGACACTGAATGAAAAGATCTTTCTGTTTGCCATGGCCACTGATACAGAGATCACAAAATTAATTTACAAATAACATTAAATCACAGAAAAATATGTATATATGGATTTAAAAAGACTGAAGGAGGTAAAAACAAAACAAAAAAAAGAGAAGGGCATTAATCTGGCAATACCATTCCTCTGCCCCTTTAATTGAACTGATCCAGTCATCATGGAACATGCATTGCTCTGGCTGGGGTGCAGTATACTTCTCCACGTATTCTATTTCCACAACTTCTTCCTAATCACAAGAGAAACCAGCAACAAGTCAGGTGGTCTAGTTTTAAAATATTACATTATGAAGATAACCCCCAATTTAATATATCTCCTTTATATCCTTCATATTAGTCCCCTTTATAACTCAGCAAATTTGGAGCCATTCAAAAAGTCAAGAACTTTATTTGACCTAACTGTAAGCTAAGAGTGATATTAGGAAATAATAGCTTGGCATGGTGACTCACACCTGTAGTCCCAGCTATTAACATTAGGAAAGCTGGGGCAGGAGGACTGCTTCAGCCTAGGAGTTCAAGTCCAGCCCAGGCAACAAAGCAAGACCCTGTCTCCTAACAAAAATTTTAAAAAGAAGAAATATTAATCGCCTTGTACAACTTATGCTGCAAATGGGGGGGAAAGGAATATAAGAAAGCCTTAGGCCAGGTGCAGTGGCTCACACCCATAACCCCAGCACTTTGGGAGGCCGAGACGGGTGGATCACCTAAGATCAGGAGTTCAAGATGTGCCTGGCCAACATGGTGAAACTCTGTCTCTACTGAAGATACAAAAATTAGCCAGGCGTGGTGGCAGATGCCTGCAATCCCACTACTTTGGAGGCTGAGGCGCAAGAATCATTTGTACCCAGGAGGTAGAGGTTTCAGTGAGCCAAGACTGTGCCATTGCACTCCAGCCTGGGCAACAGATGGAGACTCTGTCTCAGAAAAAAAAAAAAAAAAGAAGATAAAAGAAAACATTAAAATTAAGAAAAAAAGCACATTGTTTAATGGGTACAGGTCTTCTGTTTAGGATAAGGAAACAATTCTGGAAAATGGTGATGGTTGCATAATACTGCAAAGGCACTTAATGCCACTGAATTGTATACTTAAAAATGGTTAAAATTCTAAATTTTATGTTATGTATATTTTACCACAATTTTTAAAATCACAAAACAAGCAACAATTATAAGTTATATTTTTAATCATAAAAGCAATATAAGGAAACTTTGAAAATAAAAGGGAAAAATAACAGTAACTTAACCCATAGTTTTTATATTTGCCCAGTTATTTTGTGCACCAGTATTTGTACACACATATTTGCTATTCCCTTTCTTGCCAGTTCTTCCACAAATATAAAGAATGTGTTCATTTATTTCTTGAATAAAACACTCTCACAAAAAAAGAGGGCTTCAAAATTGAATATACAGGAATATACATATATATATACACACACACTATATATATTCAATACACACATAAAATATACACACAATACATAACACACACAACATATATAGCCAATATATTAAAAAGAATCTTTGCTACTAAAGATAGATTCAGTGTGATTCTAAAAGGAGTTTACCTACAATAGCCGATAATGCCTCAAGTGAAATACAGAAGATAAGAATTTGAACTTACTGATGAGATGTTCTCCATTTCCATGTGTTTGTCCAAGGGCATTCGCAGAAACTGGCCCTTAATAAGGAAATCAAACTCCACATGTTTGTGGAACTCTGAGGAAAATACATAACAAAATTATCACTCTTAGTGTCTAAAGTAATATTGGCAGAGGTATATGAGAACTCCCAAAACAAACAGGTACCTATTATCCCAGTGTGGCCTGAGTTTCTCTGTGATTTTTAAGATCAGAAATACTTTGTTCTGTTAGTATAATGTCTTTTTACTGTTGTTGGTGTAATTATTTTGGTTTAGAAAACTTTTATTATTTCAAACATACACAAAAGTAGAAATAACAATGAATCTCATCACTATTGCCCATTTTGACATCCACCAACTAATGGGACATCATCTATATTCCACCCTCCATTCCCCGGCTGGTTTATTTTAAAGCAAATCTCAGAAATTATATCATTTCATCTGTAAATACTTTAGTATGTATCTCTAAAATATAAGGACTTCAAAAATTTGTCACAATATTTTAAAATTTAACAATCACTCCTTCTAACATCAAATAGTCAATGTTCTTTTACAGTGAGCTTTCAAAAATCAGCATCCATAATCCATACATTATATTTGATTAATGTTTCTTTTAATCTTTAACAGTTCCTCCTCCTTTTTCTCCTTGCCATGTATTTGTTGATGAAAGTGGGTCATCTGTTTTGTAACATTCTGGGTTTTGTTGACTCCATCTCCAAGGTGTCCTTTAACATGCTTCTTTATCACACAAATATCCTATAAACTAGTCAGAGGTAAATGGTAAATGCCTGGTTAGATTTCAGGGTTTTTTGGGTTTTTTTTGACAAGAATATTCACAGGCAGTATTGTCTATTTCCTGTTACATCCCATCAGGATGTAAATAGGTTCTGGTTGTGTCTCTTTTTAAGATATTAAGACCCATCATAGGGCTTGGATTATATCAGTCTGATTCTATCCACCATAATGCTCCTTGTCAGTCTTTTACCTAATTATCGGGATTAACAGCTATTGAGAACCAATACTGTACTTACATTCATTTCTTTCAGAGTTGCAATATGGTAACAGTCTATACAGAAGGAATAATGTTCGGTCTATATGTTTAGAAAAATGTTACCCAACTATTTGGGTAACATACTGGAATTGCAAAGCTTCTCTTACAGGAATAATTCTTTCCTCAACAAAATACTTGCAAACCAAATTCAACAACACATTAAGAAGATCATCATGACCAAGTAAGATTTATCCCAGGGATGCAAGAATAGTTCAACATACACAAATCAATGTAATACACTGTGATGGTTAACACTGAGTGTCAACTTGATTGGATTGAAGGATGCAAAGTATTGTTCCTGGGTGTGTCTGTGAAGGTGATGCCAAACGAGATGAACATTTGAGACAGTGGAATGGAAGAGGCAGACCTACCCTCTATCTGGGTAGGTACCATCTAATCAGCTGCCAGCATGGCTAGGATAAAAGGAGGCAGAGGAATGTGGAAGGACTAGACTGGATCAGTCTTCAGGCCTTTATCTTACTCCTGTGCTTCCTGCCCTCAAACATTGAACTCCAAGTTCTACAGCTTTTGGATTCTTGGACCAGTGGTTTGCCAGGGATTCTCAGGTGTTTGGCCATAGACTGAAGGCTGTACTGCCGGCTTCCCTACTTTTGAGGTTTTGGGACTCGGACTGGCCTCCTTGCTCCTCATCTTGCAGACAGCCTATCGTAGGACTTCATCTTGTGATCGTGTGAGTCAATACTCCTTAATAAACTCCCTCTCGGCTGTGCGCAGTGGCTCACACCTGTAATCCCAGTACTTTGGGAGGCCAAGAGTTCAAGACCAGCCTGACCAGCATGGTGAAACCCCGTCTCTACTAAAACTACAAAAATTAGCCAGCCGGGTGTGGTGGCACGCGCCTGTAATCCCAGCTACTCGGGAGGCTGAAGCAGGAGAATTGCTTGAACCCGGGAGGTGGAGGTTGCAGTGAGCCGAGATCGTGCCACTGCACTCCAGCCTGGGCGACAGAGCAAGACTCCGTCTCAAAAAAAACCAAAAAAACAAAAAATCTCTCTTTCATATATACATCTATTCTATTAGTCCTGTCCCTCTAAAGAACCCTAATATATACATCATATCAACAGAATGAAGGACAAAAAGCATATGATCATTTCAATTGATGCTGAAAAAGCATTTGATAAAATTCAACATCCTTTCATGATAAAAGCCCTCAAAAAACTGGGTATAGAAAAACATACTTCAACATAATAAAATTCATATATAATAGACCCCCATACTAAATGGGGAAAAAACTGAAAGCCTTTCCTCTAACATCTGGAACATGATAAGGATGCCCACTTTTACCACTGTTATTCAACACAGCAATGGAAGTCCTAGCTAGAGCAATCAGATGGAAGGAAGGAAGGAAGGAAGGAAGGAAGGAAGGAAGGAAGGAAGGAAGGAAGGAAGTGAGGGAGGGAGGGAGGGAGGGAGGAAGGGCATCCAAATTGGAGAGGAAGATGTCACATTATCCTTGTTTGCAGATGATTTGATCTTATATTTGGAAAAATCAATGATATAACGTTATATTTGATATAATCTTTATTTTACCAAAAACCAATTAGGACTGATAAATTCAGTAAAGTTGCATGATACAAAAATCAGTAGCATTTCTATATGCTAACAGCGAACAATCAGAAAAAGAAATCAAGAAAGTATTTCTACTTACAGTAGCCACAAATAAAATACCTAGGAATTAACCAAAGAAGTGAAAGATCTCTACAACAAAAACTATAAAACATCGATGAAAGACATTGAAGAGGGCTGGGTGCAGTGGCTCATGCCTGTAATCCCAGAACTTTGGGAGGCTGAGACGGGTGGATCACCTGAGGTCAGGAGCTCGTGACCAGCCTGGCCAACATGGTGAAACCAAGGCTGTACTAAAAATACAAAAATTAGCTGGGCGTGGTGGCAGGCACCTGTAATCCCAGCTACTCAGGAGGCTGAGGCAGGAGAATCGCTTGAAACCGGGAGGTGGAGGTCGCCATGAGGTGAGATTACGCAATTGCACTCCAACCTGGGCAACAAGAGTGAAACTCTGTCTCAAAAAAAAAAAAAAAAAAAAAAAAAAGAAAAGAAAAAGAAAAAAAGAAATTGAAGAGGACACAAAAAAATGGAAAGATATTCCAGGATCATGGATTGGAAGAATTTAATATTGTTAAAATGTCCATAGTACCCAAAGCAACCTACAGATTCAATGCAATCCTTATCAAAATACCAATGACATTCTTCACAGAAAAAAAAAAATCCTAAAATTTACATGGAACCACAAAAGAACCAGAATAGCCAAAGCTACCTTAAGCAAAAAGAACAAACTTGGAGGAATCACATTACCTGACTTCAAATTATACTACAGAGCTATAGTAACCAAAACAGCATGGTACTGGCATAAAAACAGACACATACACCAATGGAACAGAATAGAGAAGCCAAAACAAATCCACACATCTACAGTGAACTCAAACCTACACTGGGGAACAGCCAGTCTCTTCAATAATGGTGCTGGAAAAACTGGGTATCCATATGCAAAAAAAATGAAACTAGACCCCTATCTCTTGCCACATACAAAAGTCAAAACAAAAGGGATTAAAGACTTAAATATTTGTAAGACCTCGAACTATGAAACTAATACAAGAAAACATTGGGGAAACTCCCCAGGGCAGTGGTCTGGGCAAAAATTTCTTGAGTAATACCACACAAGCACAGGCAATCAAAGCAGAAATAGACAAATGCGATCCCATCAGGTTAAAAAGCACAGCAAAGGAAACAATTAACAAAGTGAAGAGACAACCCACAGAATGGGAATAATTATTTGCCAACTACCCATCTGACAAGGGATTAATAACCAGAATATATAAGGAGCTCAAAAAGCTCTGTAGGTAAAAATTTAATAATCTGATTAAAAATTGGGCAAAAGGTTTGAACATACATTTCTCAAAAGAAAATTCAAATGGCAAACAGGTAAATGAAAGGGTGCTCACCATCACTGATCATCAGTGAAATACAAATCAAAACTACAATGAGATATCATTTCACCCCAGATAAAATGGCGTTTTTCCCCACCCCTCCCAAGACGGAGTCCTGCTCTGTCACCCAGGTTGGAGTGCAGTGGCACGAGCTCGGCTCACTACAACTTCCGCCTCCCGGGTTCAAGCAATTCTCCTGCTTCAGCCTCCTGAGTAGCTGGGTTTACAGGCACCTGCCACCATGCCTGGCTAATTTTTGTATTTGTAGTAGAGATGGGGTTTACTATTTTGCCCAGGCTGGTCTCAAATTCTTGACTTCATGATCCACCCACCTTGGCCTCCCAAAGTGCTGGGATTACAGGCGTGGGCCACCACGCCAGGCCAAAATGGCTTTTATCTGAAAGTCACGCCATAAAAAATGCTGGTGAGGATATGGAGAAAAGGGACCCCTCATAAACCTTGGTGGGGATGTCAATTAGTACAACTACTATGGAGAACAGTTTGGAGATTCCTCAAAAAACTAAAAATAGAGCTACCATATGATCCAGCAATAGCACTGCTAGGTATATACTCAAAAGTAGAGAAATCAGGAAATCAATACTTCTACACAATGGAGTACTATTCAGCCATAAAAAAGAATGAGATCCTGTCATTTACAACAACATGGGTAGAATTGGAGGTCATTATGTTCAGTGAAATAAGCCAGGCACAGAAAACAAACTTTGCATATTCTCACTTATTTGTGGGAGCTAAAAATTAAAACATTGAACTCATGGAGATACAGAGTAGAAGGAGAGTTACCAGACACTGAGAAGGGTAGTGGGGGAAGTGAGAGGCAAGTGGAAATGGATGGTTAATGGGTACAAAAGAATTGAAAGAATAAATAAGATCTTGTATTTGATAGCACAACTGGATGACTATAGTCAATAATTTAATTATACATTTAAAAACAACGAAGAGTATAATTGGATTGTTTGTAACACAAAGGATAAATGCTTGAGGTGATGGATACCTCATTTACCCTGATGTGATTATTACACCTTATATGCCTGTATCAAAATATCTAATGTACCCCATAGATACACCTACCACGTACCTACAAAAATTAAAAAGAATATTTCTTATTCTAGTTCAAAGACTTGTTCAACAAATAGACTATATAACAGTTTTGAAATTTATAAAGGTAACTATGCATCAGAATCTCTATATATCCATGATGAAAACAAAAACAAGGAGCAACAGGAAATGCTATGTAAATATCCTTGAATATTGAATATTGAACTGTAACTAGCAATAAAAAGATTGCAAACCCTGTCCCCTCCTCCCCCACCCCAAGCCAATAAAGTTGCTCAAAAACATCACCTCAAATTTCACAAAAAAATTATGTGATTATTTGAAGACGAAGATGGGGAAAATACTACACATTAGTTTATAACTCTTACCTCCTCATTCCTCCAACTACGGTAGAGTCAGAAGAGCTCTGCAGCATTGGAAACATCTGCATAAAAATACACTTGCCTCTGGCTGGGCATGGTGGCTCACACATGTAATCCCAGCACTTTGGGAGGCCCAGGAGGGTGGATCACCTGAGGTCAGGAGTTCGAGACCAGCCTCGCCAAATGGTGAAACCCCGTTTCTACTAAAAGTACAAAAAATTAGCCAGGCATGGTAGCGGGCACCTGTAATTCCAGCTACTCTGGAGGATGAGGCAGGAGAATCACTTAATGTTTCATGTTTAAATTTTCTCTATTTTATGTAATGTTTCTTTACTTTTTAAAAAATACTTTATTATAGAAAATTTCATACATATGGAAAAGTTCAGAAATATCAATCAAAACTACAATGAGATACAGAAAATAATATAAGGAGCCTCCTTACACCTATCACCAAACTTCAACATTTTTTTTTTTTTTGAGACTTCCTCTATCACCCAGGCTGGAGTGCAATGGTGCGATCTTGGCTCACTGCAACCTCCGCCTCCCGGGTTCAAGCAATTCTCCTGCCTCAGCCTCCTTAGCAGCTGAGATTACAGGCATGTGCCACCACGCCTGGCTGATTTTTGTATTTTTAGTAGAGACGGGGTTTCACCATGTTGGTCAGGCTGGTCTCAAACTCCTGACCTCGTGATCCACCCGCCTCGGCCTCCCAAAGTGCTGGGATTACAAACTTCAACAATTATTAACTCATAGCCAATCTTATTTCATTGATATTTTTACATACATTGTTCATATTAATTTAATGGGCAAATAACTTATATTAGTACAATAGTATATATTTAATATTTGTATCTTTTAAATGTTTTATATTCTTCCATGTTTTGTTATATCCTTTTTTTATGAATTCTGGACACAAAAAATAAAATACTGGTATTCATACTGTCATTTTGATATTACACTAAACACTCAAATACTGATATTGTCATTTTGCTTTGTGCTTCACTAGTAAATGGGGCCTAAGCACTAAAACGCTTGTTTTATGCCTGCATAACTCAGCCCTCTGTAGAACAATCAATGTCTTGATTACCTCTATATTACAACTTTATACCAAAATCTTTATTCCTTAACTACAACCACCATATTTCCACATGGCCTTAAAAACAGATTAAACAGAAATTTTTTTCTGAAAACTTTTCTTTCAAAGCAGTATTTACAGTATCATCCAGCAGAAGAACCTGTACTTTATAACTTACAAATTTTACCACTACAAAATTCATACAGTATCATAAGGCCAAAAAAGGAACTAAAAACTTAATGCATTTTAGAATAATTAGGGACACTGTGCCCTCTCCTAAGCATATATACCCACCATTTTTGTCCTTTAGTAGTTTATTGATGATGTTACTAAGGTCGGCAATTTCAGAGGCAGCAGGGATTGAGAAGGGAACATCATCTACGGCATATCTATAAAAAGGAAATGATATGTCAAGATCAAGTCTACAGATATTTGAACAAACATGCTTTTACGAATTCAACATACATTTATTGGGTAAATAAATGCCAGACATCCAGACATTTTGCTACATGTTGTAAACAAAAATGAATTAAAACATGGTCTCTGTTCTAAGATGAGGTTGAAGTTTAGTAATCAAATAGAATGAAGTTATATAAGAACAATGCCATTAGGTGACATGTATAAAAAGAACAAAGACACCATAGGTCATTTTAACCACAGAAAAGGAGGGCAGGGGAGCAGGGCCAGAAACGATCCACAGAAAAGATAACTGTTAAGCAACATTTAGAAAAGTGATTAGCCAGGCGTGGTGGCATGTGCCCGTAGTCCCAGCTACTTGGGAGGCTGAGGTGGGAGGACTGCCTGAGCCCAGGAGGTCGAGGCTGCAGTGAGCTGAGATTATACCACTGCACTGCACTCCAGCCTGGGTGACACAGCAAGACCCTGTCTCAAAAGAGAAGTGAGTTTTTGCCAGGTGAGGGAAGGGTAGGCTGGAAGAAGCAGTGTGGACGAAACCAGAGAGAACATCAAAACAATAGCTAGGAGTTGTTAAACTGCCCAGCCACTTCCAGAAAATCTGACTTTGCTCCAAAGTGACCAAAGGCTAAAGAGATACACATGGAGTGCTTTATATATCATGTGAAATCATTTTTACTTCTTTTTTGTGGGTAATGAAGAACTATCACAGCAGTGCAAATTAGAAGTATCATCAGATTTTATTTAGTTAGATCTTTCTGGCTGCACAATGGGCACTGAAATAGAGGAACACATGACAGGAGGCAGATTAGGAGACTCTTATAAGAGAGACTGTGAGAAAATATTTGCAAATCATGTATCTAATAAGGAACTTGTATCTAGACTATATTAAGAACACTTACAACTCAATAATAAAAAGACAACACAAATTTTAAAATGGCCCAATAGGGACATGCAAATGCTCATCATTAGTCATCCAGGTAATGTTAATCAAACACAATGAAATATAATTTCACATCCACTAGGGTGCTATAAGTAAAAAGACAGCTAATAACAAGTGTCAGTGAAAATATGGAGCAATTGGAACCCTGATTATTGCTGGCAGTAACGTAAAATGGTGCAGTTGCTTTGGAAAACAGTCTGGCAGTTCCTCAAAAACTCAAACATGGAATTACATCTGACCCAAAAACTCCACTCCTAAGCATATATGCAAGAGAAACGAAAACATACATCCACACGAAAACTTGTACGAGTGTTCACATAACAACTATTCATAATAGCTAAAAGGTATAAACAACCTAAATGCCCACCAGCTGATGAATGGAAAAATATGGTACCTCCATTCAATGGCCTATTATTTGGCCACAAAAAGGAATGAAGTGCTAATATATACTATGATATAATGAAACCATTTTTTAAAAATCATAGTAAGTGAAAGAAGCCAGTCACAAAAGATCACATTATATAATTCCATTTATTCAAAACGTCCAGAAGAGAGAAAGTTACAGAGCTAGAAAGTAGATCAGTGGTTGCCTAGGGCTGGGGGTATTATTTAACAAACAGCTCAAGGATGATGAAAAATGTTCTAAAATTGACTGTGGTGATGGTTGCACAACTTTGCAAATATGATGCTGATGATCCTCAAACCACACTTTGAGCAATAAGGCTATAGCTATATATTTATGTATATAATTCACATATATGTATATTCTTGTGTGTGTGTGTGACAATTATATTAGCCCCCCGCCTCCATTTTACTGACCATAATATTAAGCAAAAAGAAAAAGCAAGAATTTTATTATTTATTTATTTATTTATTTATTTATTTGAGATAGAGTCTCACTATGTTCCCCAGGCTGGAGTGCAGTTGCATTGATCCTGGCTCACTGCAACCTCTGCCTCTCAGGCTCAAGAGATCCTCCCACCTCAGCCTCCCAAGTAGCTGGGACCACAGGTGGGCACCACCATGCCTGGCAAATTTTTTGTATTTTTGGTAGAGACGGGGTTTCATCATGTTGCTCAGGCTGGTCTCAAACTCCTGAGATAAGCGATTTGCGTTCCTCAGCCTCCCAGACTGTTGGGATTACAGACATGAGCCACAGCACTCGGCAAAGAATTTTAATTTCTACATTTTTTTACCTTTTGGAGGGCCTAAATTCACACACACACATATGACATGTATCCATTCATTTCAGGGGTTAAAACACAGTGGCCTATTATCTCTTACAACTTCATGTGAATCAACAATTATCTCAAGGCTGGACGCAGTGGGTCATGCCTGTAATTCCAGGACTTTGGGAGACCGAGGTGGGCGGATCACTTGAGGCCAGGAGTTCGAGACCAGCATGGCCACCAAGACAAATTCCTGTCTCTACTAAAAATACAAAAATTAGCCAGGCTTGGTGGCACATGCCTGTAATTCCAGCTACTCTGGAGGCTGAGGCGGGAAGATTGTTTGAACCCGGGAGACAGAGGTTACAGTGAGCCAAGATCCCACCACTGCAGTCCAGCCTGGGCAACAGAGTGAGACTCTGTCTCCAAAAAAACCAAACCAAACAAACAAAAAAAAGCCCCACATATTTCAAAAAATTTTATTTTAAGAAAAACAAAAAAACCTACTTTCAATTAAAAAACACAGTGGTTATGTTAATGCATCACCACATTCCTAGAGAAGTATTAAGGCAATGTATGTAAGTAAGTACATATACTCAGGTGCATTGATAATACGATTTATGTATACTTTCAGCAACAACACAAGGGGAGAGAAGATGATTTACTAGCTCTCCTCATAAAGCTACAAACAAAACCACAGATGTAACTCAGGTGGGAGTTTCCTAGTTTATGGCTAACTTTAGCTTATTAACACGACAAATATTATCATTTTCACTGAAAAATTTGACATTTTTTGTTGACTCAGCCAATCCAAGAAGCTTAATTAATATATAGTCCCTGCCCTCAAGAGACTTCCAATATAGTTGGAAGAGACCAGGCAAACACAAAGAAAGCTAACAATGCAATATATACCACAAGGCAGCATATAATTAGTTTTCGAATGAGTGCTAACAGACCTTGAGACCACTGGTTAAAATGTTTATATATCTATATAGATATACATAAATGGTAAATATGTTTTTTCATTTTCAAAAACTTTTTTTCCGTTTTCAAAAACTGTGAACCACCACTAGCAGACACCCTATAACAAGGCCCACTGTTCATTTTTAAATTACACATATAAAATGTTTCATTCAGAAAGCAAACCTGAAGCCCTTCAGCCTCCTCCACACTCACAATTCAAATTATATAGAACCTACGAAGCTGGTTAGAAAGCAGGTAATCTCAGAAAAAAGGGTGGGGGTGACAGCAGAAACAACCAGGGATCCACAAGGTCATACCAAAGGGGTGGTCGGAAAGGAACCTGGGGAAGGGAGAGAAGGCTGGAACGCTTACTTACTTCTTGTTATCAGTGTAGAAGCGTGTTTGGAGCTGAGCCATGGCGAGGAGTACACACGACTTGCCCACGGAAACGTACGGGTTAGCAGACCCACAACACGAAGCTCCTGCCTTTTAAGACTACAAAGAGGCAGCTCAAAATTAGACTGCACAGGTAAGCGAGGAACTGCAGTCTAAGCCTGGACTCTGCCTTCTGCCCTCCGGTCTCCTCTGCAGAAAGCACGAGGTTGCCCTTCTACAGACGCCCAGACCACAAACATCGACTACCTACTCCTAGATTTAGGAGTCATCGATTAGAAAAGGATAGTCGTAAAGGTAGCATGTCCCTTTAATCATTGTTAGAATTCTTCCCATACGTGTGGGCCCGTAATCGATTAGGAAAAAGATCCCACTCAAATCCGCTTTATTAATAAAAAATTTTTTTTCAAGAGGCTGTCCTGAGCCTGGATAGTTCAAACACAGCTCCTAGTTACTACAAGTCTCAGAAAGCATCGCTTCTCAAACGCTGTGACCACCGGGAATTGTAGTCTTTTTTTGCCACGCTGCCCTCAGAGTATCTTATTTGCATTAAATCCTCTAGACTCCAGCCAGATATCAAATTTCCTCTGCCTTCAGCTTTGCTTGACTAACGCCTTGCCAGTTTTTTTTTCTCATACATATTCCCAACCAGAGGCTCACTCGGCAGAGGTTTTTCCTAAATCTCGCCTCTAACTGCGGCTTTTAGAGAGAGGCGAGAGGCGGAAATACAAAGAAAAGAACGGATGAGAGAGGAAACGGTCGACGGTGGCCGATAGTGGTCCTACTGTCGTGGGACTGCTCTGCGCGCTCCCGGTGGGGCGCGCCTGCGCATTATGCTGGTCTCCATGGCGGGGCCTCGGAGCCAAGACGAGGTTGAGTAGACTCGTTTTGAATTTTCTCCCCTCTGCTCCGGCGGACTTCCCATGTCGCCTTGTGGGGCTATCGGCGGCGGCAGGACTGGGGGAGTCAGAGGTCTGGCAGCGCTGTCTGCGCAGACCTACCGGACGCTACCTCCCAACCCCCCGTCTTCCTCCTGCCTCCTCCTCCTCCCGTCACCTCCTGACCCGCCGGAGCTCCGAGCAACTGCCGGCCTCCGCCCCCAGCCGCAGCCGGTCACTGGCGGCGCCTTCCGCGCCAAGCTTGGGGGCCTTTTCGGGGTCCCACATGGCACGGCTTCCGACCCCCGGCCCGGGACGGGGCTCGCAGGCCCCAGAGGGGCAGGCTGGAGAAGGAGGAGGTTAGGTGTCTTCAGGAGGGTTGCTGAGCCCAAGGACGCGCCATCGCCGCGGAGAAGGAGCCGGACCCCTTGGGCGGAGCGCCCAATGTGTGGTCCCTCACGCCGTCCCGCACCTTGCTTTTTAGGGTTCTTTTTCCGCTTTCTGAGCCCTTTTATACCTTACGTTTAGAAGGGGAAAATCATCCTCCCACACCTTCTCCCCGACTTTTTGCCTTTTTTGTCTTGAAGTTACCCAAAGGCCTGTGTATTGTTCTCAATGGTCCCAAGAATTACTCTAATATAGTTGTTTTTCTGAGGGAGGATGGATGGAGATAACTATCCTGATCCCAATGTCACTTTTTAAGGCATTCGCTTCAAGAGACAAGCAGTTTAGAATCAGGCAGAACTGGATTGCAAAATTTATGGGCAGACCGGTATGTGTGCAGGTGAAGACAAAGCTTTCCTTTTTTACGTTGTTTAAAGATGTCCTACTGTAAGGTAGACGCCTAATGTTTAAATGAACGCCTAATATTTAAATAGAGAATGAGAAGAGATTTAAACAATTGGAAGAAAAAATAATTTTTATTAGAGAGCAATGACAATAAAAGTAGGACTCTTTTCAGTTTACTCACCTTTGTAGCTCCGAATCCGGGCCCTGGAACCAGAATTCCTGGGTTCAAATCCTGCCTCTGCTACTTGATTAACCTTTTTGTGCCACACTTTTATCAACTATAAGAATTAACTGCGGCATCGGAAGCACTCAGTATATGTTAATTATTATCATCAAATAGTTACTAATTCCAGTTTAACTAGAAGCTTTGCCAGCGTGAATAGATAAGGGAGAATAGCCACATTGAGTGGAGGAATAAAATTAGAAAACCTCTGTGCTGAAGTCCCAGGAGATCACTTATTAGGCTTGAGCTTGCTAATGGAAGTGGTGATCGTTTAACCATGTGGTTATTGTAGTGGTGAGGATTTACACATTAAATAAGTCTTGGGCATCTGAAGCTTGAAACACTTTCTTAATGAAATCTTGCCGTTGAATCTGTACTTACTGGTAATATGTCATTGGTTAAAATATATTTATAAAATGTATAATTGACCAGCAGGTTAATACATTTTTATCATTAATTTGAAATTTATCAAAATGAGAATATACAGTACCTGACAGTAGAGTTTGATCTTAATTTGATTTGAAAATTATGATCAGGAAAATAACCTGAATATATGCTTAATAATATAAGACTTTCAGTTTGCAAAACAGAAATCCTGACTTGACTAAAATACACTTTTCATTTGACGGAGACCTTTAGTTAAGGAAAGATTAGTTTTAGCATTCAACATAACTAAATACCCAGCATTATGTTTTACGGTTTTTTTCAACAATGATTTATGTGTCGTGTTTGGTGTTGCCTCCAAACAGTACCTAGGATAGCTGATGCTTTTACTTTGAGTCTTTTTCTTTAGTTGGAACATTAATTGCAAGCTTTTGGTTGGTAATCATTTTTTATGGGATGTATTTACTATATGGTCCTCATGGAGACACATTGTTATCTGGAGAACCACAGTTTGGAAAATACATTTCTCTTTATTATAAAGTTTTTTGTTTTATATATATAATGCCACAGTGTGATAGGATACAAAGACTATGCATTAGGGCTTTGGAGTCTTAATTGTTCTTTGTGTTTTTCTTTTTTTCCAATTTGATTATGGATCCAAGCCTAATGCACTCTGTGATCTTAAGCAAGTTTCTTGACAGTTCCAGTTTTCTTATCTACAAACAGAGACAAGAAGATCTACCTCAGAGTCATTGTAAGGATTAAATAAATTTGTAAAGCTCTCAAAGAGCAGCCTAATCCCAGCATTTTGGGTGGCTGAGGCGGGTGGAGCACCTGAGGTCAGGAGTTTGAGACCAGCCTGGCCAACATGGTGAAACCCCGTCTCTGCTAAAAATACAAAAATTGGCCAGGCATGGTGGGGGGTGCCTATAATCCGAGCTACTGGGGAGGCTGAGGCAGGAGAATTGCTTGAACCTGGAAGGTGGAGTTTGCAGTAAGCCAAGATCACGCCACTTCACTCCAGCCTGGGCAAAAAGAGTGAAACTCCATCTCAAAAAAAAAAAACAAACAAAAAATCAGAGCAAAAAGGTAAAAAGTTTGTGCAGAGTAAAACATGGGTAGAAATGGATTGCAGGGAAGCTTATAGTGAGAATAAACCATAAATAAAATTGACATTGTGAACACCAGCCTTAGATTTTTTTTCCCTGAAAATTAAAAAGTGCTTTTTTTTATTTTTTTATTTTTTGAGTTGGAGGGTTTTTTGGTGGTGGTGGTGGTGTTTGTTGTTTTGTTTTTGGTTTTTTGTTTTTTTTCAGAGTCTCCCTCTGTCGCGAGGCTGGAGTGCAGTGGCGCTATCTTAGCTCACTGCAACCTCCGCCTTCCAGGTTGAAGCGATTCTCCTGCCTCAGCTTCCCGAGTAGCTGGGACTACAGGTGCCTGCCACCATGCCCGGCTAATTTTTTGTATTTTAGTAGAGAAGGGGTTTCACCATGTTGGCCGGGATGGTCTCGATCCCCTGACCTTGTGATCTTCCCACCTCGGCCTTCAAAAGTGCTGGGATTACAGGCGTGAGCCACTGTACTGGTTGAGGTGGAGTCTTGCTCTGTTGCCCAGGCTGGAATGCAGTGGCATGATCTCATCTCACTGCAACCTCTGCCTTCCAGGTTCAAGTGATCCGTGTTTCAGCCTCCCCAATAGCTGCGATTGCAGGCTCCTGCCACCACTCCCAGCTGATTTTTGTATTTTGTTTTGTTTTCTTTTTGAGATGGAGTCTGGCTCTGTCACCAGGCTGGAGTGCAGTGGTGCAATCTTGGCTCACTGCAACCTCCAACTCCCTGGTTCAAGCAATTCCCCTGCCTCAGCCTCCCGAGTAGCTGGGATTACAGGCACACGCCACCACGCCCAGCTAATTTTTGTATTTTTGGTAGACACAGGGTTTTATCATGTTGGCCAGGATGGTCTCAATCTCCTGACCTTGTGATCCATCTGCTCAGCCTCCCAAAGTGCTGGGATTACAGGCATGAGCCACTGCACCTAGCCTGTTTTTTTTTGTTTTTTTTTAAGTAGAGACAGGGTTTCACTATGTTGGCCAGGCTGGCCTCCCAACTCCTGACCTCAAGATCCGCCCACTTTAGACTCCCAAAGCGCTGGGATTACAGGCATGAGCCACTGCATCCAGCAGAAAATTTAAAAATTAATATAGGTTATTGTTTATATATAATTGCATGCATTTAAAAGTTCGATGTTTAACATAACTTTAAAAACTGATTCTTAAAAAATAAATTATCCTATTAAAATATTTGTGAATTAGTCTTGATTTCATTTTTGACACCACTGATTCATAGTAATTTTGTACATATTATAAAAGGAATGTTATGTCATTTACCTCTAAAAGATGCGGTAAATTTTACTTTCTAAAGTACTTTTGAGCAATATTTTATTTATTTATTTATTTATTTATTTATTTATTTTTGAGACAGAGTCTCACTCTGTCGCCAGGCTGTAGTGCCGTGGCACAATCTTGGCTCCCTGCGACCTGTGCTTCCCAGGTTCAAGCGATTCTCCTGCCTCAACCTCCCCAGTAGCTAGGACTATAGGTGCGCACCACCACACCTAGCTAACTTTTTTGTATTTTTAGTAGAGATGGGGTTTCACCACGTTGGCCAGGATGGTCTCAATCTCTTAACTTCGTGATCTGCCCACCTTGGCCTCCCAAAGTGCTGGGATTACAGGTGTGAGCCACCAGCATCCCGCCGAGCAATACTTTTTAATGTAGTTAATAAGATCTGGCGCTGATAATGAATAGATTTAAAGATCTTTTACATCTTAGGACATTAACCAAGGTATCTGGAATTTAAAGAAACAACTTCAAGCTGCTTTCTCTTTAATTACCCTATTTGGGGATTTATTCTAAGGTTATTGGTTGTAACAATAATATTTTAATACACAGAAGTCTGTGAAGGATACTCAACAACATGGTTGGATGTTAAGACCATTTTTTTTGGATATTACACATAAGAAATTGCCTCCAAAATTTTGAACTGATAGAATTGCTGTTGAATAAGATCCTAACAGCAGTGGCCCAAGTATGGTCCTTGAAGGAGACATGACAACAACCTGAATCGTCTCTACCCCTCTGCCATACATTCACTGTCTAAAAACAATAAAAAGCCCTTTCTTCCCAGAATAAAAACGCTGAGCTCGCCGGGCGCGGTGGCTCACGCCTGTAATCCCAGCACTTTGGGAGGCCGAGGCGGGCGGATCACGAAGTCAGGAGATCGAGACCATCCCGGCTAACACGGTGAAACCCTGTCTCTACTGAAAATACAAAAAAATTAGCCGGGCGTAGTGGCGGGCGCCTGTAGTCCCAGCTACTTGGGAGGCTGAGGCAGGAGAATGGCGTGAACCCGGGAGGCGGAGCTTGCAGTGAGCCGAGATCCCGCCACTGCACTCCAGCCTGGGCGACAGAGCGAGACTCCGTCTCAAAAAAAAAAAAAAAAAAAAAAAAAAGCGCTGAGCTGCTAATTTTACAGATGCTTTCCAATCTTTACTTTTGATATAAGATAAAATCCACTTTTTAAATGTGATAACAAAACATTCTAGAAAGCAATTTGCCGGCAAAATTTAATGCTTTAGTGTGTTTTCTGAAATCCAATCATTAACTGTTTAGGCTCCATATTTAATATTTTCTTTTTTCTTTCTGCTCTCTTTAATTGTAATACGCTTGCTTAAGAAATAAGCCTGTCAATTCTAGGGTTTGGGAGGTAGGGCATGGGGAGAAGAGCTTTTATTTTCAAGCTTCTTGTGGCTCCAAAAGATACCCTAATAGTAAGTATTTTCATTGATGAAAAATGTAATTTGCTAGAGATCTTTGTTTTAGTGATAGTTATAAAACGTGAGAATTTAAATATTCCAAATACCTGATTTTAGACAAGGAAACAGGCACAGAGAGATTGTCACCTGTCCCAAGATACATGTAGTTACCTGTAAAGTCAGTCCTCATCTTTAGTTCTCTTAAATGAATCAATTGATAGTTTTACCACACCAGGCTGATAATGGTTATTTTAAAATAAAACCTGCATAACAAAAAGTAATAATTATCTTTATGTGTAGGAAAATAAAATATACATTAAATACCTTCTCATTACAGAGAAAATGCTGCTGTGAAGACCCAATTAAAGCTTTCACATAAATGAAGCTACAGCTATCATGATTTAGTGCCCCCAAAAGGAAGAACTTCAGTGGACAAGAAAGGACATTTCTGGGGGTAGTAGAATGCTTGAGGCCTGGAATTTAAACCTGAGCCACTATCTGAAGGTAATTTTTTTTAACTAATTGAAAGTAACAACTTTATTTTAAAAAGTTAACTATTATCTATTACATGTTTAAAAAGTCAAATTACCCTTTGTATATAGGTGCTTTGTTCTATTTATGTTTATCAGTTGGAAAAAACATTTTATACTTAGCTATTTAATATTAATATCTGCATTCTTATAAACTTTACTTTGACAGGGCCAGGCGCGGTGGCTCATGCCTGTAATCCCAGCACTTTGGGAGGCCGAGGTGGGCGGATCACAAGGTCGGGAGATTGAGACCATCCTGGCTAACACGGTGAAACCCCGTCTCTACTAAAATACAAAAAAAATTAGCCGGGCATGGTGGCGGGCGCCTATAGTCCCAGCTACTCTGGAGGCTGAGGCAGGAGAATGGTGTGAACCTGGGAGGCGGAGCTTGCAGTGAGCCGAGAGCTTGCAGTGAGTGCCACTGCACTCCAGTACTGGGTGATAGAGCAAGACTCCGTCTCAAAACAAAACAAAACAAAAAAAACAAAAAAAAACTTTACTTTGACGGAGTTAATTGGCAGTTAGGGATAAAAACTTATAGCATATACTGACATTCAGGATAGTTGGGAAAATCAGCTATTTTAAGTCACTTTGCAGTTGTCAGGATTAAAGAAGGTAAAGCAAATTGATGGAAGAAAGGAGGAAGGAAGAGGTAATACTTTTCACTGCATCCAAATTATTTTTTTAAAGTGTGTCTGTAACTTAAAAATGTACTTTTAATCTTCATTTCAACAATGGGTTAGGTCAGTCATCATATTAAAACCAACTTTTCCGTATAGAAACTACTTTAATATTTTCTCAATGTAACCACAAAAAGTCTTTAACCCATAGATTTTCATTTCCAGAAGGCAGTAGAAAATATAGTTATTTTTATTCCATTGGCAAAATCTCAATATGGGCAAAATTCTGCAGTAGGTGGTTTGTGTTTGGCAGTCTTCCTCTGTCAACATACTCCCCACCCCTTAACTAGTGTACTTACCTAAGCCAGTCATACTTCCCTCAGTCTTCACTGCAGCATCCTGTGCAGGCCTGCTGAATCCCTCTAAGTTCTTTGAGGCTCACCTGTACTTGCTTTCTCACCTCCAAGTAAAACTTTTCACTCCCTCAGGGTAGCTCTTTTTAACTCGTTTTAAAGGAAGAAATCCATCCTTACAGAAATTTATACCAATTTGTTAATGGCTGATGTTCCCTCCAAAGTTTTTTCTTTTTAAGAAAAAGGGCTTATTAACATCAATGAAAATTTTACTGATGAAATTTCAGAGTGAGTGAGCAAAAGTAAATAAAGTAAAAAAAATAAAATTAGGCTAGTAAAGGTAACTTGCAGTAGGATCAGAGTACCTGTCAGGAAACTGGGAATATTTGGAATTCTTACCCCTAAGCTATTGGCACTTTTTACAACTTCTTCCTAAACTCCACTTCTCAATCTGTTCTACCTAATGTTTTTTCAGTGACTACAATGCCTGCATAGTTAGAGCTCTAGCTTTTGGGTGGTGTCGGAGATAGAGTTTTTTGTATGTTACGGTACTGCTTCTAATTAAATTTCAACTGGCAAAAGTTGAAAACAAAAAGGAACAAATAATTCCTTTTAACATCTTTAATTTGTTAACCTATCCAGAAAAAGATTTAAAGCTATGGATTTTTGACTAATAAAGGCAGAAGAGAGCTTTGTTTATTGGTTTGAAAAAGTTCCTATTGTAATAATAGAGTACGGGCTTTGAAATAAACACATGTAGGTTTGAGTTCTTGCTCAGCCACTCAGCATATTTGTAATCTTGGGAAAGTTACTTATCTGCCTATCCTATATGTAAATTGGAACAGGTAACTGAATCACAGCATTGTCAAAAGGGTTAAATGATATAGGTAAAACACTTTTAGCATAGTACCTTACTATGGTAAATGCTCAATAAATGATAACCTTATAATTTTGAGCAATGAACCTCATCATCTTTTTCTATAAAATGATGATAATAATAGGTCCTATATCACAGAATAGTAGAGTGATTGTTGATAATTCTAGCTAATAATTATTTAGGATAGTTGAGATTCAATACATTCTATTTTATAACTATGACAATTAAATTCATAATCTTTTTTTTTTTTTTTGAGACGGGGTCTCGCTCTGTCGCCCAGGCTGGAGTGCAGTAGTGCACTCTCAGCTCACTGCAAGCTCCGCCTCCCGGGTTCACGCCATTCTCCTGCCTCAGACTCCTGTAGCTGGGACTACAGGCGCCCACCATCATGCCCGGCTAATGTTTTTTTGTATTTTTAGTAGAGATGGGGTTTCACCATGTTAGCCATGATGGTCTTGATCTCCTGACCTTGTGATCCGCCCGCCTCGGCCTCCCAAAGTGCTGGGATTACAGGCGTAAGCCACCGTGCCTGTCCTAAATTCATAATCTTAATTGATCTATCATAATAGTGCTTATATTTTAAAAGTCAAAGAGCTCTCAGAAATATTAAGAAATTTTTTTGATCTTGATGTCATCATGTTTAGACAGTGAATATTCAGATTACTTTAAAAATTAAGCCAGGTGCAGTGAGCCAAGATCGCGCCATTGCACTCCAACCTGGGCAACAAGAGTGAAACTCCGTCTCAAAAAAAAAATGGGAAAGAAAGAAAAAGAAAATTAAACTGTATTTAAATCGTATTCTTGACAATTTACTTTAGAATAGTAAATTGTATTCCTAATAGGAAAAAAGCAAGAAAAAGGTAAATTTTTAAAACGTTATATTCCTAATAGATATTTCATTTTTAATAAGCCCCTCAATAGGACCTTATTTGCAGTTGAATCTAACTTTGTAAAAAGTTTCCTGTTTTAATAGAGTCCTTTTGTATTTCTGTGTAGTGCATATTGGAAGTCAGTCAATAAATAATAGTTAAATGAATTTTAAAAATCAGGATAATCAACTCTTAGAAACATAAAATCTTAGTATTATTATTATATTTTTTGAGACGGAGTCTCACTCTGTCGCCCAGGCTGGAGTGCAGTGGTGCAATCTCGGCTCACTGCAACCTCCGCCTCCCAGGTTCAAGCAATTCTCCCGCCTCAGCCTCCCAGGTAGCTGGGACTACAAGTGCGTGCCACCGTGCCCGGCTCATTTTTTGTATTTTTGGTAGAGACGGGGTTTCACCATGTTAGCCAGGATGGTCTTGACCTCCTGACTTTGTGATCCGCCTGCCTTGGCCTCCCAAAGTGCTGGCTGGGATTACAGGTGTGAGCCACTGCACCTGGCCCAAAGTTCTTTAATTCCAGAAAATTTTAGATCTATGTAAACACCTCAGTAAATTGAAGAAATTTCTATTACCTTGCCATCAGACAGCTTTGTATTAAATTAAATCTCTATATTCAGGTCAGTTTCTTTTGCATTTTCCATAATTGCGTTAGTTAATTAGCAAACATGAGTTCACTTAAAATGTTCAGTTCCTCTGTGATATCATGAAATAAACCTGATTTTAAAAATTCAGATATAGTTATAAAACACACAGAATATAAATTTTATACATAGAGACTTTAAGTGTCTTGATCATCCTTGTATCTCCAGCACATAGAACAGTCACTTGGATGTGTAGTAATAATTCATTTTGTGAATGAATATCTGCTTATAAATATATATGATTAGAAAAAATCTGGAAGAATATGCAAAAATGTCAATAGTGATTTCTGTAAAATTATAAGTGACTTTAACTTTCTGATGTTGCTATATTAACATAATATTTGTTTTAATGACATAAACAATAAAACTTAAAATTTTATTGAAAAATTTTTTTTTCCTGAGATGGGGTCTCACTCTGTCACCCAGGCTGGAGTGCAGTGGCATGATTATGACTCACTGTAGCCTCAAACTCCTGAGCTCAACCAGTCCTCCCACCTCAGCTTCCCAAGAAGCTATGGGGACTATAGGCACTCACCACCATGCCTGGCTGATTTTTTTTTTTTTCAATAGAGACAGAATCTCATTATATTTCCCAGGCTGATCTTAAACTCTGGCTTCAAGCCATTCTTCCACCTTGACTTCCCAAAGTGCTAAGATTACAGGGATTAGCCACCACACTGAGCCCTTAAAAAGAAATTTTTAATCTTTTGAGACAGGGTCTTGCCCTGTCATGATCATGGTTCACTGCAGCCTCAATGTCCTGGGCTCAGGCAATCCCCCCACCTCAGCTTTCTAAGTAGCTGGGACCACGACACATGCCACCACACCCAGCTAATTTTTAAAAATTTTTTTGTAGAGATGGGGGTCTCACTATGTCAGCCAGGTTGGTCTTGAACTCCTGGATTCAAGTGACCTGCCTGCCCCAGCCTCCCAAAGTGATGGGATTACAGGCATGAGCTACCAGCCTGGCCTGGAACAAGAAAAGGATACCCACTCTCACCACTCATCTTTAATATAGTACTGGAAGTCCTACTAGCCAGAGCAGTCAGACAAGAGAAAGAAATAAAGAGCATTTAGGCCAGTTGCTATGCCTCACGCCTATAATCCCAGCACTTTGGGAAGCCAAGGTGGGTGGATCACCTTAGGTCCAGAGTTTCAGACAAGCCTGGTCAACATGTGGAAACCTCTTCTCTTCTAAAAATACAAAAAAATTAGCTGGGTGTGGTGGCAGGCTCCTATAATCCTAGCTACTTGGGAGGCTGAGGCATGAGAATCACTTGAACCCGGTAGGTGAAGGTTGCAGTGAGCTGAGATTAAGATCTCACCACTGCACTCCAGCCTGGGTGACAGAGTGAGACTCTGTCTCAAAAAAGAAAAAAGAAATAAAAGAGCATCCCAGTTGGTAAAGAGGAAGTCAAACTGTCACTGTTTGCAGATGATATGATTGTTTACCTAGAAAACTCTAAAGACTCCTCCAGAAAGCTCCTAGAACTGATCAAAGAATTCAGCAAAGAAGGCCAGGCGAGGTGGCTCACGCCTGTAATCCCAGCACTTTGGGAGGCTGAGGTGGGCGGATCACCTGAGGTCAGGAGTTTGAGACCAGCCTGACCAACATGGTGAAACCCCATCTCTACTAAAAATACAAAATTAGCCAGGTGTGGTGGTGCATGCCTGTAATCCCAGCTACTTGGGAGGCTGAGGCAGGAGAATCGCTTGAACCTGGGAGGCAGAGGTTGCCATGAGCCGAGATCACGGCCATTGCACTCCAGCCTGGGCAAAAGAGTGAAACTCCATCTCAAAAAACAAAAAATAAAGAATTCAGCAAAGTTTCCGGGTACAAAATTAATGTACACAATTAATTTTGTGCGGTAGCTCTCCTGTACACCAACAGCAGCCAAGCTGAGAGTGAAATCAAGAACTCAACCCCTGTTACGATAGCTGCAAAAAAAGTAAAATACTTAGGAATATACCTAACCAAGGAGGTGAAACACCTCTGCAAGGAAAACTACAAAACACTGCTGAAACATAGACAACATATACAAATGGAAACATATCCCATGTTCATGGATGGGTAGAATCAGTACTGTGAAAATGACCATACTGCCAAAAGCAATCTAGAAATTCAATGCAATTCCCATCAAAATACCACCATCATTCTTCACAGAATTAGAAAAAACAATCCTAAAATTCATGTGGAACTAAAAAAGAGCCCGCATAGCCAAAGCAAGACAAAGCAAAAAGAACAAATCCGGAGGCATTACATTACCTGATTTCGAACTATACTATAAGGCTGTACTCACCAAAACAGCATGGTACTGGTATCAAAATAGGTACATAGACCAATGAAACAGAATAGAGAACCCAGAAATAAACCCACATACGTAACAGCCAACTGATTTTCGACAAAGCAAACAAAACCTTCAAGTGGTGAAATGACACCCTATTCAACAGATGGTGCTGGGATAATTGGCTAGCCACATGTAGGAGAATGAAACTGGATCCTCATCTCTCACCTTATACAAAAATCAACTCAAGATGGATTAAGGACTTAAATCTAATGTGATGTTAATTTTTGTTTCCCTAATGACTAATGCTGATCAGCATCTTTTGTGTGCTTACTTGCTAGCTATATATCTTCTTTAGTGAAGTTGTATCGTCAAACATCTTGCCAATTTTTTTAGTTGAGTTGTCTTACTGAGTTGTAAAAGTTCTTTAGAGTTTGAATATAAGGTCTTTGTCAGCTACATGTTTTGCAAATATTTTTTCCCATCTGTAATGAGAATACATTTTAAATTTTGACAAAGTCTAATTCATAGATTTTTTTCTTTTATATTTTGTACTGTTTGTTTCAGGTTTAATATATCTTTGCCAAGTCCAAGGGTACAAAGATTTTCTCCTGTGTTTTCTTCTAGAAGTTTTATCATTTGATAGTCTGTGATCCATTTCAAGTTGATTTGCTATCTGGTGTGAGGTAAGGGTCAAGGTTTATTGTTTTACATACGGCTATTTAGTTGTTTTAGCACCATTAGTTAAAAAATGTCCTTTTTCTCTTGATGTATTGATATATTTGTCAAAAAGCAATTGACTACCACCTAGAAATAGCTTCTCAGCTCCATCTCGAATCTGTCCAGTTCAGCCTGCTTGCCTCTACTCCATCCTCCACCATATCTATCAGGGTGACCCAGAAGTCCTACATGGTATCCACCTCTGGTCCCTTGGTGGCCAAGGGCCTCCTTGGCAGCTGCTTATACAAGAATGGGCCAGATGTCTGCATTAACTCCTAGAACTTCTCCTGGATGGGCAACAGCAGCAGCTTCCGGGGTAGCCTGGACACTGGCATGGGTCTGGAGGGAGGCTATGCCAGGTCTGGTGGTATGGAGGAGCATCACAGCTGCCACAGTGACCCAGAGCCTCCCGAGTCCCCTTAAGCTGGATGTGCACACCAACACCCAGGCTGTATGCACCCCGGAGAAATTGCAGATCAAGACCCTAAACAAGTTTGCCCCCTTCACTGAGAAGGTACCCTTCCTGGAGCAGCAGAACAAGATACTGGAGACCAAGTGGATCCTTTTGCAGCAGCAAAAAGTAGCTTGGAGCAACATGGACAGCATGTTTGAGAGCTACATCAACAACCTAAAGCAGCAACTGGACACACTGAGCCAGGAGCAGCTGAAGCTGGAGGCAGAACTTGGCAACATGGAGAGACCAGTGGAGGACTATCAAAAGTGTGAAGTTTAAATAACCAAGCCTACAGAGATGGAGAATGAATTTGTCCTCATCAAGAAGGATATGAATGTAGCTTACATGAACAAGGTAGAGCTGGAATCTCACCTGGAAGAGCTGACTGACAAGATCAACTTCCTCATTCAGCTGTATGAAGAGGAGATCTGTGAGCTGTAGTCCCAGTTCTTGGTCACATCCCTGGTCCTGTCCATGGACAACAGCCACTCCCTCGATTTAAATGGCATCCTTGCCGAGGTCCGTGCCCAGTATGAGGAGATCACCAGCTGCAGCTGAGCTGAAACTGAAAGCATGTACAAGGAGTATTAGGAATATGATCAAGTGTGAGGAGCTGCAGACGCTGCCTGGGAAGCCAAGAATGACCTGCGTCACATGAAGACAGATCTCTAAGATGAACCAGAACATCAGCTTGCTTCAGGCTGAGAATGAGGGCCTCAAAGGCCAGAGGGCTTCCTTGGAGGCTGCCATCCCAGATGCTGAGTAGCAGGGGGAGCTGGCCATTAAGGATGCCAGTGCCAAGCTGGAAGCCATCCTCCAGAGAGCCAAGCAAGACATGGCCTGTCAGCTGCTTGAGTAACAGGAGCTGGTGAATGTTAAACTGGCCATGGACATCAAGATCTCCACTTACAAGAAGCTGCTGAAAGGCAAGGAGAGCCAGGTGGAGTCTGGGATGCAGAACATGAGTATCCATACAGAAACCACCAGTGGCTACTCAAGGGGCTGAGCTCGGCCTGCGAAGGCCTCACAAGCTTTGGCCACAAGTATGACCTAGGGCCCCTTCCAATCCAGCTTAGACTCTGGCAGGGGCTCCACCTCCTTCAGCTGCACCAGCTCCTTCAGGGCCGTGGTTGTGAAGAGGATCGAGATCCACAATGGGAAGCTAGTATCTGAGTCCTTTGATGTCCTGCAATGAATGCCACTGCAACTCCTCCCAGCCTACCTACCTCCTCTGGCCGACCAGAGCCTGTGGGGGAGGCAACTGTGCAGGGAAGCATAGGGAACAGGAGACCACCTGAGGCCCAATTGTGGACCTCAGCCCACCCTTAAGGGAACCTAGGGTGGTTCCTAGACGACCGCCTCTTTTTCATGCTCGCAACTGAAAACCAGTTTATACCTTTGGGAGCCTTCTGGTTAAAACAAAATTTTAAAAACAGACAAAACCTAGTTCAATTGTTTTTTCAAAATAAAGCCTCAGCTAAGCCAAAGAAAAAAGCAATTGGCCAGATAATGTGTGGGTCAATTTCTGGATTGTCTATTCTGTCCATTGATCTATTTGTCTATTTTTACACCGATACCATAATACCTTGATTGTTATATCTTTGTATTAAGTCTAAAAATCAGTAGTAGTGTAAGAACTCCAACCTTGTCTTCTTTTCCAAAGTTGTTTTGGCTGTTCAACCTTTGCACTTCCGTATGAATTTTAGGATCAGATTCTCAATTTTAAAAAACCTACTGGGATTTAGGTTGGGATGATATACAATACATAGATCAAGTTGGAAGATATAATATCTTATTGAGTCTTCCATTTTATAGACACAGTATATGTCATCACTCATTCAGATATTCTTTAATTTCTCCTACCTAGGTTTTGTAGTTTACGATACATATATCTTGCATATCTCTTGTCAAGTTTATTCCTAAATTTTTATTTTTTTGAGACAGGGTCTTGCTCTGTCGCCCAGGTTGGAGGGCAGTGGTGCAATCATAGCTCACTGCAGCTCAGGCTCAGATGATCCTCCTACCTTAGCCTCTTGAGTAGCTGGGACTACAGGCATGCACCACCATGCCCAGCTAATTTTTATATTTTTTTGTAGAGATAAGGTTTCATCATGTTGCCCGTGGCTGGTCTCGAACTCCTGAGTTCAAGCAGTGTGCCCATCTCGGCTTCCCAAAGTGCTGGGATTACAGGCATGAGCCACAGTGCCTGGCTTATTTGTGCTTTTTTTTCTTTCTTTCTCTGGAGGCCTGTCCTTCCCTTTCTCTACAGAAAACCAGTTTGTGGCGTTGTTGACATCTGCATTATGTCTTTTTATTCTGTTTCATTGAATTACATCCTTTAATATGGCCTTCATTTTTATGTGCTCACATTTCTTAGTTTCTGGCTTTTCAAAATGGACACATAGTTCATTAATTCAGTCTTTTTTTTTTCCATAAAAGCAAGCTTTTAAAAATATTTTTAATTGACAAAAATTGTGTATATTGATGATATACAACATGATGTATGTATATATCCTGGATGGGTTAGAGCAGGCTAATTAACATATGTATTACTCATATACTTTTTTTGTGGTGAGAATATTTAAAATCTATTCTTGCAGCAGTTTTCAAGTATATAATGTGGGGTTTTTGGCTTTTTTTCTTTCATTATTTTTAATTGACACATAATTGTATAAGTTAATGGGGTATAGTGTGATATTTTGATACATGTATAAAACGTGTAATGATCAAATCAGGATAGTTAGCATATTCATCATCTCAAACATTTTTCATTTCTTTGTATTGGGACCATTCAAAATCTGCTCTTCTAGCTATTTGAAAATATACGATATATTGTTAATTATAGTCACCCTATAGTGCTATAGAACACTAGAACTTATTCCTCCTATCTAGCTGTCTTTTTTTTTTTTTTTTGAGACAGGGTCTCACTCTTGTCCCCTAGGCTGGAGTGCCAGCGGCGTGATCACAACTCCCTGCAGCCTTGATCTCCCAGGTTCAAGCAATCCTCACCTAAGCCTCCTGAGTAGCTAGGACTACGGGTGTACACCACCATGCCCAGTTAATTTTTTAATTACTATATTTGGTAGAGATGGGGTCTCACTATGTTGTCCAGGTTGCCTGGGGTCAAGCTTGACCTCCCAAAATGCTAGGATTACAGGCATGAGCAACCGCACTCTGTCCTAGCTGTACCTTTGTAACCATCAACCATTTGGCTGTTCCCTTCCCTACCCTACCCTTCCCCACCTCTAGTAACCATTATTCTACTCCCTACTTCTATGAAATCAACCTTTTAACTTTACACATGAGTGAGAACATGCAGTATTTGTCTTTCTGTGCCTGGCTTATTTCTCAAACATAATGTCCTCTAAGCCCATCTACGTTGCTGTGAATGACAGAATTTCATTTTTTTTAATGGCTAAATAGTATTCTATTGTGTATATATACCACATTTTCTTTACCAGTTTATCTGTTTACGGACACTTAGGTTGATTCCATATCTTGACCATTGTGGAATAATGATGTAATAAACATGGGAGTGCAGCTTTCTCCTTGACTTACTGATTTCCTTTCCTTTGGATATTTACCCATTAGTGGAATTGCTGGATCATATGGTAGTCTATTTTTAGTTTTTTGAGTAATCTCTATACTGTTTTTCATAATGGCTGTACTAATTTACACCAACAGTGTATGAGTTCCCTTTTCTCCAAATCCTTGCCAGCATTTGTTATTTTTTGTCTTTTTGATAATAGCCATTCTAACCGAGGTGAGATGATAGCTCATTGTGATTTTGATTTGTATTTACCCGATTCTTAGAGATTTTTTTTAAAGATATATACCCGTTGACCATTCGTATGTCTTCTTCGTCAGACAGGGTCTCATTCTATCGTCCAGGCTGGAGTGCAGTGGCTCAATCTCGGCTCACTGCAGCCTCAGTCTCCCGGGCTTAGGTGCGAGCAGCTAGGACCACAGGTCCGTGCCACCATCCCCGGCTAATTTTTTGTGTTTTTGTAGAGACAGGGTTTCACCATGTTGTCTAGGCTGGTCTCAAACTCCTGACCTCAGGCAGTCCTCCAGCCTCAGCCTCCCAAAATGTGGGGATTACAGGTGTGAGCCATCACGCCTGGCCTGTATATCTTCTTTTGAGAGATGTCTGTTCAGCTCATTTGTCCATTTCTAAATGAAATTATTTATTTATTAATCCCTCGTGGAATAGTTTGCAAATATTTTCTTCCACTCTGCAGGTTGTCTCTTCACTCTGTTGCTTGTTTAGTTTGCTGTACAAAAGCTTTTTAGTTTGATACAAATCCATTTGTCTATTTTTGCTTTTGAGGTCTTAGCCATAAAAATCTTTGCCTAGACCAATGTCCTGAAGCATTACCCCTGTGTTTTCTTCTGGTAGTTTTATAGTTCCAGGTCTCACATTTAAGTCTTTAATCCATTTTTAGTTGGTTTTTATATATGGTGAGAGCTAGGGGTCTACTTTCATTTTACTGCATACAGATATCCAGTTTTCCCAGGACCTTTTATCAAAGGGACTGTCCCTTCCCCAGTGAATATTCTTGGTACCTTTGTTGAAAATCAATTGGCTGTAAGTGCGTAGATTTTGTTTGTTTGTTTGTTTTCTATTCTCTTCCATTGGTGTGTCTGTTTTTATGCCAGTACTGTGATGTTTTGGTTATATAGCTTTGTAATATATTTTGAAGCCAGATAGTATGATGCTTCTAGCTTTGTTCTTTTTGCTTAGGATTGCTTTGGCTAGTCAAGGTCTTTTGTGGTTCCATACAAATTTTAAGGTTTTTGTTGTTTCTATTTGTGTGAAGACTATCATTGGGATTTCGGGGCTTTTGTTGTTGTTGTTGTTTTGTTTTTTTAAGAGATAGGGTCTTGCTACAGTACCCAGACTGGCCTTGGAATCCTGGGCTCAAGCAATCCTCCTGCCTCAGCCTTCTGAGTAGCTGGGACTATGGATGTGTGCCATTGTACCCAGCTCATTGGTATTTTTATAAGGATTGCAGTGAATCTGTTGATCGCCTTTGGTAGTATGGTCATTTTCACAATATTAATTATTCCACTCCATAAATGCGATGTCTTTCCATTTTTTGTGTGTGTTCTCCAATTTATTTCATTCAATGTGTGTGGGGGGTTTTGTTTTGTTTTGTTTTGAGACAGGGCCTCAATCTGTCGCCCAGGCTGGAGTGCAGTGGCTCGATCTCGGCTCACTCCAACCTCTGCCTCCTGGGCTCAAGCGATTCTCATGCCTTAGCCTCCTGAATAGCCGGAATTATAGTTGTGCATCACCATGTCTGCCTAATTTTTGTATTTTTAGTAGACACAGGGTTTCACCATGTTGGCCAGGCCTGTCTCAACTCCTGACCCCAAGTCATCCACCTGCCTTGGCTTTCCAAAGTGCTGGGATTACAGGCCTGAGCCACCACACCTGGCCTCGTTCAGTGTTTTACAGTATTTAATGGTATCCCATAATTCTTATAGACTTTCTTTGTTCATTTTCATCATTATTTCCTTCTTTTCTCTCTCTGGGTAATTTCAAATGACCTATGTCCAAGTTCAGAAATTCTCTCTGCTTGATCAAGTCTGCTAATTGAAGCTCTCTATTGTATTTATTTCATTCATTGAATTCTTCAGCAGCAGGATTTTTGTTTTGTTCTTTTTATTATTTGTATCTCTTTGTTGAATTTCTTGTTCATATTGTGAGTTGTTTTCCGACTTCATTGAATTATCTATTTGTATTTTCTTGTTTCTTGTTAAGTTTAAGACCATTGTTTTGAAAAATTTTTGGCAACTCGTAGCCTTTTTATCATTAGAATCTGTTACTAGAGTTACAACTCCCTTGATCAACATGGTTTTAAACTGCACAGGTCCTGTACTCAGGTTTTCTTTAGCCTCTACCATCCCTGAGACAGTGGGACCAACCCCTCCTCTTCTTCCTCTCCCTTAGCCTATTCAACTTATATTTAGATGATGAGGATGAATACCTTTATGATGATCCACTTCCCCTTAATGATTAGTAAATACATTTTCTCTTCCTTATGACTTTTTTTCTTTTCTTTTTTTTTTTTTTTTTTTTTTGGCAACGGAGTTTCACTCTTGTTGCCCAGGCTGGAGTGCAATGGTGCAGTCTCGGCTCACCACAACCTCCACCCCCTGATTCAAGCGATTCTCCTGCCTCAGCTTCCTTAGTAGCTGGGTTTACAGGCATGTGCCACCAAGCCCGGCTAATTTCATATTTTTAGTAGAGATGGGTTTCTCCATGTTGGCCAGGCTGGTCTCGAACTCTCGACCTTAGGTTATCCGCCTGCCTTGGCCTCCCAAAGTGCTGGGATTACAGGTGTGAGCCACTGCTCCCGGCCATGACTTTCTTCATAAACTTTTATTTAGCTAACTTAATTATAAGAATACAGTATATAATACATATAACATAAAACTATATGTTAATTGACTGTTTATGTTATTGGTAAGGCTTCCAGCCAATAGTAAGCTATTAGTAGTTAAGCCTTTGGGCAGTCAAAAGTTATACACACATTTTTGACCGTGTGAGCAGTTGGTGCCCCAATTCCTGCATTGTTTGAGGGTCAGCTGTATTATGTTCCTTTGGTAGCGTCATACTTCCTTGTGTTTCTGTGTCAATGTCTGTTTATTTGGTGGAACAATTGCCTTTTCTAAACTTTCTAGAGTAGCTTTGTAGAGAAAGACACTCACCTGCAGTTGGGTTTTATCATGCCAGTCAGGAAGGGTGTAGTGTCTGTTTGTGGATAGGTGCAGTGGTATAGTTTCCATGCAGCTTCTTCAGCTGCATTCAACGTCAGCAATAACTGGGTGCTCATTCTAATTTTAATTAATAACGTCACCAATAACTGGGTGCTCATTCTAATTTTCTCCCCAAAGGGAAGACTTAACCAAGATGTCAGGTCTGAATAGACTACAAGTAGCTACAGGAGCGCTGGGTTCCAGGTACTGGCACAGGGTCTGTATTAGTCTGTTCTTGCAGTGACATAAACAAATACTTGAGACTGGGTGATTTATAAAGAAAAGAGGTTTAATTGGTTCATGGTTCTGCAGGCTGTACAGGAAGCATTGTGGCTTCTACTGGGGAGGCGTCAGGAAGCTTCCAGTCATGGTGGAAGGCAAAGGGGGAACCAGCATTTCACATGGCAGGAGCAGGAGGAAGACAAAGAGTGGGGAAGTGCCACACACTTAAACAACGAGATCTCACTATCTCAAGGAGAGCTCTGGGCAGATGACGTTAAACCATGAGAAACCCCCACCATGATCCAATCACCTCCCACCAGGCCCCACCTCCAACATTGGGGGTTATAATTGAACATGAGATTTGGGTGGGGACACGGACCCAGACCATATCAGAGTCTCACAAACCTGTTATGGCACCTGAGTTTTGGGGTACAGGTTAGCACTCTGTGGCAGAGTTGGATGTAGATTGACCACAGAGCTAGGGTCTGTGACTCTCAGATACCCTCTAGCAGCTCAGGCCCAGGGAGCTAGGTTGTAGCTGTGATTCTACCTCTGAGAGGCAGGGCACAGAACTGGCCCAAGCCTAGGGGAACGGAGGGGGTACCCTGGAGGTTTGGGAGCAGGGTACAGCTACAGTTTGGGAACATGAGCCAATAGGGCTCGGTGGTAAGTCAAGTCCCAGGGGGATGAAGCACTGTGTAATAGTAACTGTAGTCCCTGGGAACTTGGCAGTATCTCAGACTCTGTGAGGCCAGTTGCAGCAGCAGCAGCAGCAGCAGCAGCAAGTGCCCCAGAATGGTGGAGTACAACTGTTGTTTAGGCCCTGGGGGTGTAGGGAACAGCATAGCAATGACTGCACTCCCTACGGAGAAGGGTGTCTTAGCAGCTCAGACTCTAGGGGGCTAGTCCAGCTCTGGGGAAGATGACTACTAGATAAGTTTGGTCTGTAGGGCAGAGTGTCTCAGCTCAACCACTGCTGTGTTTCCCTAGGACACAGGATACTGTCAGCTCAGCCCTGGGATGGGCAGCTGCTCAACTTGGCCACAGCACCAGTTCTCCAGGGGCCCATGTGCTGCTTCAGCTTAAGCCTGGGGGGCATGACTGTTCTGGGAGGCCCAGGCATCATTTCCTGGAATGTGGGTAGTTGCTTCACCTTATGCACTGGAGAGGCATGACTGCTCTGAGCAGCTAAGGTACTGTTTCCCTAGGAGGCAGGATACTGCTTCAGCTCTGGCCTGAGGGGGTGATAGGAGGGGTAGGTGGGGTGGCTCCACCTCTGCTTCCCCCGACCCCTGTACAGGGGTATAAGAGCTGTTTGCAGCTCAACTTGGGGATGTTGGGCCACTGGGCTAGTGTGATTCAGTCTTGGCTTAGCCTCAGGGATAAAGGGGAACTGTGGCTACTCAGCCCCAGAGCAAGACACACTCCAGCCGTAGTTCGGATTCCAAGATGACATAGCACAGTAGCTACATGAACTACAGTGCCTGGGACACAGTGTCGGTTTCTTCTCTCGGGGTAGCACAGCAGTGTGGACTCCAGAGAGCTTCCTCAGCTGGGCTTGGTGCCTGTGAAGACTGCAGGGAACCTCAGTGGTGAGGTCTATTGGTAGGGTTGGTTACTGGAATCCTCTTGCTTCCCTCCTTGCTGCAGGGAGTTCTTCCTGGTTCCTAGCTCTTCCCAGTTGGGGGATTGGGTGGTGGAGGCCGGATGCTTCCTTCCATTCTCTATGTGGCCATCCCGAGTTTCTGTGCTCGTCAATGCTCTCCCTCATTTATTTTTGTTAAAATGTAGTTGTTTATTCATTGTTTTGATTGTCTTTGTGGGGGAAATGAATGCTAGGGACTTCTAGTGGGCCATCTTGCTGATGTGACGTGACTACAGTATATTGCTATTAACTGTAGTCACTATGAACTTATTCCTCGTAATTGAAATTTTGTATCCTTTGACCACAGTCTGCTTTTCTTTTCTTTCCTTTCTTTTCTTTTCTTTTCTTTTTTTAAATTTACACACCACTATACAAACAGGGAACACAGCTTTCTTTCCTAATATGAGGGTTTAAAGAAGGAGTGTCCAATCTTTTGGCTTCCCTGGACCACATTGGAAAAAGATGGATTGTCTTGGGCCACACATAAAATACACTAATGTTAGCTGATGAGTTAAAAAAAATATCAAAAAAAAAATCTCATAATGTTTTAAGAAAGTTTATGAATTTGCGTTGGGCTGCATTTTAAGTCATCCTGAGTCACACCATGGGCCACAGGTTGGACAAGCTTAGTTTAAAGGCTATAAATTTCCCTTGAAATTTTATATTAGCTGTATTCACAAGTTTTGATACATGACATGTTCTTTATGGTTCAGATCTAGTATTTGCAGTTCCATGTGAATTTGAGAGGAACACACGTTCTTTAATTGTTTGGAATGAATTTTAAATATATCCAGTAATTCAAGCTTATTCTGTTTCCTTAACTTGGCTGAGATAATTATCATGAGGTCTTGCACTATGTAATACATTTGTCAATTTGGCTCTAAGTTCTATCCACTTTTTTAAAAGTTGGTTTTTCTTGTTGCTGTTTGATTGTTTTTTGAGACAAGGTCTTGCTTTGTCACCTAGGCTGGAGTGCAGTGCTATGATCACAGCTGACTGCAGTCTTAACCTCCCAGGATCAAGTGATCCTCCCACCTCAGCCATCTGATTACCTGGGACTGCAGGTGAGGGCCACCACACCTGGCTAATTTTTTGTGTGTGTAGAGACAGGGTTTCAACATGTTGTCCGGGCTCGTCTGGAATTCCTGGGATCAAGCAGTCTGCCTGCCTTGGCCTCCCAAAGTGCTAGAATTACAGGCATGAGCCACTGCACCTGGCCTAAAAGTTTTTAAAGGGAAATTTCAAAAATATACAGGAGTAGGCTGGGCAGTGACTCACATCTGTAATCCCAGCACTTTGGGAGGCCAAGGTGGGTAGATCATTTGAAGTCAGGAGTTCGATACCAGCCTGGCCAACATGGTGAAACCCCATCTCTACCAAACAGTACAAAAATTAGCTGGGCATGGTGGTGTGCGCCAGTAGTGCCAGTTACTTGGGAAGCTGAGGTGGGAGAATCGCTTGAACTGGAGAGGTAGAGGTTGCAGTGAGTGGAGATTGCGCCACTGCACCCCAGCCTGAGGGCCAGAGTGAGACCTTGTCTCAAAAAAAAAATACATATTATATATAATATATAATTATATATAATTATTTATAATTATATAATATAATTATAATATATACTCCTGTATATATTTAAATATAAATATAAATTTTATAAATATATAATATATAATATATTCATTTACTATACTAATATATATATTATATATTTGTATATTATATATTTATATATTAGAATAGTAGAATATTCTACTTATATATATTATATTTATATTTATATTTGTATATTTATATATATATATATATATTAGTAGAATAGTAAATGAAGCCAGTGTACAATTATCAGTGTATGACCAATCTTGTTTTATTTATTTCTCTATCAATTGTACCCTTTTCTCTGACTTTGGTATTTATTTACTTTCTTGAGACAAGGTCTCATTTTGTCACACAGGCTGGAGTGCAGTGGCACAATCACAGCTCCTGGGCTCAAGTGATCTCCTGCCTCAGCTTGCCGAGAAGCTGGGACTGCAGGCACACACCACCATGCCCAGCTAATTTTTTTGATCTTTAGTAGAAATAGGGTCTTGTTATGTTGCCCAGGCTAGTGTCAAACTCCTGGGTTCCGGTGATCCACCCACCTCTGCCTCACAGAGTGCTGGGATTACCCGCATGAGTCACCATGCTCAGCCTGACTTTGATATTTTTTAAACAAATCCTGGACATTCTAATAATTTTATCTATAAGTATTAATATTATCATACCATTCACATACCTAAAAACACCAAAAATACTTTCTTTAGGGACAGAGTCTCACTCTGTTGCACACGCTGAATTGCAGTGGTACAGTCACAGCTTACTGCAGCCTCAAACTCCTGGGCTCGTGCCATCCTCCCACCTCAGCCTCCCAAATAATTACGACTACAGACATGTGCCACCATACCCAGCTAATTTGTTTTTATTAAGTTTCTTGTAGAAATGGGATCTCAGGCTGGTCTTGAACTCCCATGCTGGTCTCAAATTCCTGTTCTCAAGTAATCCTCCCACCTCAGCCTCCCAAGTGTTAGGATTGTAAGTGTGAGCCACTGTATCCAGCCCCAAAATTCCTTTTTTTTCATGGAATGCCTGAACATCCCAAGAAAAATTCCTTAATATCAAATATCTAGTCCACGTTCATATTTTCCTGCTTGTGTATACACATGCATATATATGTACACACACATTGTGGTGGTACTATTTTACTTTTTTTAATTGAGGTGAAATTCATATAACTTAAAATTAATCCCTTTAAAATGAAGAATTTACTGACAGTTCATTCACAAAGTTGCAAAAGTGCCATGTAGAGCTTCAAAACATCTTCATCACCTCAAAATAAAATTTGGTACCCATTAGTCCATTATACCTTCCCTCAAGCCTCTGGCATCCACCAGTCTACTTTCTTTCTCTATGGATTTACCTATTTTGGATATTTTATGTAAATAGAATCATATAATATGTGACCTTTTGTGTGTGGCTTGGCTTCTGTCACTTAGCATAATGGGATTTTGTTTGTTTGTTTGTTTTTAGACAGGGTCTTGATCTATCTTTGGGCTCTACCTTTGCCCATTTTGTAATTGGGTTATTTTGGATTGTAGTCTTTGTTGTTGAATTGTATGAGTTCTTTACATATTCCAGACCCTTATCAGATACATGATTTGCAGATATTCTTTCCCATCTATGGGTTGTCTTTTAACTCTTGTCATGGTGACCTTTGTACAAAAATTTTTATTTTGATGGTGTCCAATTTATCTGTTTTCTCTTTTACTTGTCCTATTGGTGCCATATCTAAGAAACCATCACCAAATGCAAAGACATGAAGATTTACCCCTATGTTTTTCTTCTAAGAGTTGCATGGTTTTAGTTCTTATATTCAGCTCTTTGATCCATTTTTTATTTTTGGTATGTAATATGAGGTAGGAGTTCAACATCATTCGTTTTCATGTGGATATTCAGTTGTCCTGGCACCATTTGTTGAAGATAGTATTCTTTCCTCATCAAATGCTTTTGGCACCCTTGTCAAAAATAATTTAACCATAGGTATGTTATTTCTGGACTCTCGATTCTGTTGTATTTATTGCTCTAAATTTCCCTCTGAGCACTGCTTTTTTGCAGCCCATAGATTTTGATATATTGTGCATATTATCATTGCTATATTTTATAAATTGATATATTATCTATCATCACACCCTGTAGAGTTACATGCATTTTTTTTAGTTCTATAGTATTTTATTTCTGTCCTTAAAACACACATACAAAATTACAATATTGAGATTATTATTTTATACAGAGTGTTTATTTAGATTTTTATAGAGTTGTAATTTGTTTGCTTGCCATTTTTTCAAGCATCTCAGGACTTTTTTCTGCTATAATATTTGTTTTTTTGAAATATTTTTTTTTGCTAAAATAATGTGCTTTATTCAGTTACCTAACAGGTAAGAAATACAGAGGTAATTCCTGTACCAAATATTTTATATTTGGTGTATATTTTTTCTCTTCCCTTCTATAATGTGCTTGTATGGCATGACTTAACTGTTCCTTTTTTTTGTTATTTGTTTATTTATTATTTTTTTGAGACAGAGTCTTGCTCTTGTTGCCCAGGCTAGAGTGCAGTGGTGTGATCTTGGCTCATTACAACCTGCGTCTCTTGGGTTCAAATGATTCTCTTGCCCCAGCCTCCCAAGTAACTGGAATTATAGGCGTGCGCCACCACGCCTGGCTAGTTTTTATATTTTTAGTAGAGATGGGGTTTCACCATGTTGGCTAGGCTGGTCTCAAACTCCTGACCTCAGGTGATCCACCTGCCTCAGCCTCCCAAAGTGCAGGGATTATAGGTGTGAGCCGTTGCACCCAGCCAACTGTAAAAAAAAAAAAAAAATGTTTTAATTGTAGTAGTTGTAGATATTTATGGGGTACATGAAATGTTTTGATACTGACATGCAATGTATAATAATCATAGCATGTAAAATGGGGTATCCATCCCCTCAAGCATTTATCCATCCCTTCAAGCATTTATCCTTTGTGTTATAAACAATCCAATTATACTCTTTTAATTATTTTTAAATATAATTAAATTATTGACGGTAGTTACCCTGTTGTGCTATCAAATATGAAGTATGTTGTTTAGAAATTTCTTTCATATACGAGACATTGATTGTAAACTCTCAGTTTTTTGTTTTTATTTTTTATTATGATTCTTTTTGAGACGGAGTCTTGCCCTGTTGCCCAGGCTAGAGTGCCAAGGCACGATCTTGGCTTACTGCAACCTCCACTTCCCAGATTCAAGCAGTTTTCGTGCCTTAGTCACTTGAGGAGCTCTGGTTACAGGTATGCACCACAACACCCAGCTAATTTTTTTTATTTTTTTATTTTTTTTATTTTTAGCAGAGACAGGGTTTCGCCATGTTGGTCAGGATGGTCTTGAACTCCTGGCATCAAGTGATCCGCCTGCCTCGGCCTCCAAAAGTGTTGGGATTACAGGGTGAGCCACCGTGCCCAGCCAACTTTCAGTTTTTTTTTAATCTTAAAGTATCTTCCTTTCACTCTCTTTTCTGAAAAAAAATGGGGGGTTTTGTGGGGGGGTTTTTTTTGTTTTTTTTTTGTTTTTGGTTATTCTGAAGGTAAGACAGTGGAAAAAAATAGTTTGGATCATATACAATTGTTTATTGATAGTTACTTTTCTTTTTTTTCTTTTTTGAGATGGGGTTTCGCCATGTTGGCAGGCTGATCTCAAACTTGTGGGCTCAAGCGATCCACTCTCCTTGGCCTCCCAAAATGCTAGGATTACAGGCATGAGCCACCACACCCAGCCAATCTACTTTCTTAAAACCTTAAATACTATTCCTATGACTTCTGCTACCATGTTGCTATTAAGAAGGCCACTGTACGTCTAATTTCAATACTCTGTAGGGAGTCTGTCTTATCTCTCTTTCTTTAATTTGTATTTTTTGTTACCTAGGCTCAGGGGTGTTTTTATGGTCTGTCTTATCTGTCCAGCTGCATTTTGCTGTTCCTCTTTAGAATGTTGCACGTTCACTACATTGAGTATGGGTTTCTTTTTATTTCTCTTGGAATACTTAAAAGTAAGGCTTCGTTTATCTGTGGATTCATGTCTTTAGTTTTGAAAAATTGCCAGCCATTATCTCTTCAAATACAGATGATCCCTGACTTATATTAATTCAACTTATGATTTTCCACTTTATGATGGTGTGAAAATGATATATATTTAGTATACCCCTTAACCTATGATGGCGATGGCATTACATCTGGATAAACCCATTGTAAACTGAAAATACTGTAAGTCAAAAATGCACTTTCAACTTATAATAGTTTCCACTTAAGGTATTTTCAATGCACAGTGTGTTTATCGGGATAGTAACTCCATCATAAGTTTAAGAGCATCTATATTGTCTCTCCTCCATTTTCCCTTTTCTATTCTTTTGAGACTTATATGCATACTATACTTTCTATTTTTCTTATTTTTAAGTCTTTGTCATACATTTTATGTTCTGTTTTTGCTGTGATACAGTCTAGATAATTTAAAAATCTATCTTCCAATTTAATAATTATTTCTTCTGCATCTAATCATCTATTTAACTTACCCATTGCCTTTTTTTCTTTTTTTTTTTTTTTTTTTTTGAGACAGGGTCTCACTATGTCACCCAGGCTGGAGTGCAGTGGCATGATTATGGCTCACTGCGGCCTCAGACTCCTGAACTCAAGAGATCCTCCCACCTCAGCCTCCTGAGTAGCTGGGACTGCAGACCCACACCACCAGACATGGCTGATTGTTAAATTTTTTTGTAGAGACAGGATCTCATTATGTTGCCCAGGCTGGTCTCAGATTCCTGGTGTCAAGCAATCCTCTTGCCTTGGTCTCCCAAAGTGCTGGGATTACAGACATGAACCTCTGTTTCTGGCCCATTGACCTAGTTTCAGCAGTTTTTCATTGTTTCTTTGTTTGTTTGTTTGTTTGTTTGTTTTGAGACAAAGTCTTGCTCTGTCACCCAGGCTGGAGTGCAGTGGCGCCATCTCAGCTCACTGCAACCTCCACCTCCTGGGTTTAAGCAATTCTTCTGCCTCAGCCTCCCAAGTAGTGAGGATTACAGGCATGCATCACTGTGCCCAGCTAATTTTTGTATTTTTAGTAGAGACAGGGTTTCACCATGTTGGCCAGTCTGGTCTCAAACTCCTGACCACAAGCGATCCACCTACCTGGGCCTCCCAGAATGCTGAGATTACCAGCATGAGCCACTGTGCCCAGCCTGTTTTTTTAAAAAATTAAACTTTTGATAGTTTTTATTATTTGCTTATCTCTGTGGTTCATTTTTTTAGACATTGAATAATTATATTCAATCTTAGATGTTTCCAATATGGGGAGTCTTTAGGGGCTGTCTGAATCTGGTGACTCAATCTCATGGTGGCTAATTTCCTGTTTTTTTGGCATTCTTTGATTGTTAGCTTATATTTGATTGATCTTAATATGAAAGGATACTGGAGTCTTAATTGGGTTTGTTTTTCTCCAAATAGTAGCTGCATTTTTTTCTTACCAGAAGCCAGGTTACACTCTTCACCCAGAACCTTTCAGATTGTTATCCTTATCTTGGGAATTTTAAGTTTTCCTCCCCTACCAGCTATTTGTCCCAACTTCAGTTTCTTAGCCACAAAACTAATGTATTAGAACTACCCTTGGGGAAAGTTTCCTCTTTGTTTATGCTCAGCTCTTCTTTTTTTGATCTTTTGGAGTTGGGGGGAGGGGAGGGCGGTCACTGGAGTGGGGAATGGGCTTTGATTGTTGGCACTTCTTGTAGCAGAGCCTGGACACAAAATAAAGATTTTATTTTCGGTCAACTTTCTGTTTTTTGTTTTGTATGTTTTGTAGCAAGACAGTTTTTTTTACAGTATCTATTTGCCATATTGACACTAATGGGAGGCTCTTTTTATTTTGAAACTCCTTCTAAATAATTTTATTCTCAAATAATATAGGTATAATATATAAAATTCAAAAACCATCCAGAAAGTTATAAAATAAAATTGCTTTTACTTCTATAGCCCAAGGTAACTACAGGCTTTTTGGAATTTTTGCAATTGATTTTTTACTTGATTAGGATATAAGTGATAATTTAAAATCTTAAAAACGAGAAGCAATTAAAAGATATTTTGTAGCCATATATTAAAAATGGACTGATTTTGTAGCTTTACAAAATTGCCCCAATTGAGAACTACTGTAGTAGACCTAAGTGGCTCGGAGTTATTGGTATATATTTCTTCATTTTCTTTTTTAAAATATATCTTCCTTTTCAAAGCTTGTCAAACTAATGTTAAGTGGGATGCTTGTCTATTAATGGTAAAAATTGTATATATATAATCTCTGTCTACACCAGGATATCTATTTTAAAATTATATACTGCTACAATAGGGCATACCCAACTCATAAAGTTGAAAAACTTTATGTGCATTAAATCTCTGGTAATATGAGAATTTTAGAAGTATTTGAAAGGGTATACCAGTACCTTGTCACATAAAAGCAATCTTAAAAAGCCAGTACAGAAGTGTAGTTAAAGATAGGATGAGGGAACTATATAACACTAATTTTTGCCCTGCATTGAATGTATTCTGGTGCCTTGGCAAGTCATTTTAAAAAGTGTTAATTTTTTAATCTATAGAATGGAATTGATTTTACCTAAATTATATAGGGTACCACAGTAGTGAATATGAGAGATTTGTTTAAGATAAAACAGTCCACAAAAATACTAAGTGCTTTAGTTGATCAGCTATTTAAACTCTTTCAGCTATTAAATAATAGAAGAAAATGGAATTGAATATGATGTCAGCATGGAACAATCTAATGATTCATTAAGAGTCAACCATAATGACGGTGAAGAGTCAAAAACCAGTGCTCAAGTATTTGAGGTATGGATTCAGCTGGGAACCTTTTTCCATCCTAGGGTAAAACAGCATGCCATTTAACAGCTCTTTATGCTCAAGGGATAGCTGTTATATTTAGTGTATTCAAGAATTTTGAGCTGGGCGTGGTGGCTGACACCTGTGATCCCAGCACTTTGGGAGGCTGAGGCGGGCGTATCACCTGAGGTCAGGAGTTCAAGACCAGCCTGGCCAACATGGTGAAACCCTGTCTCTACTAAAAATACAAAAATTAGCTGGGCGTGGTGGTGGGTGCCTGTAATCCCAGCTACTCAGGAGGCTGAGGCAGGAGAATGGCGTGAACCCAGGAGGCAGAGCTTGCAGTGAGCTGAGATCACGCCACTGCACTCCTGCCTGGGCAACAGAGAGAGACTCCGTCTCAAAAAAAAAAAAAGAATTTTAATATTTAATTATACACATATTTTATGATATATTTAATATTATAATACAGAACTTAATGCTAAGATATATTCATAAAAATTTTATATACAGAGAAAAATCTATAGGTTGAATTATGTTATTTCAGGTTCCATTCCTGTGGACAATTTTGGTAAAATTAAGATAGTAAGTATAATAATCAACAATTTTACTTAAGAAATACTTTCTGTGTATAGCAATTTGTGTGAATTGACAACTCTTACAAAAAAGTAAAAACAACTGAAAAATGGATGTCTTTTCATTTTTATTATACACATCTTTAAAAAAAATGGTGATAGACTGAAGTGATTTTTTTTTTCCTTACAAAAGCATCTAATCTGTATGGACTCCAGGGATTCTTCCTTTGGACAAAATGATTCTCCTACAGTTTTGCCCATCACTACTCGTGAAGCAAATAATTCACTCATATCACAGAATATACCAGGGCCCCTGACTCAGACACAGACTCTTTCTGCAGAGCAATTCCATCTAGTGGACCAAAATGGGCAGGCTATTCAATATGAACTTCAGTCATTGGGGGAATCCAATGCACAAATGGTGAGTATATTTTATAAGTAACCAGTTTTATGCCGTTTAGCAAAATGTATTAGTCTTACTAAATGACCTTAATTTCTTGACACTTTTGACTTACATTGTGTTTATTTATTTATTTATTTTTGAGATGGAGTTCCACTCTTGTTGCCCAGGCTGGAGTGCAATGGCACAATCTTGGTTCACTGCAACCTCTGCCTTCCGAGTTCAAGCGATTCTCCTGCCTAAGCCTCCCAAGTAGCTGGGATTACAGGTGCCCACGACCACACCTGGCTCATTTTTTTGTATTTTTAATAGAGACAGGATTTCACCATGTTGGCCAGGCTGGCCTCAAACTCCTGACCTCAGGTGATCCACCCGCCTTGGCCTCTCAAAGTTCTGGGATTACAGGCGTTAGCCACCATGCCCAGCCACAGTGTGTTTAAAATACTGTTTCCATGACTTTCATTTTTATGTAAGGATTTTAAAAGATTTGCATTCAGGACTACAAATAGTACTTTAAACAGTACTTATGAGTCTCTGTGTTTGGGCACACTTGTGCTTTGAGATCAATTGGAAATGTAACATATTCTGTAACTAGTTCTGAAGTGCCAGAGTTGACATGGAACTTACATTTAATGGAATGTACACACACACACACACACACACACACACACACACACACACACATATTAGGCTAACTCCAGTTTTGTTTTTTTTTTTCTGAGATGGAGTCTTGCTCTGTCGCCAAGGCTGGAGTACAGTGGCCCGATCTCGGCTCACTGCAACCTCCGCCTCCCGGGTTCAAGCAGTTCTCTTGCCTCAGCCTCCTGAGTAGCTGGGGTTACAGGCACCTGCCACCACACCCGGCTAGTTTTTGTATTTTTAGTAGAGACAGGGTTTCACCATGTTGGCCAGGCTTGTCTTGAACTCCTGACCTCGTTATCCACCCACCTCAGCCTCCCAAAGTGCTGGGATTACAGGCATGAGCCACCACGCCCGGCCTAAACTCCTGTTTTTGATTTATCAACATCTCACTGACCTGCAAGCCACTTTCTGGTATGTTTTCTTGAAGAAATAGAAAGTAATGGAGGTACTGCAATGGAGGTACTACTAGTATATGGGGAATTAGACATATCCTTGCTGATCTTTGTGGGTAAATGTGTGCCACGTGAGTAATAATGCATAAAGATAAAAAGATGAGGATGGCTAAATACTTTTCA